>NT_167248.2:2008750-2342034 GCF_000001405.40 Homo sapiens | reverse complement strand
TCTTTGAGGACTCGACCTACATCTGGCAAGTCTAGGAGATGGAATTGAGGAGGGCATATGCACAGAGTACTGGGAATTAGAGAGCTGAGTCACTGGAGAGTCTCGAACCTCAGAGCAGCTGCCTTTCTCTTGGACTCAGGCCAAGATTGAGGGAGACTGACGACATATTGCATCTCACAGGTTCCCAGGGGCACAAGGCTATTTGCGACCACAGCAGCTCCGTTTGGCTAAGGAGGCCTTGGGTTTCTGAGGGATAGGAAGAATCAGAGCAGAGAAGAGCAGATGGAATGGTGACCGACGTAGGGCCCTGAAGTTTACTTAGGGTTGTCTTCTAGAAATGTGAGGTGCTGTGTTTACAAAAAAAGCATAGCTTGCACTGCTCTCAGTCTCAGGTTCCCAGGGGAAAGGGCTAAATAAAGACAATCTGCAATGCATTGGAAGGAAAAACTGAGAGGCTTATACATTTATGAGAGGTATCCCCACTATGTATTTGTAAATCTTCCAGAATGTAGGAATGTCCAGATGCCATTAAAAAAAAAAGACTAACTGTATTTATTCATTTATCTATTTTTATTGACATTGTAATTGTATATATTCAGATGCCCTTTTTTTTTTTTTGAGATGGAATTTTGCTCTTCTTGCCCAGGCTGGAGTGCAATGGCATGATCTCAGCTCACTGCAACCTCCGCCTCCTGAGTTCAAGCAATTCTGCTGCCTCAGCCTCCGGAGTAGCTGGGGCTGGGACTACAGGCATGCACCACCATGCCCAGCTAATTTTTCTGTACTTTAGTACAGACGGAGTTTCGCCATGTTGGCCAGGCTGGACTTGAACCCCTGACCTCAAGTGATCCTCCCGCCTTGGCCTCCCGAAGTGCTGGGATTACAGGACTGAGCCACCTCGCTCAGACTTTTTTTTTTTTTTAAATGGAACCCTTCACAAATTTGTGTGTCATCCTTGAGCAGGGGCCATGCTAATCTTCTCTGTATCAGATGCCACTTTCATTTTTAGACGGAGTCTCACTCTGTTACCCAGGCACCTGCCACCATCCCCAGCTGATTTTTTTGTATTTTTAGTAGAGACAGGGTTTCACCATGTTGGTCAGGCTGGTCTCAAACTCCTGACCTCAGGTGATCCACCCACCTTGGCCTCCCAAAATGCTGGGATTACAGGTGTGAGCCACCGCTCCTGGCCTCTTTGTTTTTTAAACTCAGCACTCATCTTAGTATTCTAATATATTATCTCCTAAATAAGTTTTTATTTAACTATTTAAAATTTTTATCAGATTTATACAGATATGTAATTTTAAAAGCCAAATATATATGTGTGTGTATATAAATTACAGATATGTAATTTAAAAAGCCAAAGACAGAACAAAAGCTATAGTCCGGTACCAACCCCTAATTCTCTCTTCCTAGAAGTAAAAGCACTTCGATGCTCAATTAGTTTTTATCTTCCCGTTTCTTAATAACAAGTTATATCAGTCAGGGTTCAGTGCAGCAACTAGAGATTACGCTAGGTAAATTAACAGGAAGACATTTTACAAAGGGTATTAAGAGCTTGTGAAATCTTTATAAGGGCTGAGGGCACAGGTTCTAAGCTGGGCTTTATGGAATGATATCCAGAACTATACAGATCTACTAGGTTTTCTTTTGATCATTTGTCTATGAATTTATCACAAATTTGTCAGCAGATTCTATAGAAGTCTATTTTTTCTCTGCAGTCTAATGTATTACAATTAATCAATTCCCTCTTTTTCTTGGTAATATCTTTCTGTAACCAGGTAAAGGAATTTTCTTAATCCCTGAGGTTTTGGCCCCAAGCCTTTTTTTTTTTTTTCTTTTTTCTTTTTGAGATCCACTCTGTCACCCAGGCAGAAGTGCAGTGGTGAAATCTTGGCTCACTGCAACTTCTGCCTTCTGGGTTCAAGAAATTCTCTGCCTCCGCCTCTTGAGTAGTTGGAATTACAGGCATGTGCCACCATGCCCAGCTAATTCTTTTGTGTGTTTTTGGTAGAGGCGGGGTTTCACTATGTTGGCCGGGCTGGTCTCAAACTCCTAGCCTCAGGTGATCCACCCGCCTTGGCTTCACAAAGTGCTGGGATTACAAGCAGGAGCCACCATGCCCGGCCTCCAAACCATTTTAATCTGGACCTGCGGATCCCTAGTTCTCCTACACAGCAACCTCCTGGGATTTTCATTCTCCTCACTCTTTGGAGGATCCCACATCTTTATCTCTCCTGATCTAATCCCTTACTTTGATGGAACTTCCTAAGGAAAGGGGCAAGGGAGGGCAATTTTTGAAATTTTGTCTGAAAATGTCTTTTATATTATGATTACATCTGATTAATAGTTTTACTGAAAATAAAATTCCAAGTTGTAAAATTTACACCTAAATTAGGAAAGCACTGCTCCACTATCTTCCAGCTTCCAGTGCTACTGTTGAAAAGTCCTCAGCTAGGTGTTATGGTGTGCACCTGTAATACCAGCACTTTGGGAAGCCAAAGTGGGAGGATTGCTTGAGCCCAGGAGTTCAAGACCAGCCTGGGCAACGTAGTAAGATTTCGTCTCTACAAAAAATAAAATTAAATTTAAAAATTAGCTGGGCATGGTGGTACGTGTCTGTAGTTTTCAGAAGGCTGAGAGGGGACGATCCCTTGAGCCCAGGAGTTCAAGGCTGCAGTGATCCATGATTGTATCACTACGCTCCAGCCTGGGTGACAGAGTGAGATCCTGTCTCAAAAAAAAAAAAAAAAAAGGAAAAGAGAAAGAAAAAAAGAGAAAGCCCTATACCATTTGAGTTTTGATCTTTTTTATGTGACCTGTTTTTTTCTTTTTGTCCAATTTTGGGATTTTTCTTTTTGTCCTCAGTATTTTTAAAATTATGGTACTATGCCTTGGATTTCATTCCTTTTGTTAGACACTTCTGTTAGACACTTGAGGTCTATCTCACTTGGGAACCATATCTCTCAGTTCTGAGAAAAGTTCTTGAATTATTTCTTTGATAATTTCATCCCTTCTGTTCCCTCTGTCTATTCTTTCTAGAAATCCTCCTATTCATCCAGATGATCTAATTTTCATATATTTTCTATACCATCTACATTTCTTTTCCTTTTTTTTTTCTTTTGAGATGGAGTCACCCAGGTTGGAGTGTAGTGGCACTATCTCGGCTCACTCCAACCTCCATCTCTCTCGGGTTCAAGCGATTCTCCTGCCTTAGCCTCCCAAGTAGCTGGGATTACAGGCGTATGCCACCACGCCTGGCTAATTTTTGTATTTTTAGTAGAGATGGGGTTTCACTATGTTGGCAAGGCTGGTCTCGAACTCCTAATCTCAAGTGATCCACCCACTTCCGCATCTCAAAGTGCTGGGATTACAGGCCTGAGCTACTGTGCCCGGTCCCATCTACATTTCTTTATCCTTTGCTTCTTTTTAGAAGATTTCTTCAACTTTAAATTTTTTATTTAATAATGTGTTCTTTTACCATGGAGAAAATATCGTCTCTTATGTTTATGAAAATATTAATTGCAGTGGATTTTATTGTTTGGCTCTTTGCATTCTCTAAATTTCCTCTTCTTCTTCTTTTTTTTTTTTTTTTTGACAGGGTCTCTCTGTTGTGGTCCAGGGCAATGGCTTAATCACAGCTCAATGAAGCCTCGACCTCCCGGACTCAAGTGATCCTCCCATCTCAGCCTCCTGAGCAGCTGAGACTACAGGTGCACGCCACCGCGCCCGGCTAATTTTTGTACTTTTTGTAGACACAGAATCTCGCCATTTTGCTCAGGCTGTTCTTGAACTCTTGGGCTCAAGCGATCCGCCCAGCTTGGCTTGCGAAGGCACTGAGATTACAGGCGTGAGCCACCGCGCCTGGCTTTATATTCCTTAATTCTTGTGTTTTCAATACCTGTCTTTCATGTCAGTGGTTTTCATCCCATAATGACTAGTTTCTTATCAATGTATTGCCTCTCAACCGTAAATCCATCCTCTTAACTGATCTGTATTGAATTAAGCGGTTCTCCTTCGCAGCCAGCACAATATTAAGCTTTCTCAGTAGAGGGCGCCGGAGGGACACTGCCAGAGGAAAGAATTTCTTTTATCTCTGGTTCCGGGAGCTATGGTTTGTGATTCTTGTTGCTCCTGCGGCAGGGCCCATCAGTGGCCAGGTGGGAACATCCGGTGGTCTCTGTCCTAGCTGCGTGCTGACAGCATGCGTTCCCCCAGCGAGCTGGCCCTGACGTGGACCCTGCATGCCCCAGGCCTTGCATGCAGTGAGTGGGCTCCCGATGCCGCGACCCCCCCAGTTTCCTGCTTGCTCATGACTGTGCACAGGCTTTGGCCTGGGCATCCCAGGGAAATAATCTGGTACCTGGTGGGCACATGCACACTTTCTGCCTTGAGTTCTGAATCCAGCTTTGGGGTGGGGATGCTTCCACGTGTGTCCTTCTTTGGGTACTCTCCCGCGGCCCTACAGCATTCTTTGGAGTTCTCTGCACGTCTTTTTAGCCTGTTACAGCCAATAATTCTTTCTAATAATAAACTTTCTCTGCTCAAATTGGGGCTTGGGCTTTGTGAATGATACAGTAATCCTTGGCTTAGTTAGATCTTAAGCTGTTTGGAAACTCCAGGTGTGTGTGGTGGGGATGGGGGGAAGTTTCAGTGGGCTTCACCATAGTGCAAATGGGCTGAACTGTTTCTCCAGAAGACCCTTGTATTAGGGTCTAGTCAGGTGAAAGAAAAAAATCCAAATATTTAAACAGAGGTAATTTTGTTTTATTTTATTCTATTTGAAAAGGAATTTCACTCTGTTGCCCAGGCTGGAGTGCAGTGGCACAATCTCGGCTCACTGCAACCTCGGTCTCCCGGGTTCAAATGATTCTCCTGCCTCAGCCTCCCAAGTAGTGGGATTACAGGCACCTGCCACCACACCCAGCTAAGTTTTGTATTTTTAGTAGAGACAGGGTTTCACCATATTGGCCAGGGTGGTCTCAAACTCCTGACCTCAGGTGATCCACCTGCCTCGGCCTCCCAAAGTGCTGGGATTGCAAGCGTGAGCCTCCGCGCCCAGACAGAGGTAATTTTATATAAAGGATTGTTAACCACATATTGAGATCTAAAAAGACAAAAAGAGCACTGAGATACCGCAGAGGTAGAACGCGTGGGAATCAGGAATGGGGCAACTGCCTCTCCCTCAGTCTTGGGGAACTGAGGGAAGAGGTCAGTATTATTCAATGGGAGAATCTGGGAGGATGGCCCCACGGAGCTAGAACTCAGTTTCCTAAGGAGGAGCCTGGCCAGTGAGCTGGTATCACTGAGGCCACGGGAAGAGGCCTTTGCCGGGAGTGAGGAAGAACCACAGTTTGGGACTTGCTACTGCTGCTGGACCAGCTGTTGCTACAGGGCTGAAGATCCTCGGCTGTGGTGATGCCGGCAGGATTGGGAGGCCAACAAGGGAAGGGATCCCTTCTTCCTCCAGTGCTGACACCTCCCTCTACACCTAAGAGGGAGCCAGCTGGGAAGGAGAGAGTGGAAGAGGGTTTTGAAGTCAAGTGACAGTAGCTTAATATCCGTCAGAACCCCCTTACTCCTGTGTTCCTAGGTGTTTTTCCTTGTCTGGTCAGTTTCTCCAGAGAAGGTTTCTCTATTAATCGGCCTGGGGCAAGTCTGGCTGCTGGAGTTCTCAGAACCAACTTCATGGAGGGGACCAGGAAGCCTTACTGTTCGATAGGCAGGCTTTTACATAATCCTAAATGACTTTTTCTTTTCTTTTATTGCTTCTCTTATTTTATTTCTTTTATTATTACTTATTTTCTATTTTTTAAATTATTTTATTTTGTTTTCTTCTGGCCACATAAAGCCAGAAGGCCATAGGCTATATATATATATAGGTAATTTTTTTTTTTTGGTAGAGCTGGGGATCTTGCTCTGTTGCCTAGGCTGGTCTTGAATTTCTGGACTCAAGTGATCCTCCTGCCTTGGCCTCCCAAAGTGCTAGGATTATAAGCATGAGCTATCACGCCCAGCCTTAAATGATTTTCATTGTGGTTCCCAGGATGTGGCATGGTTCAACGCCTCCAGCGAGCAAACCACTCATTAGGGTGGAATATAGGGGGTCACTCTGCCATGTGCGTTGAGTTAGGAGATCTAGGGTTCTAGTGGCTTCTTACATAGACCATCAGCCTCTGGTTCCAGGCCTCTTGCACACTCACGTTTGGGATACTTCGTTTCTCCATTCCTTACTGGGGTTCTGCTATGTGAAATCAGCCTGCTTCTGGGATTCTCCCACTGACATTTTACCTTTAAATTTCTCTTATCTGCTAAGACCTTTGTCTATTTGTTATCCAGATCATTATTCTCTATTTATTTAGATTGTGTAGTCAGTTTCTCTCTCTCTCTCTCTCTCTCTCTCTCTCTCTCTCTCTCTCTCTCCTCTCCTCCCGCTTTTGTTCTTGTCAGTCCTTGCCTTTTAAAACCCCTTTATCACATTTTGGTGGGATTTCTGCTGGGAGCAGAGATGGTTGTGTTCAATCAGCTACATAAAGCCTGAAGGCCCGGCCAGGCACAGTGGCTCAGGCCTGTAATCCCAGCACTTTGGGAGGCCAAGGTGGGCGGATCATCTGAGGTTAGGAGTTCAAGACCAGCCTAACCAACATGGAGAAACCCCGTCTATACTAAAAAAAAAAAAACAAAAAACTTAGCCAGCCGTAGTGGTGCATGCCTGTAATCCCAGCTACTCAGGAAGGCTGAGGCAGGAGAATCACTTGAACCCAGGAGGTGGAGGTTGTGGTGAGCCAAGATCCTGCCACTGTACTCCAGCCTGGGAACCAAGAGCAAAACTCAGACTCAAAAAAAAAAAAAAAAAAGCCCGAAGTCCCAGTTGAATTTGTGGTGTAGATGTGGTGGGTGGGCTCTGGGTACCCAGCGCAGCTTAGCTGGCAGTATGTAGAAGTGAATATCAGGAAGTCTTTCTTTTCATTTCCCTCTGTTTTCTCTGGCTTGCCTCTGCCCAGGTGGCAATGGGGCCTCTGCTTCAGTGTATGCCTCAATGTATTTCCAACAAGATCCTTTCTTACGGAGACGGAGATGAGACAGCCCAGAAATCTGACTGATATGCCATGCTGTGGAGAGATCTTCCGGGAACAAGAGGGAGTTTGCAGTTCTCATTCTATTTTTGCTGGCCTCTAATGATCAGAAGCAAAGCAGAGCCAAAACAAATAGGCTAATTTACATTCCCTGCTATTAATGCTCATAAAATGCTGCATTTTTATATTGCTGCTCAAAGCACAGACTGCAGAAAGAGTATTGAGGTGGTTCTGACAGCAATCTTAAGAACTGCAGAGAGACTCTCTTACTCAATAATTTTCTCCTTCTTTTAAAAATAAGGCTGGACATGGTGGCTCACATCTGTAATACCGGCACTTTGGGACACCGAGGTGGGAGGATAACTTGAGTCCAGGAGTTCAAGACCAGCCTGAGCAACATAGTAAGACCCCCATCTCTACAAAAAATACAAAAATTAGCCAGGTGTGGTGGCTCACACCTGTAGTCCCAGCTGCTTGGGAGGCTAAAGTAGGAGGATCACCTCAGCCCAGGGAAGTTGAGGTTGCGATAAGCCATGATTGCACCACTGCACTCTAGTCTGGACAACAGAATGAGACCCTGTCTCAAAAAAATAAATAAATAAAAATAAATAAATTAAATAACATTGGCTGGACATGGTGGCTCACGCCTGTAATCCCAGCACTTTGGGAGGCCGAGGCAGGAGGGCTTGAGTCCAGGAGTTTGCAACCAGCCTGGACAACGTAGTGAGATCTCCATCTCTACAAAAAGCGAACAAAATTAGCCAGGCATGGTGGCGTGTTCTTGTAGCCCCAGCTACTCAGGGAGGTGAGGTGGGAGGATTGCCTGAGCCTGGGAGACTGAGGCTGCAATGAGCCGAGATCGCACCACTGCCCTCCACCCTGGGCAACAGAGCGAGATCCTGTCTCAAAAAGGAAAAAAAAAATTATCAGGTTTGAAATAAAATATACATAATATAAGAAAACAAAAGTAATTTCTAACCCCAATAAATAAAGATAGAAGACATTGTTAACATTTTGGTATATTTTCTTCTTCTGTTTTTTTTTTGTTGTTGTTTTTGTCTTATTTTATTTAGAGATGGTCTCCCTCTGTTGCCCAGGCTGGGGTGCAGTGGTGCAATCAGCTGACTGTGACCTTGAACTCCTGGGCTCAACTGATCCTCTGACTCAGCCCCCCAAGTAGCCAGGACTACAGGCATGTGCCATCACATCTAGCTTTTTTTTTTTTTTCTGAAATAAGAATGGGTTATATTTTGCTGTAACAACATGGGGTTAGGGACCAGGCCTGCGTAGTTGTAGTCATGCTTTATGATATGGCTGGTGACTCAGTTAACTGCTGGTTCATGAGCTGGAGCAATCCCAAAATGGTTTTCTAAAGGATGCCTGGCCCTGGTGTTTCCACACTGGCTCCTGTGGAGCATCTCTAAGCAGAGGCTGCATGGTGTTCTGTCCAGGTGGGAGCACAGGCTGAGTGACTCAGTTTTCATGAGGCGATGTATACCTGTTGCCTGCCCAAATGAGTTCTTAACAAATGGTAATGAGACTGGCCACCGTGGCTCACGACTGTAATCCCAGCACTTTGGGAGGCTGAGGCTGGCGGATCACTTGAGGTCAGGAGTTGGAGATCAACCTGGCCGACATGGTGAATCCCCGTCTCTACTAAAAATACAAAAAATTAGCTGGGCGTGGCGGGTGACTGGAGTCCCAGATGCTTGAGAGTCTGAGGCAGGAGAATCACTTGAACCCGGGAGCCGGAGGTTGCAGTGAGCCGAGATGGCGCCACTGCACTCCAGCCTGGGCAACAGAGTGAGACTCCATCTCAAAAAAAAAAAAAAAGAAATAAAGCAGATATACAGTAGTCCCTTGGTATATGAGGGGGATTGGTTCCAAGACTCCTGTGTATACCAAAACCTACACATATTCAAGTTCCACAGTCAGCCCTTTGGGTCCCAAATATATGTAAAGTTGGCCCTTTGTATACATGGGTTTCACATGTCACCATTACTGTGTTTGTGATCTGCATTTGATTGAAAATAACCCATGCATAAGTGGACCTAAGTGGACCTATGCAGTTCAAATCCATGTTGCTCAAGGGTCAACTATATGGACATTAAATTAAGCAAGACATAACCTGGGATGTTAAAGCATGAGCAATAAATTAAAACTCAAAGAAATGACAGAAACCATTAGAGAAAATCAAATGAAGTATTGCTAAAAAATTTTAGGCAATTTTAACAAAACAGGAAAAACTTTATCAAGTTGATTTTTGCAAAGAAACTGGAACATGAGCTCCCTCCACTCACGTGTCTGTGCCCCTCAGAAGGGCGGTCCTGAGGAGCCAGCACATAGCCCAGGACTGACGTTAATGCCCTCAGGCAGGCTCCCACTGCCTCCTCTGCGCCTGCCTTCTCTCACTTTCTAGAATCCCAGTCTTAAAACTCTGTTTGATGTTTAGCAAAGGAAGACATATTCAGACATGCATAATAATGGTAGAAGACAGAGGTGAGGAATGCTGTGAAAGATGTCCAAGGGGCCATGGAGAGCCCTGGGACTCTGGGGCTACCCCAAGGAGGCTGTGTTTTAAAATGTGTTTACACAGGCCTTTTCCATCATAAGTACATCTTTATTATTTTATGTATTTTGGAAAACACAGAAAAGTATTTCAAAAACAAATCCTAAAGTAGTAAGCCTTAGATCATTGTGAAAGTTAATTTTTAAAAATATTTATTAAATTTAATGAATTAATTAATTTTTTGAGGCATGGTCTTACTCTGTCACTCGGGCTGGAGTGCAGTGGCACAATCACGGCTCACTGCAGCCTCAACTTCTCAGGCTCAAGAGATCCTCCCACCTCAGCCTCCCGAGCAGCTGGGACCACAGGCACTCGCCACCATGCCTAGCTAATTTTTTCTCGTTGTTTTTTGTAGGGACAGAGTCTCACTATATTCCCCAGGCTGGTCTTGAACTCCTGGGCTCAAGCAATCCACCCATCTAAACCTCCCAAAGTGCTGAGATTACAGGGATGAGCTGCTGTGCCCAGCCAAAGGTTAATTTCATGTGTCAGTATGCTTAAGCCATGGTACCCAAATATTTGGTCAAACATTATTCTAGATGTTTCTACTAAGGTATTTTGTAGATGAAATCAACATTTAAATGGATGGACTTTGAATAAAGCAAATTACCCTCCCGTATGTGAGTGGGTCTGACATCCCCCAAGGAAGAGGGAATTCTGCCTCCAGGTTGCCTTTAGGCCTGAACTGTGACATTAACTTTTGTCTCCAAGCCTGCCAGTTTTCCCTGCAAATTTTGGACTTGCCAATCTCCACAATCGTGTGAGCCAATTCCTTAAAATCTCTCTCTCACCTATATGAGCTCCTTTGAGTGTGTCTTCTCATCTATATGAGAGAGAGAGAGAGACAGAGAGAGAGAGGTTTTAGTTCTGTTTCTCTGGAGAACCCTAATACAGTTATGGTTTCATTTTAAAACATTTTTTTCTAGTCTTTTCTTTATACCTAGGTGGTTGTTGTTGTTTAGGTTTTTGTTTTTGTTCTTTTTGAGGGGTTGTATTTTATTGTCACCAATTACATATATAATTGTGTGTTCCTTAATTCCTTATATTTATTTATTTATTTATTTTTGAGACAGTCTAGTTCTGTCACCCAGGATGGAGTAAAGTGGCGTGATCTCTGTTCACTGCAACCTCTGCCTGCCGGGTTCAAGAGATTCTCGTGCCTCAGCCTCCCAAGTAGCTGGAATTACAGGCACCCACCAACCACGCCTGGCTAATTTTTGTATTTTTAGTAGAGATGGGGTTTCGCCATGACCTCAAGTGATCCGCCAGCCTCGGCCTCCCAAAGTGCTGGGATTACAGCATGAGCCACTGTGCCTGGCCTTTAATTCTTTTTAAATAAATTATTATGACACTATTGTCTTCTTTGTTAATATAAGTTTTAATAAAAGTCACTTAAGTGGCTCCCCAATGATGCACAAAGTACATAGTCTATAATTTATAGCTTTTCCTGCTAAATGTTTCTGCTGCTTCCAATATTTTGTTAAGATAGTAAACTGTAATGCACTTTTTTTGTTTATAAAGCTTTTTACACAATTGAGAATTGGATAGATTCCCAGAAATGAGATGACTGCATTGAAGTCACAGGCTAAGAGACACAAAGAGAACAGCAGCGACCCGCAGCAAGCTGGGCCAGAGGCTCCAGAGACTGCTGTCGAGGCCTGCTGGGGAGGAAGCCATGGCCAGTGGGGGGGCCACGAGTGGGCACAGAATCCACCCTCAGCTCCCACAGCTGCCCTCAGCCTCATGTTTAATCAGGCTCCACTAAAGACCTAGGGATAACAGAAGAGAATTCCAGGTACACTTAAAACTGGAAATGAGACATGGTGCTTTCAGATTTCAGAGGCCCACGCCCCTCCCTGTATGCACTTCCTACAGGAGGCTTCTCTGCCTCACCTTTAGCACGCTCTGAGTTTTGGGGGCCAGCATAACTCCCCAAGATAGGTGGCTCCCTTGAGTGTGCCTTCACTATGCAAAATACAGGCTCCCAACTCTGTTCTTGTTCTGGTTCAAAGACAGCAGGAAGTTTCCCCACTCAATCCAGCTTGCGGCCCACCTACCTACCAGTACCTGTGTTCTTTAGGATGATTTAAAGTGAGAATGAGCTACTCTCTGGAGGAGAAACATCCCAACCTATGGCCTGTGACCTCAGTGCCTTATGACCTGTGAGAGAGACTACATGTCCAGCAGAAATATACATGTATTTCTCTGTGAGAGAGACTACATGTCCACAGAAAGCGAGCTCCGTGTAATTTACAAAGTTCTAGTAGTCACATCAAAAAGGTAAAAAAACAACAGGTGAAATTAATTCTAATAGTAAATTTTATTTAACACAGCATATCCAAAATATTGTGATTTTGACAAGTAATAAACATAAAAATTATTAGTGAGATATTTTACTGTTTTTGTACTAAGTCTTTGAAATCTCATGTGTGTCTTGCACTTAAGAGCACATTTGTATTTGGACTAGCCACACTTCATGTGCTCAGTTGCTACATGTGGCTAATGGCTACCATGTAGGACAGCACAGACTTACTGCACAGCTTACCTGAGGAGATCCTAGCAATAAATACTTGTCTTGCATCGCATGTGTCTCAAGAATAAGTTATTATTATTAATTAGTTTTTTTTCCTTGAGACGGAGTCTTGCTCTTGTAGCCCAGGCTGGAGTGCAGTGGCATGATCTTGGCTCACTGTAACCTCTGTCTCGTGGGTTCAAGTGATTCTCCTGCCTCAGCCTCCCGAGTGGCTGAGATTACAGGTGCACACCACCACGCCTGGCTAATTTTTGTATTTTTAATAGAGATGGGGTTTCACCACTTTGGCCAGGCTGATCTCAAACTCCTGCCCTCGGGTGATCTGCCCTCCGCCCGCCTCCTCGGCCTCCCAAAGTGCTGGGATTACAGGCGTGAGCCACTGCGCCCAGCCAAGAATACGTTATTTAGTCTTGAATTACAGATTTCATTGAACATCTACAGATCAGTCTATGACGTCCTTAACTTGCTCAGTGGAGCCAGTTTTCCCCATTCCAAGATGAAAATATGGACAGTACTAAGACTGTTCTGATCTCTCTTAGGTCCTGTAGTTATTTTATATTACCAAACACAATGCCAATTCAGAAACTCAACGTTTAGTTCCAAAGGTAAGTCTCCTTTCCTCCAGCAAGGGCTTTGCAAGGATGGGAAGATGAGAAATAGGGAAACAGGTCCTCAACATTATGCATCTATCCTTCTTCTCCTGTCTTGCTAATGGTGGTTTCTAACCCTCCAAGGTTGAGTAGAATGGGGAAGGGTTGGGGGAAGGAGTGGTCTGGGGCGTGGAGCAGGCACGGTTTGCAAGAGGGCTTTGCATTCTCTGGGACTGGTAGGTGCTTACAGGGGATTCCTCCTCCTTGGGTGCTTCTTCCGAGACCCCTCACCCCTAATGCCATACAGTTGCAAATGAGGATTTCTTTCCACGATTTATTCCTCCCACAGCTCATAGGAATGCAGTAATCACTTCAGCTTCTCTCTGCTGAGGCCTGTTGATGCCTGTAGGTGGCCACATCAGACAGGATTAGCTCAGCTCCACATCAGCTCACTTCCTAGCATGCCTCACACTAGTCTGCTGGAAATACTTACACAGCCTTGCCCTGAAAACCTGGGATACAGGTCCCCAGTGCCTCCTCCTTTCCTACACTCCCACTCCCAGGGCAGAAAACCAGCCTGTCTCCTACCATGAGGTCTGCAGACAAATGTCAGATGCCAGCCCATTGCAGTCTGTCCACTGGGGAGGGGGAAGCTTTATGCAGGACAATAGGAAAAAAGAGTGAAACTATTCTGAATTAGATGTTTATATACATAAAATGATATTGCTTGACACCTGAAGGGAACAAGAAAAACTCTGGAGCTTTCTTGATCTAGTGACATGAAAGAAAGATGAGGTCCATGTGCTGTGGCTCATGCCTGTAATCCCAGCACTTTGGGAGGCTGAGGCTGGAAGATACCTTGAGTCCAGGAGTTCAAGGCCAGCCTGGGCAACATGGTGAGACCTAATCTTTATTGAAAAAATAAAAATAAAACGTAGCAGGGCATGGTGGTGCATGCCTATGATCCCAGCTATTTGGGAAGCTGAGGTGGGAAGACTACTTGAGCCAGTGAGATTAAGGCTTCTATGAGCCATGATCATGCCACTGCATTCCAGCAAATTAAAAAAACTTAAAAAAAAATTTTTTTAGGCTTGACTTGAAACTCAGAGACCTTGAAAAAGAAAGAAAAAGAAGAAGAAAGAAGGAAAGAAAGAAAGAAAGAAAGAAAGAAAGAAAGAAAGAAAGAAAGAAAAAAAGAAAGAAAGAAAAGATGGGACCATTGGTCGCCATGGACACTGTTTCCACAGCTACTTTGCTATTTTGATTGTCATTGCGTATTGTTTGAAGGACTCTGCTATGAGAAAAATATAACTATTTCTCAATTTAACCGTGATAGACTATAAGTAGATAAAATAAGGTTGAGACAGATTAAATAAACTATTAAGGGGAAGAACTAGACTAGAACCCAGGTTTTCTGGCTTCTTATCTGGTGTCTGTTTTCACTCTGAAACTCACTTAGGGTCACGGACTCACTGACTCACAGATTCAGTGTGACAAAGATAATCAGAAACCAAGTCACTGTAACAAAAGCCCCCTAAAGACAGGACACCAGCTCACTGCTGTATCCTCAGTGTTGACGTCAGTGTGCTTGTCCAATAATCCACACTTAATAAATGTGAGTAGAATGAGTGAATTAATTAATTAATGGTTTAGTTGTTTAGTTTGTAAGTGAGGGAACAAGTATCTGAAAATGTTAAATGAATCACTGAAAGTCATTTATATATATGTGTGTGTGTATATATATACATATATATATATATATTTTTAAATACAGAGTCTTGCTATGTTATCCGAGCTGGTCTCCAACTCCTGAGCTCAAGCAAACCACTCGCCTCGGCCTCCCAAAGTGCTGGGATTACAGGTGTGAGCCACCTCACCCTGTAATATAATATAAATGCCGAAAGTCATTTATATTTTATAGGTTGTAAGACATATATTTATTTTCCCATTTATCATCTCTTGAATAGGGATGCGTCTTACAATCAATGGCGTGTCATAGTTTAACCCGCTGTGTTTTCCTCTTAGTGCTGCATGAAATAATGGTATGTTTTCCGGCAACGGAGCTTTAGATGCAATGAGGAGCAGCAGTTGTTTGTGGACATACGTTGTGTCTCATGTCAGTGAGTGCAAGGAAAGGGGGAGGTGGGGGTGACCCCGTGGGATGCAAAACAAGTCAACTTCTCCAGGCCCTCAGAAGTGGCGCTCAATCTCCAGAGGCGCCCATCTCGCAGAGGGCCACTACCCGGTCATTGCCACTAGGGGGCTTACCAGACATTTCATCAGGAAGACACAGGCAGTCCTTGGGCCTCTCTTCCGACCAGGCCATTTGTTGCCATGGATATTGTTTCCATAGTTGCTTTGACTGTCACTGCATTTTCCCTGATTATCTGTTTTTGCATGCTGAATATATACTATAATCCAATCTTCATCCTCATCAATTTAACAATTTTATCATATCTAGATTTTTCAAATGGCCAGTTTTCATCAATTGTGACGTTCATGGCATTTGACTTTGTTAGTGAGTTCTGCTTTTGCAGCCCCTGTGTTCCAGTATACAATACTGCATTATACCTCAGCTCACTTCACAAATTGGGTATCCACTGCAAGCAACTAAGCACAAGTAGTGAATACTAATCCAAATGAAAGAATGGGTCTGTTGTGGTGTTAGCGCAAGAGAAAATTCCTCTGCTCCATGGTGCATTAGTAGTAGCTCATTTTGCTTGCTGCCCCATTTGATTACATTGTTGGTGGTAAATATCACTGCTGAAAGTTCCATGAATTTCTTAAAGGTCTCCAAAGAAGATGTGGAACATTGAAGCATTTCACAACGTTTGCATGTACATGACAGCAATATTCATTCGCTTCTGCCAGGCACCTTGAAGGCAAAAGCTATTTACATGGCTCTCCACTGTGTTCTCATAGCCATGCACAGGCTTATATGTCCTCTGCAAAGATGTGATAGATGATCAAAGGAAACATCCAGTCTCCTCCCTCTCCCTCCCCCTCCCCCTCCTCCCCCTCCCCCTCTCCCTCTCCCTCTCCTCCCTCTCCCTCTCCCTCTCCTCCCTCTCCCTCTCCTCCCTCTCCTCCCTCTCCCTCTCCTCCCTCTCCCTCTCCCTCCCCTCCCTCTCCCTCCTCTCCCTCTCCCTCTCCCCACGGTCTCCCTCTCCCCCTCCCTCTCCCCCTCCCTCTCCCCACGGTCTCCCTCTCCCCCTCCCTCTCCCCACGGTCTCCCTCTCCCTTTCCCCACTGTCTCCCTCTCCCTCTCCCTCTCTCTCCACGGTCTCCCTCTGATGCCGAGCCGAAGCTGGACTGTACTGCCACCATCTCAGCTCACTGCAACCTCCCTGCCTGATTCTCCTGTCTCAGCCTGCCCAGTGCCTGGGATTGCAGGCGCGCGCCGCCACGCCTGATTGGTTTTCGTATTTTTTTGGTGGAGACGGGGTTTTGCTGTGTTGGCCGGGCTGGTCTCCAGCTCCTAACCGCGAGTGATCTGCCAGCCTCGGCCTCCCGAGGTGCTGGGATTGCAGACGGAGTCTCAATCACTCAGTGCTCAATGTTGCCCAGGCTGGAGTGCAGTGGCGTGATCTCGGCTGGCTACAACCTCCACCTTCCAGCCGCCTGCCTTGGCCTCCCAAAGTGCCGAGATTGCAGCCTCTGCCCGGCCGCCACCCCGTCTGGGAAGTGAGGAGCGTCTCTGCCTGGCCGCCCATTGTCTGGGAGGTGAGGAGCCCCTCTGCCCGGCCGCCCAGTCTGGGAAGTGAGGAGCGCCTCTTCCCGGCTGCCATCCCGTCTAGGAAGTGAGGAGCATCTCTGCCGGGCCGCCCATCGTCTGAGATGTGGGGAGCGCCTCTGCCCCGCCGCCCCGTCTGGGATGTGAGGAGCGCCTCTGCCCAGCCGCGACCCCGTCTGGGAGGTGAGGAGCGTCTCTGCCCGGCCGCCCCGTCTGAGAAGTGAAGAGCCCCTCCGCCCGGCAGCCGCCCCGTCTGGGAAGTGAGGAGCGTCTCCGCCCGGCAGCTGCCCTGTCAGGGAGGGAGGTGGGGGAGCAGCCCCCGCCCGGCCAGCCGCCCCGTCCGGGAGGTGAGGGGCACCTCCGCCCGGCAGCCCCGACTGGGAAGTGAGGAGCCCCTCTGCCCAGCAGCCACCCCGTCTGGGAGGTGTACCCAACAGCTCATTGAGAACGGGCCATGATGACGATGGCGGTTTTGTCGAATAGAAAGGGGGAAATGTGGGGAAAAGATAGAGAAATCAGATTGTTGCTGTGTCTGTGTAGAGGGAAGTAGACGTAGGAGACTCCATTTTGTTCTGTACTAAGAAAAATTCTTCTGCCTTGGGATGCTGTTAATCTATAACCTTACCCCCAACCCCCTGCTCTCTGAAACATGTGCTGTGTCCACTCAGGGTTAAATGGATTAAGGGCGGTGCACCATGTGCTTTGTTAAACAGATGCTTGAAGGCAGCGTGCTCGTTAAGAGTCATCACCACTCCCTAATCTCAAGTACCCAGGGACACAAACACTGCGGAAGGCCGCAGGGTCCTCTGCCTAGGAAAACCAGAGACCCTTGTTCACTTGTTTATCTGCTGACCTTCCCTCCACTATTGTCCTATGACCCTGCCAAATCCCCCTGTCCGAGAAACACCCAAGAATGATCAATAAATACTAAAAAAAAAAAAAAAAGAAAAAGAAAAAGGAAACATCCATGCCACCTCCTTTCATGGGTAGAAGGTAGAAGCTGAAAAAGTCTTCTGGGTATGGAAACTCACGAATACCTCGAGGCCAACTTGGTTCAGGGTTGCTGCCTAAAAAACTCTGGGTGAGGTCCTGAGTTGAAAACAAAACATCTCTGCTTGTGTTCAATTTTCAAATTCTTTTGAGGGTGAGGCCTGAGAAGTCGCAAACATCTTAAAAAGCAGAACTCACTAGTAAAGGCAAATAAATGCCATAAACGTCACAATTGATGACACGTTCCCTACCATCCATCACACACACAAGAATGTTTTTTCTGTGTATCCACGACTTGTTTTCAGACTGGGGGCTCCTCAAGAATAGGGACTGTGTCTGGTTTTTCTTGCTTGGCTCAAAACCCAATACAGATTGGAGGAAAGATCCGAGAGCCTGCCATTGCAAGCCTAAAGAAGAGAAGACTGAAGGATAAAAGTGTTCATACCTGTGAGTGATTTTTGTAGAGACAGTGCAGAACAGTTCATCACTTGAGATTCAGTCCAAATGAGATAAAAAGTGAGTAATCCTGGAGCCAGGAAACCTGAGTTTAACTCCCTCACCCCCCACCCCTCCCTGCCACTTACCGTTAAGGAGGTTTGGGGACAATTTATTTAACTTCTCTGAACTTCAGTCTTTGCATTTCTAAGACAGGATGGTTCTCCTACCTCACAGAGGTGATGTGAAGATCAAAAGAATCCACATATGTGACAGCAGCTCAAAGTGCCCCACAAATATGTCACAAGTCTCCGGTCAGTTACCCTATCCCTTGGGAAGCTTTCCAGGATCTGCACAGGCTGAATGAGATCCCTTCTCTGGACTCTGCCCAAAAGCATTCCTTTATTGTAGCACTTAGCATGTTGCACTGTAATTGCTGGTTTTCTTGTCCTTGAGGGTAAGAACTATGTCATTCACTTCTGTTGGTTGGCTGCCTCTGTTCCCAAAAGAATTCCCAGCACCATACTAGACAGTTACTAAAGGAATCCTAGGCCAGGTGCAGTGGCTCATACCTGTAATCCCAGCACTCTGGGAGGCCAAGGTGGGTGGATCACAAGGTCAGGAGTTCGAGATCAGCCTGGCCATCATAGTGAAACCCTGTCTCTACTAAAAATACAAAAATTAGCCGGGTGTGGTGGCACGCGCCTGTAGTCCCAGCTACTCAGGAGGCTGAGGCAGGAGAATTGCTTGAGCCTGGGAGGCGGAGGTTGCAGTGAGCTGAGACCACACCATTGCAATCCAGCCTGGGTGACAGAGTGAGACTCTGTCTCAAAAAAAAAAAAAAAGGAATCCTAATTTCCTTGTGTTTACAAATAAGACCAAAACAGAAGAAATAGCACCAAAAGAAAGCATACATTTATTCGTTTATTCCAAAATGTGTATTTCATCCCATCTAAGATGACATTGAATGCAAGATGCAGCATTACTTATGCCCCACTAAGGAAGAAAGAGTGCTACTGACTGGTTCATGATGTGCTATCAAGTGTAAGACACTTTTCCATTTTTAAACGTTTCTTGGTTTTTTTTTTTAGGCAGTGTCTTGCGATGTTGCCCAGGCAGGTCTCTAACTCCTAGCTCTGGGCAATCCTCCCACCTTGTCCTCCAAAAGTCCTGGGATTACAGGCCTGAACCACTGCAGCCAGTGGACATCTCCATTTTATTTTTATTATTATTTTTTTAAGACAGCATCTCACTCTGTCACCCAGGCTGGAGTGCAGTGGTGCAATCTCGGCTCACTGCAACCTCCACCTCCCAGGTTCAAGTGATTCTCCTGCCTCAGCCTCCTGAGTAGCTGGGACTACAGGTGTGTGCCACCAGCGCCCAGCTAATTTTTGTATTTTTAGTAGAGACGGGGTTTCACTATGTTGGCCAGGCTGGTCTCCAACTCCTGACGTCAAGTGATCCACCTGCCTCAGCCTCCCAAAGTGCTGGGGTTACAGGTGTGAGCCACTATGCCCATCCGACATCTCCATTTTAGATTATGATCCAATGGGGAAGATGTGCATCAGAGGCTCAATGAAGCATATGATTATTAAATATCTAATCTATCTCATATATTGTCCTCAAAACCCCTATTCTCAAGGAACTGACATTCTAGTGGAAGGAGACAGACATAAAACAAATAAGTTAACATGTAAATAAGCATAAGTTCAGATTGTCGTCAGCTCCATAAAGAAAATAAATATGGTAATCTGTAGAGACTGAAGAGAGGGGTTTGTTTTAGATGAATCACAAGAAAGGTCCTGAATAGATCTGAAAAATAACTACGTGTTTTCTAAGGTGTCAAACAATACCTCGCTAAGGGAGAGTGTTGAATCACTGTTGCTTCACCAAACATTCTTGTTTAGAAAGACAGGGGACTGGACCAGAGTGTGCATTCGCAGACGTTTTAATGAGAGGTGACACTCCCCAAAAGGCATAAATCCTGTTCAGGCACAATCTAGAGGGGTGTGCTTACTTGCCTGGTGTCCTCAATCTGGACTTGTGCAAGTTGGGTTCAGCTGGACCTGGTATGACTCCTTGATGACACCTGAAGAGGTCCTTTAAACACTGGACTTCATAAAGAGAAAAGGAGGATTAGCTGTATGATTAACTGTATGCATTTACCAAAGGCATGGAATGCACAGATATGTGCGACAACTTACAAGTGTCATCTGAGTGTGAGTATATTATGGTTTGAGAGTCAACTACCAAATCTTGTAGTTCAGGTCCCAGGAGTGGTTAGAAAGGTATTTCCCTTATTCATTGAGGCTTCATTTTTTTTTTCTTCCCTTCTGGGTGTTCTGCAGCATCTTCTCCTTGTCTTTTCTAACTTCAATACTCTCCAGAGACCAGATCTTCATGTATATCTCTCTGGGCTCTCAAATGCCAAAACCATACTCTCCTTCACGGTAGCACCCTGAGGGGGTGGACTTATTCTGGAGAAAGCTACGTGGCAAGTTGAAGGAGACTGACTGGGCAAAGCCCCTGTGCCTCTGGCAGAACTGCTGCCACAAAGGGATATGCGTATCCTGGGAATAATTAGTACAGGCCAGTTGCTACTGACTTTAAGGATGTTCCTTATGCTTCAATCCTATGTACAACTCTGGGATCTTTGGAGAGCAGCAAAAAGACTGAGATTGAATTTCCCTCTAATCTGACAGGAGCAGAAATTAACATTTTCTTTCTTTTATTTTTCTCTTCGAGACAAGGTCTCTCTCTGTTGCCCAAGATGGAGGGCAGTGACATGATCACAGCTCACTGCTGCCTCGACCTCCTGGGCTCAAGCAATCCTCTCACCTCAGCCTCCCAAGTAGCTGGGACTACAGGCATACACTACCATACCCAGCTAATTTTTAATTTTTTTTGTAGAGACGAGGTCTCACTATGTTGCCCAGGCTGGTCTTGAACTCCAGGCCTCAAGCAATCCTCCTGCCTCAGCCTCCCAAAGTGTTGGGATTACAAGCGTGAGCCACTGTGCCCAGCCTTTTTCTTTCTTTCTTTCTTTTTTTCTTTTCTTTTCTTTTTTTTTTTTTTTTTTTTTTGAGACAGGATCTTGCTCTGTCGCCCGGGCTGGAGTACAGTGGCACAGTCATGGCTCACTGCAGCCTCCACCTCCTGGGCTCAAGCGAGCCTCTTGCCTTAGCCTCCCAAGTATCTGAGCCTACAGGCATGTGCCACCACACTCGGCTAATTTTTTTTTATTTTTAGTAGAGACAAGGTCTCACCATGTTGCCCAGGCTGGTGCAGATCTTCTGAGCTCAAGTGATCTTCCTACCTCGGTCTGCCAAAGTGCTGCGATTACAGGTGTGTCATCCTGCCTGGCCAGAAATTAACTTGATTGAAAGAAAAGAAAAGCTTTTGATATGCTAGCGTTTTTGCATGCATGCTTTTGCATGCTAAAGTTTCTATGCCATTTACAGAGATTTCATGGTCTCTTCAATTGCTCTAAGTTGTCTTTGAGGTGCAGAAACTCAAGCACACAGACTTCTCAGCTAGAATTTGTAGCTCTAGCAATTCCTTTGTTTATTGCACAAACCTAGCTTGTACCGAGACCAAAAGTTCTGCCCCCTTGAAGACCAAGGCAGATTCTGGAATTCTTTGTGCTTGCCAATACCCTTTGACAAATGCCCAGCCCCAAACCCCAGCCTGAACTTCAGGAGGAAGATTTTATAGAAACACATTGGACTTTTCCTGCCTGTATATTAACCAAGAGACTCTTCTGTCACTCTTTTTTCCTGCAATAAACTGATATTCATGCCAGTATCTCTAATCACAAAATTCTCCCTTGGCCACTTGCTGCCTCCATGGGGGCAGAAGAGGGAGATCATTTTATTATTCTCCCATTCCCCACTATGTGTAGCTCCCACATTCTTAAAATCCTGAGCACTGTGTCTTCCCAAATGTGTCATGGAGATATTCGCAGAAGTCTGCATGTTCTAGATGATGTTTATGTGTCATATCAGTTAGGATCCCATTTAGCTGGAATCACAAGAAGCTCACCTCACTGAGCTCCGGCACACTGCTCATCTCATATACGAAATGTCCGAGAGGAGCAGCCCAGGGCTCAGTATTGCCATCGGGCACCCAAGTGATTTCTTCCCTCTGCTCCACTCTCAGCTTGAAGCCTTCACCCTGCTGTGGGTCTCCCCCTGACCTCAGCATTGCTGAGCCCCAGGTCTCATATCTGCATTCCAGATAGGAAGAGGAACGAAGGGGAAGGGGCAAAGGGCTTTCTCCTCATGAGCTTTGGCCTTTTCATCTGGAAGGGACACCATCCCCAGGAACTTATGCCTATATCACATTGGCCAGAGCTGTATCTCCTCACTGCACTGGCTGCAAGGGGGACCGGGAAATTGGGGATTTGGGAAATGGTTTTCTTCAGCTGGGCACATTACCATCACCCCCAAAACTCAGGTTCTCCAAGTGTAAGGGAAGGGGAGACTAGAGCTGTTTCTGTCACGTTTTCCTTCAGGTAATAAACTTGAAAATCCCCATAATATAAGCATTTCCTGGATTCTATTGATGACCAATATAAAACCAACATAAAGCTAATAGAAATGATTAGTCTTTACAATTGCACAGCCTAACAAGAGTAGAACGAGAACTGTCTTAAAATTTAAACAGTGCATTTGCATTAAGGGCCCAATAATCCCGCAGCTGACTGAGAGACTGAAGGTCTTGAGAGAGCTTGTACAGAGACGATCCATGAAAGAAGGAAAACATCAAGTGGCAAATGAGATTTGAGAAACTAGGCTGTAGCAATCACTACAATATTAATGTTGGAGCGAAGAATTCTTCAGTAAAGAAATATCATGCATTACATTAAACTACTGCTGTTACTTCTAACGTTATTGGAACAGTAGAGCTATAAGCATAAGGAGTTTATACTTCATTTTCTGTTTCATATATATTTACGTTTAAGCCAACATGGCGAGTTCTCAAAAAATCTCTTTTCCAGCCGGGCACGGTGGCCCACACTGTAATCCCAGCACTTTGGGAGGCCAAGGCGGGTGGATCACCTGAGGTCAGGAGTTCAAGACCAGCCTGGGCAACATGGTGAAACTCCATCTCTACTAAAAATACAAAAATTAGCCAGGCATGGTGGTGCACGCCTGTAATCCCAGCTACTCAGAGGCTGAGGAAGGAGAATCGCTTGAACCCAGGAAGTGGAGGTTGCAGTGAGCCAAGATCGCACCACTGGACTCCAACCTGGGCAACAGAATGAGACTCTGTCTCAAAAATATATATGTATCTTTTCCTTTAAAGGTGTTTATCACATAAGTCTGAGAAATATTGGTTTAATATTTATTTAATCAATCCAATTTTTTCACTTTAGTATTTTAATTTATTATTCCGTGTTTCCGACTCTGTATCATAATACTACAATTCCATTATTTAACACTGGTGGTGATGCTGCTCATAGTGGCATCAGTAGTGAGCAAACAATAATCAACTGTCTTCACATATCTTTGATTCTTTGGTTTTTGTCCTGAGCTCCTCACAGAGCTGTTATATCCAATGCCCCGGCCTTGTCTATGGTCTTAGCCATCATTCATAGGTGCATGAATATGGTGCATTTGCATTAAGTAAGGACAAATCTCTTCTTCTATCAGGCAGGGCTTTTCTCTTAGAGGTTAGGTCTGGACTTCGTGTCCTCATTTCACACCGCGATTGACTAAGATGAGACTCATTTATTTGCTACGGTGGCCAGTCCCACACAGGTGCTCATACATACTTGCTGAATGACCAGTTGACTACATCCTGTAAATGTGACCCTTTGGCCTGGGTGGTAGGAGAACGCGGGCATAGTCCTCTTAAGAGATAAGTTGTATCCTTCAGCTTACAGGTAGACTGAGATAGACAGACTGGGAGACGTAGAGTGTTGAGCTCATGCTAGGCACTGAATAAATATTTTGTTAAGGCCAGGTGCGGTGGCTCACGCCTGTAATCCTAGCACTTTGGGAGGCCAAGGCGGGTGGATCACCTGAGGTCAAGAGTTCGGGACCAGCCTGGCCAACATGGTGAAACCCTTGTCTCTACTATAAATACAAAAATTAGCCAGGCGTGGTGGCATGCGCCTGTAATCCCAGCTACTAGGGAGGCTGAGGCAGGAGAATCACTTGAACCTGGGGGGCAGAGGTTGCAGTGAGCTGAGATCGCGCCACTTCACTCCAGCCTGGGCAAAAGAGCAAAACTTCGTCTCAAAAAAAAAAATTTTTTTTTTTTTTGGTTAAATGAATGAATGTAGAGATATGTCCCAGACAAAAACAGATAAAATTTGCTTTATTGATTTGATCAGACTTACCGAATATCTCTTATACCTGAGCTGTGTGTAATTCCTCAAAACCTGGTAGATAGGTAAAGGTGATTGTCTAGAGGAAGTAACCAAGGTCAGGCAGAATTAGGAGACACTCAGAGCAGATGGGCATCCTTCTGAGTGTCCTCCACATGCTTATTCCAGGGGCCAGCTGCCTTCCTCATGTGGTGGGCCCAGGGCTCCAGACTAGGGCGGAGGAGTGGAGGCCTGAGGATACACATCATGCTGCATAGTCTTGCAGAGGCGGATGAGGGGTCTCCTTTTTCTAGAACCAACTGTAGTCACTGCTGGGGTCCTCTTTATGGTGTACTGTAGTCCATGACATGGGGATGATAAATAACCCTGGTGGATGGATTTAATGGAGGCAGGAAACACTCTTTCTAGGGAGGAAGAAAATGGTTTGGTTTTAACACTCTGTTCTTCTCTTAACCCTGGTGGTTTGTAATTTATCACTTCTGCCCAGCCTGTTTCCCTGGCTCTGGGAGTCTGCTAGATGTCACTGTTTTCTTCAGATCCTGACACTGACTACTAGAGATCAATACTTGCCAAAAATGTGGACGACATTTAGGGGGAAAAAAAAGCCTTTTGTTTTTTTTTTTTTAGATGGAGTCTCGCTCTGTTGCCCACGCTGGAGCGCAATGGCACGATCTCAGCTCACTGCAACCTCTGCCTCCCGGGTTCGAGCAATTCTCTGCCTCAGTCTCTCAAGTAGCTGGGATTACAGGTGCCCACCACTATGGCTGGCTAACTTTTTTGTAGTTTTAGTAGAGATGGGGTTTCACCATATTGGCCAGGCTGGCCTTAAAGTCCTGACCTCGTGATCCACCCACCTCGGCCTCCCAAAGTGCTGGGATTACAGGCGTGAGCCACCGCACCCTGCCAAAAAAAACTTAAACCTTTTTTGTTTTTTTTAAAACAACTTAAAAAAAACTTAAACCATTAAAGTTTAAAGAAAAAAGCATTTTGACAAATGGAACTTGGGAGGAATGGTAATATAGTTCTTATTTTTAAAACTTTTCGAGTTAAAGATTTAAAAGTCAAAAATTTAGCAAGTTTGGGAGCATAGACTTTCCTCTTACTTCCCACACCCTGAGCCTTTTGAGCCATCTCTTGTTTTTAGTCTCTACACGAAATTAAGAAGGTGCTAATGCTAGTGACCTCTCTGGGCCAATGCCTGGTTTGGAGGAAGGAAAGCATCTTTTGTTCTAGAGCAAGAGTGTCCAACTTTTCATGGTGATCCACATGATCAGAAATCCAATTGTTTATGGTAACAGCGAAGTCCAGAAGGTCCTCCCTCTACTGGTGAATACTGAACATGACTCATGCATGAGTCAGGTACATATGGACGCTTTCATTCCATTTTCCTCTTGTCAGCATCCTTCAGAATGCTCTAGTTTCATGGTGTCATTTTAGCAGAATTAAATGTGAACACCTCATCTGTATCATGCATTACTTTCGGCTTTACTCACACTTACAAACTGATCCAAAGCTGTGGATTTGCATCTTGGAGCAGGGGTCAGTGCACAATGGCATCAATGACCGCAAGAATTAACGAGGCTTTAATGACCTGCCCGAGTTGGCTAATCCTGCAAGCCGCCACTTGTTAAAATTTCGACATGCACTTAATCCGTAGGTCAGGATGGCCAAAAAGGACCAGCCCTTCCCCCTCAAGCAGCAGGCCAGAAGCAGGAGGCTTGGGTTTTAGATCAAATGTTAGCGAGAGGAAGCCACAATGTGGGGTCCCCCAGATCACCTCCTTTTCTTTCTGATCAGACTGACCAAAAATCACAGATTGCCTTGACCGTTCTGTGACCCAGCCAGCTGCAGGTTTTCCCCAGCAGGCTTGAACTCAAACCAGGGCCTTGAACACTCCCAGGCACTAATAAAGGTATCTAGGTTGTTGCCCAAAACGTTGAAAGAAACTGGCTCCAGCCCTGAGTCAAATTCCCTAAACCCTCATATAAACTCCATACCCTGACCCCCTTGCTACAGACATGCTTAGGCAGAACATCCCTTTTCCCTCCCTGTCGGCAGGGAGGATTGCTGCAGTCCTCTGTAAGTTCCCCTAATAAATGCTTTGAATTGATCACCCTGACATCTGGGCTTCTTTCTTTGGAATCCCAATTGGCCCCATCTCTGGAGGGTTTGGGCCACTCCCTGTGGGAATTTCCCTGCTGCTGCTTTTGGGATGATTCCAGCTGCGAGTTTGGTGAGATGAAACATGCAGGGCTGGCATGGAATTCTTTTGTCTCCTCTTGTAGAAACAACAGGGACCCTCAGAGACAGAAAAATACCCAGAGCTCCTCTTTGAGAGCTGGTACAAACTGTCTCTTTGGTGCAGGGTAGTGGTGGCTCATAAAAACCCACTCAATTTTGGTTTTAAAAAAATCTTCTTCAGAACTTCAGAGTAGGTAGTAATTAACACAAGAATATGTAATTTCTGATATGAGTGGACCACTCAGAATGTTTCTAATTCATCCACTCCTCTGGTCCCCAGTTCCTTGTCTTCTTGGGAAAATTTCCTCTTTTACATCCATCTGTACCTAACGGTTCATGCTTTGCCCTGACTCCCGCTGTGTCTTACCATGTTTGTGTTCTTATGTTTCTCACTCTCAGCCTCTCTTCCCTTTCTCTCCTTCCTGTCTCTCACAGCTTCCTCTGTCCCCAATGCTTTCTGCATCTTTTGTGCCAGGTGCTCTTTTCCTTTCTCTCCACCTCTGTCTTTCCAGGAGTCTTTGCAGAGCTCTCTCTATGCAGGCTTCCTCACGCCTGACGATTTCTTGGGCCTCTGTACCTCAGCTCTCCATGCCCACCACTTATCCTCAGTTGGCCTCGTTCCCCTGATGCCCTAAATATTCCCAGACCAAATACTCACCACAATGAAGCCCAATCCAACAAAGAGCACAACAGTGACTGTGGTTGCAGCCAGGGATATGAGGATAATTCCCATGGGTGTCAGGATCCTGGTGGGTTTCACTGCTGTGACTGAAGTAGTTCACAGAAGGTGAGTGTCACCATGTTTAGTGGTTTCATCTTCTGTGGTCCCTGGGTCTGCAGTGACGGAGTCCTCGGTGGTCCCTGGGTCTGCAGTGATGGAGTGTTTGGTGGTCCCTGGGTCTGCAGTGACAGAGTCCTCAGTGGTCCCTGGGTCTACAGTGATGGAGTGTTTGGTGGTCCCTGGGTCTGCAGTGACGGAGTCCTCTGTGGTCCTTGGGTCTGCAGTGATGGAGTCCTTGGTGGTCCCTGGGTCTGCAGTGACAAAGTTCTCAGTGGTCCCTGGGTCTGCAGTGACAGAATCCTTGGTGGTCCCTGGGTCTGCAGACACATAGTCCTTGGTGGTCGCTGGGTCTGCAGTGACAGAGCCCTCGGTGGTCCCTGGGTCCACAGTCACATTGTCCTCAGTGGTCCCTGGGTCTGCAGTGACAGAGTCCTCGGTGGTCCCTGGGTCTGCAGTGATGTGGTCCTCAGTGGTCCTTCCATCTGCAGTTACATCATTTTCTCTTATTCTTGAGTCTTTAGGGCTGGTCTCTGGGTGCTTAGTGGAAATGCTTTGGCTTAGTCCTACTAAAAAGTAATCTCATTTAATGTGAATTGTTGATGGCCTATCCTCATCTGCTCTGCTCAGTATTTTCATAACTATCCTCACATCCAAATGACACCTCTCCCCAGGTAATGTGGTGAGATTTATTCGAGTTAGGGATCATTTGGCATTTTTGGTTTAATTCTGGTAAAACATATTCCACAAAGAATCCTCTTGCACTACAATATGGATTATCTTTGCTGAGCCACGCCCTTCGAAGGCCTGCTCACCCAGCTTTGACTCTGTCTTTTCCAGGTCTGGTCTCTTTCCGTGGGACACTAAACCTGACTCTTTCTCAAGCTCACTCCTCTCTGAACTGGTGAGCCGTCAGGACTTGGGAGTATTCTTATTCTTAGGAATACATGTAGCTTACATGGCATAAATTTTGAACTTTTGGGACTCTGCCCAAATCTAGTCATCCCTCCCTACTGCTGATGCTCCACATTTTTCTAATAGGGTTCAAGTCTTCCTTCCTTCCTTCCTTCCTTCCTTCCTTCCCTCCTTCCTTCCTTCCTTCCTTTCCCTCTCTCTCTCTCTTTTTTTTTTTTTTTTCTTTGAGACGGAGTCTCCCTCTGTCATCCAGGCTGGAATGCAATAGCGCGATCTCCACTCACTGCAACCTCCACCTCCCAGGTTCAAGCGATTCTCCTGCCTCAGCTTCTCAAGTATTTGGGATTACAGGCGCGCGCCACCAGACCCAGCTAATTTTTGTATTTTTACTAGAGACTGGGTTTCACCATGCTGGCCAGGCTGGTCTCAAACACCTGACCTCAGATGACCCACCCACCTCAGCCTCCCAAAGTGCTAAGATTACGGGCATGAGCCACTGCACCTGACCGTTTCTTTCTTTTCTTTCTCTTTTTCTTTCTCTCTTTTTGGACACAGTGTCTTGTTCTGTGATTCAGGCTAGAGTTCAGTAGCACAATCATGGCTCAATGCAGCCTTGGCCTCCTGGCCTCAAGTGATCCTCCCACCTCAGCCTCCCGAGTAGATTAGACTACAGGCATGGGCTACCACGCCTGGCTGATTTTTTTGGTTTTTGTAGAGATGGTGTCTCATTATGTCGCCCAGGCTTGTCTCAAACTCCTGGGCTCAAGGGATCCCACTCCTTCTCAGCCTCCCAAAGCGCTGGGATTAGAGGAGTGCCAAATTTTTCATTTCTCCAGGAAAGTTGAAACAAAGAAACTTAAATAAAATGCACAAAATCAAAAGCAGAGCATTTCCTTAAAAGGGGATATGAGAAAGACGCTGGGGTCCCTGCCTCCCTGTGGCAGGTGATTGAGGGTAGATAACAGGGTCCGGAGTTCCCAAGGTTCACTCACCTATTCCGTACCTTCGCTCAGGACTGGCCCTGTCTGAGTCCCAAGAGGCTCCTTCTCCAGGGACCCTGACTCCATCTCTCCAGGTCCCGGGGACTTTTGCATCCTTCTCACCAAAATTAACTCCTCCACCCCGTTGTGAACACCTCAGGAGAAGCAGGAGCAGCAGAAGGGGGACGTAGCCGGGCATTTTCTTCTCATCTCAAGAGAATCCACATGGTGCTAGCCAGGACACCTTTTCCTCCCTCCTTCTCTCAAACTTTTTCCACCCTGCCCTTCTCCTTCCACCCGCAGTGGCTGTGGGTTTATATGTGCTTTGCCGAGGGAAGCCAGAGCTCCGGGTCTTCCTTCCTGGAGGGAGGAGCAGCTTCTCAATTACCCCCTGTCACTCAAAGGAGTGGCCGGGCAGGGCAGAAGAGGCTGTCATGAGGGGAAGGGGGGCTCTCAGCTTTGGACCAGAGCCCAGAGTCGAGCAGCCACAGGGGATCAAGCCTGTCAGCGTGAGTGCACTGCTTTCTGATGTGGAGCCTAGTTGAAAACCATCCTCCACCCGGTGTTTCAGTGCTCAGGGAGGGCCTCGGCCTTCCTTCCCACAGGTGGCCACAGTAAAGTCAGGATGACCAAGGAGGGCATAGGCCAGGCCTGCCTGGGGGATGATGCTTGGCAAGAGGAGAGCTGGGTGTCAGAGGGTAGAGGACATTTGGTAAGGACCAAGAGAAGGTCCTCCAACAGAAGGAGAGGAACACTCACGAGGGGGCTAAAACACCCAATCTCTCTGTCTCTTAAAACCTCGCTCTTTGCTCAATCATCCACCCAAATCCTCTTCCTTGGCTTCTCTCCAGCCCACGGATCTCTCTCCTTGCTCCCCCTGCTCGAGTGCCCTCACCCCAGTGAGCTTTCTCAATTACTGCATGTATTAGTCTGTTTTCACGCTGCTGATAAAGACATACCCAAGACTGGGAAGAAAAAGAGGTTTAATTGGACTTACAGTTCCACATGGCTGGGGAGGCCTCAGAATCACGGAGGGAGACAAAAGGCACTTCTTACACAGTGGCGGCAAGAGAAAATGAGAAAGAAGCAAAAGCGGAAACCCCTGATAAACCCATCAAATCTCATGAGACTTATTCACAGTCATGAGAATAGCAAGAGAAAGATGATTGGCGAAAAGAGAAAAACTCCCCACAGCATGAGGGGAATTGTGGGAGCTACAATTCAAGTCGAGATTTCTGTGGGGACAGAGCCAAGCCATATCACTGCACAAAATTAGTCCACTTGTGGTGAGGTCAGGCCTGAATGAGAATACCCACATCTTTTCCTCCTTCTCTGACCCTTATCCCTGCCTTGCCCACTCTTTAGAAGATCATTGTTGGTTCCCATCTTCATTCAGAGATGTCTCTCACCATTTGTGGGGCCTCTCTCTTTCCCAGTGTCCTTCTAACTAAAAGAGGAGTGTGAAATTGCAGGTGGGCCGGGAACTGTTCCTCTCTTAGAAGGCAGCTGATTTCCTGAAAATCAATTTAATGAATGGCTAGTTTACCACATGTAACTGACTATGTTAACTACTAGTATTATTTGAATGTATTAAATATTTTCTCTTTTCCTTCCTTCCTTTCTTTCTTTCTTTCTTTCTTTCTTTCTTTCTTTCTTTCTTTCTTTCTCTTTCTCTCTCTTTCTTTCTTTTTGACAGGGTCTTGCTGTATTGCCCAGGTTGGAGTGCAGTGGTGCTATCACGGCTCACTGCAGCCTCGATCTCCCAGGCTCAAGTGATCCTTCCACCTCAGCCTCCGGAGTAGCTGGGACTATATGCATGCACCACCATGCCCAGCTGATTGTTTTTTTATTTTTAGTAGAGACAAGGTCTCACTATGTTGCCCAGGCTGGTCTCGAACTCCTGAGCTCAAGAGATCCTCCCTCGTCAGCCTCCCAAAGTGCTGGGATTACAGGTGTGAGCCACATCACCCAGCAACATTTTCAAACATAGTATTTAAACACACTCAAAAGAATTTGTATGTATTTAGTATAACTAATGAATAGATTTCAAAAGAGTATAGTAAGGAAAATATCTGATTTTCTAAGTCAAGAGGTATAATTTGCATATGATAAAATTCACCCTTTTTCATGTGCAGGTCAATAGAATTTTTTTGGTTTGGCTTTGTTTTAGAATTTTTAAAACTTCATTTTGAGATAATTTTAGACTTACAGAGAATTACAAAAATAGTTAACAGAGTTCCCGTATATTTTTCCCCTAGCTTTTCCTCATGTCAATATCTTACATAGTACAATTATAGAAACTGAGAGATTATACATACAATTATAGAAGCTAAGAAGTTATTGTTGGTACAATACTATATATATTTTTTTGAGACAGAGTTTCACTCTTGCTGCCCAGGCTGGAGTGCAATGGCACGATCTCAGCCCACAGCAACCTTCCCCTCCCAGGTTCAAGTAATTCTCCTGCCTCAGCCTCCCGAGCACCCGGGATTACAGGTGTGTAATCCTAATGGTGATAGATTAGATTCCTTCTACATTTATTAATTGAAATTCTTCTGTAAGAAAAAGTCGTGCCCTCTCCCCATTTTATTTATTCAACTATTTGTTTATATCAGAATGGACTCATAAATGTTTATTTTGTTCTGTGAGTTATGATCCAATACTATCACTATTTATTTTGTTGCTCAAACTTTGGCCACTGGGAGCTCTTTCAGATGGGCTCCAGTGCCGTTTTAATGTCCTCCATCCTTTTTTTGTTTTGTTTTACTTATGAGACAAGACTTCACTGTGTTTCCTAGGCTGAATTGCGGTGGCATCATCATACAGCCTCAAACTCCTGGGCTCAAGGGATCCTCCTGCCTCAGCCTCCTACAAGTAGCTAGGACTACAGGCATGCACCAGCACACCCAGCTGATATCTCCATTGCTATTTTGTTTTGTTTTTTGAGACAGGGTCTCACTTTGTTGCCCATGCTAGAGTGCAGTGGTGCAATATTGGCTCACTGTAATCTCCGTATCCTGAGCTCAACTAATCCTCCCACCACAGCCTTCCAAGTAGCTGGGACAACAAGTGTGCGCCACCACACCCAGCTAACTTTTTTGTTTTTGTAGAGACAAAGTTTTGTCATATTGCTCAGGCTGGTCTTAAACTCCTGGGCTCAAGCAATCCACTTGTCTTGGCCTCCCAAAGTGCTGGGATTACAGGCTCAAGCCACTGTGCCCAGCCTCTCCATCCGTGGTATTTTGTTTTTTTGTTTTTTTTGTGTGTGAGATGGAATTTCGTTCTCGTTGCCTAGACTGGAGCGCAATGGTGCAATCTCGGCTCACTGCAACCTCTGCTTCCTGGGTTCAAGTGATTCTCCTGCCTCAGCCTCCCAAGTAGCTGGGATTACAGGCATGCACCACCATGCCCAACTAATTCTGTATTATTTTAGTAGGGAGAGGTTTCTCCAAGTTGGTCAGGCTGGTCTCCAACTCACGAACCTCAGGTGATCCCCCAGCCTGGGCCTCCCAAAGTGCTGGGATTACAGGCATGAGACACTGTGCATGGCCCTCTCCATCCCTTTTTAAAACACTTTCTTGCATTCTGGTATTACAAGATGCTTCATGCTCATTTTTTATTTTGTCCATCCAGGCCCTGGAATCAACTATTTCTCCACAGAGCTCTGGCTCCTCTTTGTATTAGAGAATAATATTTAGAAACCAAGATTTGGGTACTAGGTGTGCTCATTCATAGTGGATGTCACTGCTTCTTGCCCCCACGGAAGTTAGAGCTAGGAAACGTATGTATGTAAACTAACTCATGCATAAACACAGGTCTGTATTTATTTCTGCAATGACCTGTCTGCATATACAGATTGAATCCCTTATCTGAAATGCTTGAGACCGTAAGTGTTTTGGATTTTCAATTTCTTGGATTTCGAAATATTTGTATATACACAATGAGATATCTTGTGGATGAGACCCAAGTCTAAACATGAAATTTGTTTATGTTTTATATATATCTTATACATGTAGCCTGAAGGTAACTTTACGTGATATTTTAAATAATTTTGTGCATGAAACAAAGTTTGTGTATGTTGACTTGTGGTGTCATGTTGGTGCTCAGCAAGTTTTGGATTTTGGAGCATTTTGGATTTTCAGATGAGGGTTGCTCAACCTGTGTTTTAAACACAAGCATGGGTGCATTTTGACACCTCCAGCTTTAATCCAGCAACATGGGGTTCATTCTAGTCTCTCCCTTTTCTTTATTTGTAACTCCTTTCTCTGACATGGCTACGAATGTCTATAAACATATTTTTTTACTTATTTTTTCAACCCTAATAAACAAATAGTGGTTTCAGAACTGCTAATTCATACCCTTGCCAGAAACACATTTACCAACTACAGTACAGTGTTTCTGTATTTTTTTTTTTTTTTTGTCTTTAGCTTTATGGTCAAAACACAGTTTTTCTTTTCTTTTTCTTTTTTAAATTTGAGACAGGGTCTTGCTCTGTCACCCAGTCTGGGGTGCAGTAGCACTGCAGCCTTGATCTCCTGGACTCAAGCGATCCCTCCATCCTAGCCTCCTGAGCAGCTAGGACTACAGGCACACCATCATGCCCAGCTAATTTTTTTAACTTTTTGTAGAGGCGGGGTTCTCGCTGTGTTGCCGAGGCTGATCTCAAGCTCCTGGACTCAAACAAGCCTCCTGCCTTGGCCTCCCAAAGTGGTAGGATTACAGGCATGAGCCATCATGCCTGACTCAAAACAGTTTTTCAAAGTTACTTAGGCCAGCTCCTTCTTCTCCATCCGTTTCACTGTGCTTACATGAGTCATTTGTCAGAGTCTGCTTTCCATCTTTCCCTCCACATCCTGGTTGATTTGCTGAATTTCCATACCCTAAAAATCACTTTTTGTAGTGTACAGTTCTATGGATTTTGATAAATGGTAGAGTCACGTATTCGGCGCACCGAATCCCTTCATCCTCCTCAATCTCCCCCCATGCCGTTCCTTTAGAGCCAACCCTTCTCCCACTTCCCAAACCCTGGCAACATGGATCTTGTTTCTTTCCCTATAATTTTGCCATTTTCAGAATGTCATATGAAGGGAATCGTATAGTCTGTAGCCTTATAGTTTTAGATATAATTTATATACTATTCATAGGAATCATATTTGCAATTATTCATCAGAGTCAAGAATAAATAATTTTTTCTTGCACATATTTTTGAATAAAGTCTTTCATGTGAAAATTGTTATAAATAAATATATTTATCTTGAGTATTTTCTTAACTAGAAAACATGCTATAAATCAAGAAGACATTCCCCATTCTCCCTCTGTCTCCCAGCCTCCAGCCTGCAGCAGGAGGGAATCACACTGAATAGGATTTAAAGAAAATTTAAAAATTCAAAGAATTAGTCATTTGATGAATTAGTTTTAAGAAAATTGCCTAGAGCTCGTTAGATGAAGACCTCCCTAAAACAGGACTTTTAACAAAAGTCACCATAAATTATGGAGTTGGGGATTTTTAAAAAAGTGCTAGGCAGAAATCTCTTGAAATTCACATTTCTTCTCGTTTTTTTTTTTTTTTTTTTTTTTTGAGACAGGGTCTCACTCTGTTACCCAGGCTGGAGTGAGTGGCACAATCACAGCTCAGTGAAGGCTTGACCCCCTGGGCTCAAGTTATCCTCCCACCTCAGCTGGGACTACAGGTGTGCACCACCACACCTGGCTAATCTTTTTAACTTTTTGTAGAGACAGGACCTCACTCTGTTGCCCAGGCTGGTCTCAAACTCCTGGGCTCAAACAGTTTTCCCACTTTGGCCTCCCAAAGTGTTAGGATTACAGGCATGAGCTACTGTGCCCAGCCTCCACTTCTTTTCTTCTTTCCCATTTCCATGTTTTGTGGTCTTAGATTTGTCTATTTGCTTCTTTCTTTGCAGGGGCATTACAACACCATTTTTGCTGGTTTCCAGCCTCTATTTTCTACTCACTCAGCTGATTGAAGTGTTCTTATTGGGGAAAAAATTGTGTCCCACTACACCTTAAAGTGATCTGTGGGCTTTGTGCTGTTAAAGGATGAAATCTGGCCTCCTTGGAGTGGTGTTCAAAGCCACGCATTAGCCCCCAGCCCCAGCTCCCTCTGCTGTGCTCTCTAGCCCCACAGGTCTTCTGACCTTCACTGGCCGTGCCATGCCCAGTCTTGCACAAGCTGCTTGCTTGCCTGGCATTTCCTCTTCTGCTCCTCGTAAATGCCTGCTAACTCCTCAAAATCCAAATGTCACCTTCTATGTGAGTCAGCCTCTCCTCCCCTCATCAAGTTAGATGTTTCCTCCTGTGGTGCTTCCATTCATACTACTTGATGCGTTGGCCTGTAACTTATGTACCTCCCTCACCCAACTGTGACCTACAGGGTCATCCTAGCTGCCCCAGCTCCTTGAGACCTCATGCCAAGCAGGTGTCCAGTAAATATGGTGAATGAATGAATGAAAAAATGAGTGCAAAAGATGATAATTATTTTACGAAAAGGTCTGGGGGCTCTTAAAACTGAAGAGGAGATAATGGATACACTGATAAATATCTTCAAGGTATTATTTTAAAACCCTAATATAAAAATAAAAATTAAAAAATCCCAAAATAAAAAACCCGAATATACATTTTTTCTTCCTATTGAGGTAAAATTTACAAAAAGTGAAATGCACAGATCTTAAGAATTCAGTTAGTGGAGGTTTCTTGTTTTGTTTTGTTTTTTTGAGACAGGGTCTCACTCTGTTGCCCGGGTTGGAGTGCAGTGGCACCATCACGGCTCACTGCAGCCTTGACCTCCTGGGCTCAAGCAATCATCCCACCTCAGCCTCCCAAGTAGCTAGAACTACAGGTGTGCATTACTATACCCGACTAATATTTGTATGTTTTGTAGAGATGAGGTCTTGCCATGTTGCCCAGGCTGGTCTCAAACTCTTGGGCTGAAGCAATCCTTTCACCTCAGCCTCCCAAAGTGCTGGAATTACAAGCGTCAGCCACCACACCCAGCTGTTAGCTGAGTTTTGACAAGTGTATTTACCTGTGTAACCAACAGACCAGTTGATATAGAAAACATTCCTATCACCCAGAAAGTGCTCCCTTCCTAAAAACCCTCACCCTCATAGGAGATCTGATCTCTGCCACCATAGATTAGTTTTGCCTATTGTTGAATTTCATGCAAATAAATTGTACAGTAGATACTCTCTTGCATCTGTTAAAAATAGATTTTGTTGTTGTTGTTATGTTTTTTGTTTGTTTTGTTTTGGAGACAGAGTCTTTCTCTGTTGCCCACAGTGGAGTGCAGTAGCGCAATCTCTGCTCACTGCAACCTCCGCCTCCCAGGTTCAAGCAATCCTCCCACCTCAGCTTCCCGAGTAGCTGAAACTACAGGCATGTGCCACCACACCCGGCTAATTTTTGTATTTTTAGTAGAGACGGGGTTTTGCCATGTTGGCTGGGCTGGTTTTGAACTCCTGACCTCAGGCGATCCGCCCGCCTCAGCCTCCCAAAATGCTAAGATTACAGGCATCATGAGCCACCGCACCCAGCCTAAAAACAGTTTTGTTCATCATATTGTAAAATGTTCTTAGAGAAACAGCTTGGTCCTGTTAAGGCTCTCCCAAAGACCCAGGAGAATCCCAGAAGCTGAAGAGACTTAGCAGAGGGTGAAACTGATAAAGCAGAGGCGAGTGATTCACAGGGAGGAAGAATCAGTGGGGTGCGTGTGCGAGAGCAAGTTGCACCAGAAGCCTGGGTGGGACCAGGCCTGAGCATGGTGCTGACACTGGCATGTGTGCCCTCTGAGGCCTGGTTTTGGGGGAGCTGCTGAGGATCTAGACCGTAGCAGGGCAAGCCAGTCCTGCCCTTGCAAAAACTGGGAGCACATTCTCCCTGCCCAGGACAGTTGCTGGGCTGGGAGCCCACAGGAGAGAAAGGTGGCAACTCACACCTGCAGCCCAGAGCAGACGTGAGTGGCCAGGAAAAGTGGCCATGTCTAAGGGTGGCCCCAGTAGCAAGCTCTTTCCTACCTCACAACATGAAAACAGGATCACTTTCCTCCAGTTCATGTTCTAGGCTCACGCAGAGGCTGTTTTCCTGCCATGCAACACACGTCTGTAAAGACCAGCACCTGCCTTCCCCCATCTCTCCTGACTCCATTCTTCCATCGACCCAGAGGCCTCGGGGAGCAGGGAAGGAGTGGGGAAGAAAATGGGACAGATGTGAGGTCTCTGGATTTCATGCTAGGATTTGAGAACTGGGAGTACACAGCGAAAGAGTGTCCTCATGATATAGGAAACCTCTCTTCACAGCAATATACAAGCACACACCCACAGTCTGGCTGTCACATAGAGCAGATGCACTTATTTAATCATTCAGCACTAGCGATAGCCTCCTGTTTCAGGTCTGGGAGAACTAAACAGAAGGTAGGAGTGTCAGGGGCTGGAGCAGAGCTGGGAGGAGCAGCCCTGGGGGCAAGTGAGGAAAACCGAGACCGCTGGTCCTCCCCACCCTGAGGACAGTGAAGTGCCTGCCTTTAGGGACACTGTGTCTCCTCATCAGCTCCATGCCTGTGGGAGAACACTGGTCTCTAAAATCCGTTTCAGTCTCACTTGACCCATCTTGGACTCCATGATATCCTTGAGGACATGGACCAAGGTTTGGGATGTGAAGATCTTTGGTGAAGAGGTTTCTTAGGCACAGAGAGTTTCTCTAGAAAACAAAAGGATGGATCGTTCAGAGTTATGCCCCTCTTCCAGTGCTCTCCCATCCCACGTGTCCCCACTCCCCATTCGGCCTCCCCAGCCTCAGTACTCCTTTGGCCCCTTCTCTCCTCATCAATTTCCTCTGAACATGTACCAGCTTTTCTAGCCCTCTCTCTTGCTGGTTCTCACCTGCTGTCTCTGTCTTGCTTTGTCCCTCTCCTGATTTCTCATTCCCTATTAGCCACACAATGACCCTACTCTCTCTACCCTGCTTCCCTCCTCAGTTCCCTGCACTCCCTCCCTCAGAAAAAGGATTTCCCACACATCAGGCACTCATGAAATAAAAGAGCCCTGTGAAGAGAATCACAGCCATTGCAACCAAGGCCAGAGTGACTAGGATGACTTCCCACAGCCTCAGGCATCCATTAGACCTTCCCTCATTCCCTGGAGGGGCTGCACTTGTGCTGGTGACACTGGAGGTTGCAGTTGTTGTGTTAGTTCCACTGGAAGATATAGTGGACCCAGGGCAGGGGGGTTGTAGTGATTCCACTGGGAGGTGTGGTTGGTCCAGGGGGCGTGGTCACGGTGATTCTGCTGGATAATGTGGTTGATCCTGGAGGGGTGGTCACAGTGATTCCACTGGAAGGTGGGGTTAATCTGGGGGGATGATCGTGGTGATTTCACTGGAAGTTACAGCTGGTTAAGAAAGGGTGGCTGGTTGGCTCCACTGGAAATTTGGTTTTGTTCACCGCTACCGCTACTATGAGTAATACTAGTGATAATAATAGTGGCTGTCATTTAAGAATGCTCACTATATTCCAGGCACTGTGCTAAGTGCCACATATAAATTAGTACTAAAATCCTTACAATACCTCCTTGAGATAGAAACTAATATTACCCCCATTTTATAGATAGGTAAATTGAGGTTTAGAGAAGTTAAGCAGCTAGTTCCAGGTCAGACAGTTAGTAGGTAGTGGAACAACGATTTAAATCAAAGCAGTCTGACCCCAGAGCTAGCCCCTAAAGCCCTTAACCCATGCATTATTCCATATCCCAGGTATGGGGGAGTTACAAGACCAGGGTTTACAGGGGATGGTGTTATTCTTTTAACTATTCATGATACTCTCCGACTAAAGAACGTAAGAGAAAAGTTGAAGGCCCATCAAGCTCCTCTCCAAACAGTATTGTGCCCTTCCTCTAGGGGGCAGATAATCAAGGGGAATCGGTTTGGGAGGGGACCATGATGTGCATTTTTACTACATCGGGTAATTCTTCTGAACACAAAAGTTTGGGGCTGGGCGCAGTGGCTCACACCTGTAATCCCAGCACTTTGGGAGGCCAAGGCAGGAGGATCACTTGAGGCCAGGAGTCTCGACCAGCCTGGACAACATGGAGAAACCCTGTCTCTACTACACATACAAAAAAATTAGCCAAGCATGGTGGTGCAAGCCTGTAATCCCAGCTACTCGGGAGGTTGAGGCACGAGAATCGCTTGAGCCTGGAAGGTGGAGGTTGCAATGAGCTGAGAGCACGCCACTGCACTCCAGCCTGGGCGACGGAGCAAGACTCTGTCTCAAAAAAAAAAAAAATTGTTTGGGAGCCACTGGTTTAAGGGACCCCAGATGGTCTTGACACATGGACTAGTAAAGAATCAGTCATGTCAGCTTGAAGAAATAAGATCTTCTGGGATTCAGGAAAGTGGCTCAGCTTTCTTGTTGGATCAGTTAGAGTTAAGGTGAGACTGAGCTTCTTTCCCTGTCATGCCTATTTTCTACCCTGTTCTGATTTTCCATCCCATTAACAACCAAGCCCTTGACCTCCCAGATCCCTATAGACCCTCTCCTCATCGATGGCCCTGTTCTCTCCCTGGATGTAGGTGCTGCCCTTCACCCTCCACATATGTTCTTGCCTTGGTGTTGTCTGGACTAACATAAGGATTGCCAATTTAGATTTGAGGGAAGAATCCCAAAACTGTGTGTCGATGCCTTAGGTTAGGGTCAGAGCCAAGAGAGAAACTAAGTGAGAAGTTGAGATGAAAAGCTGGCCTGTGGAGAGGGAATAGACTGGTTTTGTGTTGGTCAGGGGCATAAAACACAAGAGTCAAAGCCATGCTGGGGCAGATTCTAGAGAGAATTAAATCTGCGTGAGTGTGGAACAGCAATGTCTCATGAAGTGTTTAATTAGAGGCTAGATGACTGCTGTCAGAGACGCTGGAAATAGATCCCTGCCTATTACAGGTGGTCAGACACTAATTCAAGTTCTCTTCCAACTCTAATGCGCCTATATCTGGGAATGATGTATTATAGAGTAAATAGGTCCATCTTCTGGGCAGAAGAGTTGCCACTGAGAACAGAACGGAGGACAGATGCTGGGTTGCATTGGAGAGAAAGAAGCAAAATAATCATCCCTCCTGCCTTGAAGAGAATGGGGGCAACAAGGACAGAGTGTGTGTCCCAGAAGTTGTCAACATTTTCCCCAAACTCTACTCAAACTCCAAGATTATTCTCTTTTAAACAAAATCACTCACCATTTCCTAAAAGTAGAAGGAAGTGAAACAGCCAGCATGCAAGGGAAAATTGCTTTCTCTTTCTTTTGAGATAGTCTGCCTGTGTGAGGCTGGAAGGGAAGGCTCCTCCCTTAGTCCCGATGGGATTAAGCCTTAGAAGGGAAAGGCAGAAAATGAGAATCTTGAGGGTGGAGTCTCAAGGTGGAGATCTGAGGGCTGGACTACTAGGAATTCGGAACTCCAAAGAATAGGTCCTCAATCTGAAGAGAAGCACCGCTAGGGGGACCTGGGCTACAGGGGAAGCTGGATGTCTGGTCCTTGATGTTCCTTCACAGAATGCCACCTCTTCTTTTTCTCTTTCAAAGAAGGCCTTTAGGGCGGGTACAGTGGCTCATGCCTGTAATCCCAGAACTTTGGGAGGCCAAGATAGGCAGATTACGAGGTCAGTAGTTCGAGACCAGCCTGGCCAACATAGTGAAACGCCATCACTACTAAAAATACAAAAATTAGCTTGGTGTGGTGGCACATGCCTGTAGTCCCAGTTGCTTGGGAGGCTGAGGCGGGAGAATCGCTTGAGCCCAGGAGGCAGAGGTTGCAGTGAGCTGAGACCACGCCATTGCACTCCAGCCTGGGCAACAGAGTGAGACTCCATCTCAAAAAAAAAAAAAAAAAAAAAGGAAGAAGAAGAAGGCCTTTAAAGCATCATCTGGACTGGGCAAGGCCTGGACATGTAGGCTGTTGTTCTTCCAGCTGTGAGCAGTGGCAGAATCCCCAAGTTTAGAGAGGAGGGTACAGCAGCCAGAAGGTAGGTGAGGGTGGAGGATGACTTAGTCCCATTAGGAAGGGCCTGGGGAGGAGTGGGAAGTGGAATAGTTCAAGGGGATCAAGGCTGTCAAAGTGGAGGGGCTCCACCCTCTGAGGCAGGGATGGGGCAGAAAACCTGCTCTAGTTGGAGGCCTCCTTTCCTGGACAAGAAGTCCTGAGAACCCAGTATAGCTGGGCAGGAGCAGGTGTGTGAGAAGGAAGCCCCTGCAAACAGAGCTTAGCAGGTAGGGCACAGGAAGTGAGATCCCTGTGAATAGGCACTGGAGACTGGACCTCTGGGCATTGCTGAATAATTAGTAAGCCTGCAAAGCATACCTTGAATGAGGTGGGGAAGAGAGACCCGGGGGAGGGAAATAGACTCTGGGGTCTCCGCAGCGTGGGAGCTGGGGGTGGGAGAGTTGGGGGTGGTGGTGTGAGCTGTTGAGGAGATGGAACCAATGGTGTACTGGGTCAGTGCATGCCTGTGTGCTAGAGCTCATTGCTGAATTTTCAGGATTTTTGGCAACACAGCCATCATTAAAAATTAACGTGTATTAACTTACAGTGAACTAAATTATATTTAAAACAAAGGTAAAAATGTTCCAAACTCATTACTTTCTAATTGCTTTACCACATTTTACTATTATCTCTGCGCACGGAGTTACGTACGCCTATCACATCTGCCTGGTGGGAATGGTATGGAATGGTGTGCCGCCCATCGCTTCCCATTCTATACACAGTGATTCACGCTGGTCACACGCAGTCAGCTCTGGCGGGTGCATTTGCGCCACGAGAAGTGAGTTGTTAAACATTTACCAGCACACACGCTGCAGGGGACCTAAGGAGAGTGATGGCACTGGAAAGAGGAATGCTCCTGCTTCTAATCCTCCTTGATAGAGGCGCTCCCCTTTTGTTTTTGAAGAATTTATAGAAGCTTTTCCACCGGGGAGCTTCAGCTAGGTCTTCTCATCAGTGCTGTGTGCCAGACAAGCCAGATGATCAAGGAAGTACCTACACTTTGGACACTGTCAGTTTGCCTGGGGACTGAGAGCTTACAGTCCAAGCTTGCTTCAACTCTGGCTGAGGCCAACAGAGAGAGCCCAAAGACAACTGAAGGAGCGGCAGAAAACAAAGATGGGAACGGGGTAATTGGCTTCCAGTTCCTTCATTCGCAGGTCATGAAAAAAACCTGGGGCTAGACTCCATGAGAGTTTTTTTGTTTTCTGTTTTGTTTGTCTGTTTGTTTGTTTGAGACTGAGTCTCGCTCTGTCACCCAGGCTGGAGTGCAGTGGCGCGATCTCGGCTCACTACAAGCTCCGCTTCCCAGGTTCACGCCATTCTCCTGCCTCAGCCTCCCGAGTAGCTGGGACTACAGGCGCCCGCCACCACGCCCTGCTAATTGTTTTGTATTTTTAGTAGAGACAGGGTTTCACTGTGTTAGCCAGGATGGTCTCGATCTCCTGACCTTGTGATCCACCCGCCTCAGCCTCCCAAAGTGCTGGGATTACAGGCGCGAGCCACCGTGCCCGGCCTGTTTTCTGTTTTTTTGAGACAGGGTCTTGCTCTGTTGCCCAGGCTGGAGTGCAGTGGCACAATCTTGACTCACTGCAACCTCCCAGGCTCAAGTGATCCTCTTACCTCAGCCTCCCAAGTAGCTGGGACTATAGGCATGTGTCACCACGCTTGGCTAATTTTTGTACTCTTTTGTAGAGCTGGGTTTTCACTATGTTGTTCATGCTGGTCTCAAACTCCTGGGCTCAAGTAATCCTCCTGCCTCAGCCTCCCAAAGTGCTGGGATTACAGGTGTGAGCCACTGCACCTGGCCACCAGGGGACTTCTTAAGCATCAAATCATTTCCTTCCAGCTTTTGGCTAAGTTTGAATTTGGAAAAGTTGCAGGAGAAAAACGTCAAATTATCTAGAGGGGAAAATATATTGGAGTATGTTCTAACAATATGATCCTAATTACTTATATCTACAAAAATGTTTAAATGGCCCTGATACAACATTTTTGGGAAAGGACAGCAGCACTTGGAGGGGCTAAAAAGGGATTTGCCCTACCTCCTCCAATCTCCATCTGGCCCCTTCAAAGCCACCTGAATATACATAAAACCTAATTTGAAACAATATGGTTGCTATACAAATACAGCTTTTATAAAAGACCCCTAAAAAGTATTTCCTTCCCTCCTTTGTAAGATATCCACAAATGAACAATCTAATGATACCTAATAATAGTTAGCTTTTATTGAGTATTCCATGTGCCAGACATTATTCAAAGTGTTTTACAGATATTAGTTTATTTAGTATTTATATTACTCTATGCTTAGGTGCCACAATCTCTGTTTTACAAATTTAAGATGCCTCAGTTCATCTTGCCCAGACTTGTAAAGCTAACAAGTGGCAGAATCAGGATTCATACTCAGGCAGTCTGACTCCTGTGCCACGTTCTTTCTTTTTTTTTGAGATGGAGTCTCGCTCCGTCACCCAGGCTGGAGTGCAGTGGCATGATCTCGGCTCACTGCAATCTCTGCTGCCCAGGTTCAAGCTATTCTCCTGCCTCAGTCTCCTGAGTAGCTGGGATTACAGGTGCATGCCGCCACACCCAGCTAATTTTTGTATTTTTAGTAGAGATGGGGTTTCACTTTGTTGGTCAGGCTGGTCTCGAACTCCTGAACTCAGGTGATCCACCTGCCTTGGCCTCTCAAAGTGCTGGGATGACAGGCGTGAGTCACTGTGCCCGGCCTGCCATGTTCTTAATCACTATAAAAAGAAGGCATCAATTACAAACATTGGTCCCAGCTGCCCCCTTGAAAATATTGCATGTACCTAAACCCCTCCCCCAGAGAAATTCTGGAGCTTCCACAGAAGCAGCAAAGGTTCAGCCAGGTTAAGTTTAAAATAAAACAGACGCAATATTTATCAGAAGGGACATTCCATTAGAATGAGTAAGTTAGAAGCAGGTTCTCCAGGCAAAGCTGACTGAAAGAGATCGTATTTTGATACATGTTTGGAGGGTCAGTGCTGACAACCGTGAAGGGACAGGATGCAGAGGCTAAGAGCTTAGAACTTCTGTCTTGTTTAGAGAATGACAGATTAATTTACCTCAGTATTAGAAATGTTAGGATGCAAACAGTTGCATACAAACAGAAAAATCACAAAGACACAGAGTAATTTTGGAATTGTATTAGTCTAACCTAGGGAAAAAAAAAAAAGAAAAGAAAGGTGGAGTCCTATTTAGGAATTGCCTGAACTCCAGATTCTCTCTGCCCTGTCCTTTAATTTTAGCATGTCCTAATTCAGATCGCTTTCAGACGTCTAGACAGGTCGTCTGCTTTCTCTTCCTAGTTTTCATCTCCGATCTCCAGTTCCACTGCAGCCCTCCAGACTGCCAAGCTTAATGTGCACTTAGCACATTTAACGTGTTTCCACTGTCTCCCCTGGATGGCAGGGACCCCGATCCTGGGAACTACCTTTTCCAGGCTCCCTTGCCAGGAGGCTCCAGGCACATTTTACCTTCCTCCAGTGAAACAAACTCTCATGAGACTCAGTTCTGTGGCAGTAATGGCTGCATGCGTGCATGGCTTCCTGGGGGAGGATTTTGCGGTGGCCTCCGCATTTCCCTGCCTCTGGCACACTGTGGGGCTGTGGAGGAGTGGAGGAGCCTCAGCAGTTGCCTGCACGTCCCTGCCTCCGGTGACCGCAGATCTCTGCTCTCGGTGGCAGTGAACCTGAAAGCTATTGGCTGTCATCCTGACTTTCACTCCTCCACCTTTTCGAGCGGTTTTATAAGCACCTACTTCTTGTACTAAATCCTTTTATGCTTGAAATATCCAAAGTGGTTTCTGTTTTCATAAGTGAACTCTGACTGTTACAGTATTTGGTATAACAAGAGGTTTCAGAAAATTGACTTTCAAAGGTGGCAATCTGGGATTGGTTCCCTGACCCATTAGGCTTGAGGGCAGGGGCGACCTCATGCTAGTATAAAATGAAGTCTTTGTATTACACAGCAAAAGATAGAAAAAGTGACTTAAGTTATCATCTGTGGTGGTGCCTGGAATAAAGCAATTGTTGAAGGGAAGGGCCGGGAGCCCAGGTGGTCGCTGTGACAGATCGTGAAGCTGGGAGTGTTGACTGCCGGGACTGTGGGTGGCTGCACTGGGAGATTACAGAAAAAAAATGACCCCTCTGCTGCATCCTCAGTCAAGGCATTGCCAGCGAACACAGAGCTTTCTCTGAATATTCTAAAAGACATGCTTATCTCTCAAAGCCACAGGGACTATGTATGAAAAAACCAGACCCACAGTTTGATTCTGCAGAATGGAGAATTATATTCAACTTGCATTTATATCTTTGCCAGTCTCATGTGTGACATTTGGAATATTTGTTAACGGAAGCCCAGAATTGGAGTGGAGACACCTGGGTAGATTTTGATGAGTCTGAAAAACTTTGAACCTCCAAATCCCGCAGAGCTTTCCTTGCCAGCAGAAGTAGCCCCTCCTCCCCTCTGTGAGGAAGTCACTTTCTCTTGCCTGAAGACCCTATAGTGACGCCCTCACAGCACTCCCTTGGCAAGGGGACACAGATTTTCCTCAGGCCCTGTATTAGTTTCTTATTGCTGCATGACAAATTACCACAAATTCAGGCTGAAGATAGCACAAATATATTATCTTGCAGTTCTGGAGATCGGAAGTTTAAAATAGGTTTTACTGGGCTAAAGTCAAGGTGTCAGCTGGTCTGTGGTCCTTCTGGAGGCTCTAGAGAAGAATCTGTTTACTCACCTTTTCCACCGCTAGAGGCTTCCAGCACTCCTTGGTTTGTGGCCCCTTCTTCCATCTTCAAAGCTTGCATCGCAGCATCTTCAAATCTCTCTGACTCTGACTCCTGTCTCCCTCTTTTTTTTTTTTTTTTTTGAGATTGAGTCTTGCCCTGTTGCCCAGGCTAGAGTGCAGGGGCGCAATCTTGGCTCACTGCAACCTCCACCTCCTGGGTTCAAGCCATTCTCCTGCCTCAGCCCCCTGAGTGGCTGGGATTACAGGCACCCACCACTACACCCGGCTACATTTTGTATTTTTAGTAGAGACAGGGTTTCATCATCTTGACCAGGCTGGTCTCGAACTCCTGATCTCGTGATCTACCCTCCTCAGCCTCCCTAAGTGCTGAGATTACAGGTGTGAGTCACTGCGCCCGGCCTCTCATCTCCCTCTTATAAGGACCTTTGTGATCACATTGGGCCCATACAGATAATCCAGGATAATCTCCCCATTACAAGATCCTTAATGCGATCATGCATGCAGAGTCCCTTTTGCCATATAAAGTAACATATTTCCAGGTTCTGGGAATTGAAACGTGGATGTTTTTGAGGGGCTGTTATTCTGCCTACCACAGGCCCTATTACAATACCCCTCGTGGCCTCCAGCTCCATGCGTTGAGTCAGATCTAGGGGCTGAAAACAACCATAGATGACAGTGAGCAAGGAAACAGGGGCCTCAACTCTAAACACAAGGAACTGGACTCTGCCACAACCACGTGAGCTTGAAAGAGATGCCAGCCTCCAGATGAGGATGCAGCTCAACTAACACCTTCATTTTAACCTGTGAGACTGAGCAAAGGAGTCAGTCATGCTGGCCCCAGACCCGCCTCATAGAACTGTGGTCTGATAAATGGGTGTTGGTTTAAGCTGCTGCGTTTGTAGTAAGTTATCACTGATAGAAAACAAATACATGGGTGAACTTATCACATGTTCTAGATTCAAAACATTAGCTCAAGTAGGTGTGAGTTGCACTAATAGTTCTCTCGGTTGCTTGAAATGTGGACTTAGTGGTGGCCTACACTAAATAAAGTTGAGATCCCAGTATTTCATTAGTATAAGCGGAAGAAAAAAATCAAAAGACTTAGGAAGAGAGTTATGTTGGAATGGATTTAATATGTGCAACTTGCTCACTCACTCTTTCATTACGTCCTCCCAGAAGGTTCCATTGAAACTGTCTTCATCAAAGCATTAGAAGGGAGAGGACCAGCATCGTTGAAAAGCTCTGTAGCAGCTCTTTGCTAAATGCAATGGTGGATGATCTGACCATTGAAATGAGCTTCCTGATTTCAGTGGGCATGGTGGAATCTTCAGGAAACAGTAGGTGGGTGGTAGGGCTTTCCCTCCAGAGACAAGACAGGCATGATTATCGATGTGGGCATCACGACCAGAGCTGTAATCAGGGCTCTTTGGCTATGGCTAATTAATCATTAATCAATTAACCACTAAAATCTTACTTGATCTATATAAGTGAAAATATCCAGGTGGTTGAACAGAGAGCTGACTTGAGTTGCCACAGACTCTCACCTAATTCCCAGGCCCGAACCTGTTCACAGAGCTAGAAATGAAGGGAAGGCAGCAAGATCCACCACCACCACCAGGATGTGCCGCGAATCTTCCTCCTAGCTTTCAAAAGGAATCTCAGCCATTTATCATCGTGACAGTGCAATGGGGAAATGAAAACACCCAAACCTTTAGGGTAACATACAAGACATCATTGCGATCTACAAGTCAGGGTGGAGCTTATGGGGCTTAGAACATAAATGACGTGGCCGGGCACAGTGGTTCATGCCGGCAATCCTAGCACTTTGTGGGGCCAAGGCAGGTGGATTACTTGAGGTCAGAAGTTTGAGACCAGCCTGACCAACAAGGTAAAAACCTGGCTCTACTAAAGATACGAAAATTAGCCAGGCATGGTGGCAGGCGCCTGTAGTCCCACCTACTCGAGAGGTTGAGACAGGAGAATCGCTTGAACCCGGGAGGCGGGAGGCGGAGGTTGCAGTGAGCCAAGATCGTGCCACTATTCCAGCCTGGGCGACAGAGCAAGACTCCATCTCAAAAAAAAAAGAACATAAATAACATCTTACTCGAAGTTCATCTCTAGGCTCCGTCTGCGCATATTTCCCCACTTTCAAGTGGGAACCAAAGCAAGGCCATAAGGCTGCTTGAGACATTGCTGACTAGATCCAATGTTGCCTAAAATGTCTGTGGTACATCAGAAAGCTGTGTGGAGACACTGGGTAGCTAGTAGAAGAGCCACGGCACAGGTCCCCAGAGTTTTGGAGCAAAAGCAAGCCCTCTTCCACATCCTAGCATCTGACTTAATCTTGGGTCCTCAGCATGCGAGGGTTCATGAAACATGAGCTGCCCTTTATGAACTGGGTGTTGTCTGCACCACCACACTAGACTGGGCATACTTAGCAGTGCTCACCTCCTTGAATGGAAGTGGTGCCTGTGAATTTGGCTGAATTAGTTCCTCAAGGCACAAGTAAGAGGCATGAGTAGGCAGCTGTAACTCCAGTGGCATCTCCAGCTACATTCCTAACCTCTCTCTCCATAATCACAGTCACATGAAGGGTTTCCTATGTCTAGTTGACTGAGAAAGGAAAGATTTGGTTTCCTCTGGTGTGTGGGTGGTTCTGCATGCTATTCTAACACCACAGAGAGCAGGCTGCTGCAGCATTACCACCCCACTCACGGCAGCCCTGCAGGACAGTAGGGAAGGAAAATTCTCCCAGTGATCCGAATTGTAAAGAATGCATCTGCTTTGTTTACTTTGCCTGGGCAAAGAGATGACCAGTTACAGTTAACCCTGATCAATAGGCAGTGGCTAACAGTTTGGCTAGATAACTCAGGGTGAGGAAAGACATGGTGAATTGATGACAAGGAAGTCTGGGAAAGAGGAAGGTGGACGAGTCTCTTGGGAAGGGCACAGATGGTGAGAGTATGTGCATCCCATGTGACTGTTCACCAATGGGCGTTCACTACAGAGGAAATCTTCCATGATGAGGTTGACCAAGCGATCCATTCTGCAGACGTCAGTCAATCTCTTTTTCCAGCTGCTCTAGTGCTCGCTCAGCAGGGACATGGACAAAGCAGACAGGCTGGCAGGGATGAAGCGTATGCAAGGCTCAGTGAGCTGGCCTTCCCCTCACCAAGGCCAAGCTGGACAGATAATCCATGGCTGAGTGCCTCAACTGCTAACAGCAGAGATCAGTGTTGGCCCCGTTATGTGGCACCATTCTCCAGAGAGAATGGCAGATTAATTATATCAGACCTATTTCAACCTAAAGAGAGAGGTGATTTGTCCTCATTGAAAATAGCTGCTTGCCTCCCTTGCACACAATGCTTCCTGCAGCACCACTGTCTTTGGGCTTACCAAATGCCTCATTTATCGTCATGTGTCTCCAACCACATTCTCTGACCAAGGAAATCATAATATGCTGAGAAAATAGCCTCAGAATATCTTTTTCATTTTTCAAATTGAGACATAACTTACATACCATAAAGTGCACAGATCTCATGTGCACATTTTAATGAAGTTTTACATATCTATACACCCTTGTAATCACCACCCAGATCATACACAGAACATTCTCAGCTTCCCCTGTCTGCCCCTGCAAGAAGGCTTTCTCATGCCTTCTCCCGGTCAGCCTTTTCCCCCAAGGCATCCTCAACTCTGACCTTTATTACAACAGGTTAATGTCACATGGCCTTGAACTGCATGTGAATGGAATTATACAGTAGGTACACTTTTGTTTTGACTTCTTTTACTCAACACTGACTATGAGATTCATTAATGTTATTGTGTGATTTCATAGGTTTTTTTTTTCACTACTGGGTAGCATTCCACTGCATGAATATGTCACAATTTACTTACCTGTTCTAATGTTAGTGGACTTTGGGGTTAAATTTCCACCCTGCAGTGGTATGAATGAAGCTGGCATGGTACATGTCTTTTGGTGGACACAGGTATTCATTTCTGCTGGATATTTACTCTCAGGAGTGGAAGTACCGAGTCATAGGGTATGTGTTTAATTTTAGCATTGCCAAACATTTTCCCAAGATAATTGTATCAATTTACACTCCCACTAACAATGTGTGAGAGTTCCAGTTGTTCAATGTCCTTTCCAATACTTGGTACTGGCAGTCTTTCAAATGCTAGTCATTACAGTGTGTGTATGTAGTGGTATCTCATTGCGGTTTTACATTCCACTTCTGATAAGCAGTGATATTGGGTACCTTTTCAAATGTTCACCGGCTGTTTTGATATCCTCTTTTGCTAACTATTTATCAAATATTTTGCCCAATTTAAAATTGCATCATCTTTTTCTTATTGTAGCTCTTTCTGCATTCTGGATATGAGTCGTTTGTTAGCTATATGTGTTGCAATATCTTCTCCCATCTTTGACTTTCCTTTTATAGTTAAGAATATACCTCTTAAAGGTATATGCTGATACTAGGCTTTAATGAAGTCCAAATCATCACACTTTCTTTTAATAGCTAGTGCTTTTTGTGTCTTGCTTAAGTATCTAAGTATCTTTGCCTACCTCAAGGTCACCAAGATATTTTCTGAGGATTAAATGATGACCTTTTTTTTTTTTTTGAGACAGAGTCTTCCTCTGTCGCCCAGGCTGGAGTGCAGTGGCACAATCTCGGCTCACTGCAACCTCCACCTCCCAGATTCAACCGATTCTCCTGCCTCAGCATCCCGAGTAGCTGGGATTATAGGCACTCGCCACCACGCCTGGCTGATTTTTGTATTTATTTAGTAGAGACGGGGTTTCACCATGTTGGCCAGGCTGGTCTCGAACTCCTGACCTCAAGTGATCCACCCGCATTGGCCTCCCAAAGTGCTGGGATTACAGGCGTGAGCCACCACACCCAGCCAAATGATGACGTATTTAAAGGCTCCTGGGATAGTGATTGGTACATAATAAGCACTCAAAAAAAAAAACAAAACCAAACCTGAAAGAACAAACAGGAAAACGAATACGTGTGTGGCCCTGATAATACATTCATTATGTGCTTTTGTTTCTTAGACATGTCTTGGTAATATTTATAGCACCATGAGGAAACACAGGGATGAGAAACGTTGACCCTGATGTGGCGGGAAATGGGAGAGAAGATGTCCTGAGGGTGGTTGTCGTGACTCCCCACAACAGAGGCTGAGACTCAGGAAGAACTCACAGAAGCTTTGACTTGAAGTCCCCTCCAAGCCAGTCAAAGTCTCTGTGGTCCTTTTGCTGGTTCTTTTCTTGACCTAGTCCATGTCCATCTCCATGGATCACATCCTGGGAAGCTTCCTATGCTCCATTTTAATTATTTCATGATCATTATTTTTTTCTCCTCCATGACCCCCTCCCACCCATAATATGTTTTGATACCCAATCTATGGCCACAGCCATCTTGTCCTGCCGTGGCCTCCTTGGTGGCTCCCTCTGTGATCCACTCCATGGTGTCCTCAGTGGCCTCCTCCATGTCCATAATGCCCGCCATGATTCACTCCGTAGCCATCTCCATGGATGTGGCTCAGTCCATGGCCCACTCCATATCCAAAGCCGTGTGTTCCTCCATGTCCCATTTCAAGTTCTCCTCCATGAACCAGTGCATTTCCCAGGCTGTGGAATGTCCCAGAGCCCAGGCCCAAGTTCAGGTCCAGACCAAGGCTGTGGCTGTGGCCATGGGGGTAATAAATACCACAATATCTCAGGGGGAAGAAAAGGTTTCTCTAAAAGAAAAAAATAAATACATTGATAAATGAAAATTAAGTCTCCTCTCCCTAATCACCATACATGCCTGTTTCACCAATGTCAGATTTTCACTTTTCCAAACTGCCCATGTTCTCTTCTCTTTACCACCATCCTTACTATGATCTCTGTCTCTGTCTCTCTTTTTCCTTGTTCTTTTACTCTTTCTCCGTCTGACAAAATAAGCTTCCTTGTTACCTTATTAACATATCATCTTTATGTGCGTACTCAGGCCCTAGCTCTGCAGATCATAAGGTTATGTGTTTTTGGACTTCCAAGACAAAGGTAAATCCATACCCCTATGTGAAAGGCACAGAGACTCACTTTACAGACAGTCTTTCTCTTTGTTAGTCAGCTAAGAAAGCTCAGAACAGGTACGTGGAATTGAGAGCTCTAGAAAGCTGTCTACACAGAGCCTTGAGATTATAGGCATGAACTCCAGAATCCAACTAACCTGAGTTAGAGTCTTATATCTGCCACTCACTACATGTGCTGGGGCAAATAGCTAAGATCATGAAGCTCCAGATCCCTTACTTGTAAGATGAATATAATATGGCCACGGGATTGTAGGCCAGATTAAATAACATTATGCATTTTAAACATTCAGCCTTGAGCCTAGCAGGCAGTAAAAACTCAATGTTCACTTTCGTTATTCTCTCTTGATCTTGCAAATGAAATAATAAAGTAATTTAGGGAGTAATTCTTAGATGCTGGTATTTATTATGTAGTCCACATACGGAGAGAGGCTGAGAATTCTAAAACAAAGAACCTCAGCAAATTGACTATATTATCCAAATCTTTTGTGACTTCCGTATTTTTCATTTTGTCCATTTTTACCAGTGGTATGCTGTCCAACACTTAATAACAGGCTCTCCGAGGGAAAAGTGCTGATTTGTAGTGTTTGACAATTGCTGTGGTGTAAGTATTTCCAACCCAGCATATTTTAAGCTACCAGTGTCACATCACTCAGCTCAGAATTGGGAAGAACTGCACAATCTCTTGTGGGCCAGGATGAGCCAGCTCCAGCACACCACTGATTTATACTCTGCTTCACTCCTCAAATGGTAACTTACCCGCAGGATCACAAGAAAACAGGAAGAACATCAATAAATGTGAAATCGATGTAAGAAAAATATGTATTCAAAGAACAATCAAGACCAGAGAGCAGAGATGGAGTGGGAGGTCAGAGAGTAACAGTCACAGGCCACACAAGGAATTGCTGTGAGGACCAGAAATTTGTCATACATGAGACAATCGGAAGCCCGCATTTTGGATGGCTGAACATTTTTATGCTTCTTTCTTTTCTCTATTTCTCTCTCTCTTTCTTTCCTTCTTTCTTTTTTCTTTCTCTTTCTCTCTCAGTTTCTTTCTTTCTTTCTTCCTTTCTTTCTCTTTCTTGCTTTCTTCCTTTCTTCCTCATTCTTTCTCTTTTTCTCTCTCTCTCTCCTTCCTTCCTTCCTACCTTTCTTTTCTTTCTTCCTTCCTTTCGAGACAGGATCTTGCTCTGTCACTCAGGCTGGAGTGCAGTGGCACGATCTCTGCTCACTGCAACCTCCATCTCCCAGGTTCAAGCAATTCTCGTGCCTCAGCCTCCAAAGTAGCTGGGACTACAGGTCCATGCTACCACTCTCGACTAATTTTTGTATTTTTAGTAAAGACAAGTTTCACCATGTTGGCCAGGCTGGTCTCAAATGCCTGGACTCAAGTGATCCGCCCTCCTTGGCCTTCCAAAGTGCTGGAATTACAGGGGTGAGCCACTGCGCCCAGCTGCTTCTTGCTTTCTTTATGTTTATGTCCTCCTTGTTCTCTCTCAGTATTTCCCTTGTTCTGTCAGTATTTCCCTTCACTTTGGCCCCAACTCCATCTTTTCCCTCCTCTTTTTCTACTTTGCTTCTCACTTTCTCTGACTTAAGCATTCTCTCTGGTCCTTATATCAGGCTAGGTGATTCTTTCCTTCTGAGCGCACCAACTTACTCCCCTTTCTCATTCTGGATTTTTCCAAAGCACTGCTGACATGATTCCCCCCTGCCTTCTTGCCAGGCTCCCCTATGAACCCACCCTGGGTACTCACCAGACAAAAACTCAGTCCTACTGACAATCCAACAGCAGCCACAACTGCAGCCAGGGAAATGAGGATGATAGCCCAGGGCTGTAAATATCCACTTGGTTTGATCACGTTTGTGGGTGTGTGGCTCATGCTAACTGTGTTTGTGCCCATGGACACCGGGCCTGTTTCCTGGAAGGTGCTGCTGGTTGGCTCACGGGTGGATCCTGTGGTGGTCCTGACGCCGTGGGCTGAGGTGGTAGATGATGCTCCCATAGTGGATGTACCCAGGCCAGAGGTGTTTAAGACTATTCCTGGCACAGTATGGCTGGCAGCAGAGGCCGTGAAGTCCATTCCAGGGGCCATGGTGACAGAGCTGGAGGCAGTGAGTCTGGTTCCAGTGGTTCTGGTGCCTATGAAACAGGTCACACAAGATGATGCATTTGTAGCAGAGATGATTAAAGGGGAATGGGGGTGCTTAGACCAGAGGAGGGTGAATCTAACAAACCTATGGTGGAGGTGGCTCAGGAGAGGTGTGGTGGGGGAGGAGAGATGGTAGAAAGCGATTCTGCTGTGGCCATGTCCCCAGAATGCAGGTGGGTGTCATACAGAGAAGGAGGTAGAATGTGTCACCTGGTGGAGTTGGTGATGGAGGAGGCAGAAGTTTGAGGAAACGTTATCGCGATGGGTTCAGAAGTGGAAGATCTATTTGACTTCAGAAGTGGCCACCCAAATAGAAGAGGGTGGGCTGATAAAAATGAATGAATTAACAGCATTTGCAGTGACCTGGATGAGATTTTAGACTATTCTTCTAAGTGAAGTAACTCAGGAATGGAAAACCGAACATCGTATGTTCTCACTGATATGTGGGAGCTAAGCTATGGAAATACGAAGACATAAGAATGATGCAATGGACTTTGGGGACTTTGGGGGAAGAGTGGGAGGGGGCGAGGGATAAAAGACTTCAAATATGGTGCAGTGTATACTACTAGGGTGATGGGTGCACCAAAATCTCACAAATCACCACTAAAGAACTTATTCATATAACCAAATACCACCTGCATCCCAATAACTTATGGAAAAAATTGAAAATAAATAAATCAAAGCAGATCAAATAAGTGGGTGGGCTGGTATACAAAGCGGCAGGCCCTGCTTCTTTTGTGACTGTGATCACTGGGTGTAAGGAGGGAGCTGGAGGAGGAGATGGTAGAATTGGATTCACTCATGGGCATGCCAGTGGCCGTGGCTGGGACAGAGGTGACATCATCTACCACACTGTGGTGATCAGCAAAGGTGAGGTGAGTGTGCTTGGGCAGATGTAGGAGGACCTGACCCAAGTGGAGAAGGCTGCTCACAGGGATAGGAGAGGGTGGGCTCAGACAGGTGTGAGCACGAATCAACACAGCAGAGGCGGTGGTGGCGGCTTAGGTAGCGATGGGTGTGCCTAGGTCAGAAGTGGTTAAAATGGGATCACAAACAGCACCAGTCATGAGAATAGAAGTGAGTATGCTTAGAACCAAGAGGATAGAATCAGATGTAACCGGCTTGCTGATGGCAAGTGCCAGAGAATGAACAAAATTGTTTGGTCTCAGACTGGAGCAAAGGTTGCCAAATTTTTTCTGTAAAGGTCCAAACAGCAAATAATTTAGGCTTTTGGGCCAGGCTGTCTCTGTTGCAAATACACGGAAAAGCAGAAAAGCAGCTGGAGACAAACCATAAATGAATGGGCATGACTATGTTCCAGTAAAACTTTACAAAACCAGGTAACAGGTGAGACTTGACCCATGAAATGTGGTCTGCCAGCCTCTGGTCTAGAGTCAATACATTGATAGGAGGTGGCAGTGTCACAGATGGTTGGTTGAATAGAGATAATCTACTTGGCACCGAAGTGGGAGCATTTCACAAAACTGTGATGGGCCAGTAGAGTTGAGGCGGGCTTGCTGGAGGAAGATGTGACAGATATGATGCACTTGTGGTTTACTATATTGTGGTTCTGATTGCAATGGAAGTGGTGGGCACTTAAAAAAAAAGAGGTGAGACCAGAGTAGAGGCAATTAGGATTCCAGAAGAGGACATTTTTTTTTTTTTTTTTTGAGACGGAGTCTCGCTCTGTCGCCCAGGCTGGAATGCAATGGCGCGATCTCTGCTCACTGCAAGCTCCACCTCCCGGATTCACATCATTCTCCTGCCTCAGCCTTCCGAGTAGCTGGGACTACAGGTGCCCGCCACCACGCCCAGCTAATTTTTTGTATTTTTAGTAGAGACTGGATTTCACCGTGTTAGCCAGGATGGTCTCAATCTCCTGATCTCGTGATTCGCTCGCCTCAGCCTTCCAATGTGCTGGGATTACAGGCATGAGCCACCGCGCCCAGCCTAGAAGAGGAAATTATATCTAACTGTGTGCTGGCTTGACTTGAACCAGGGCAGAGATGATAGAAACAGGTGAACAGCTGGTGGTTGCCACTGGAGTTAAAATGTGTGGGCTCAAAGAAGACATGGGGGTTAGTACCTGACATAGGTGTGTTGGTGATGGGCTGGATAGAAACGTCAGTGGCCTTGGTGAGTACAAACGTGGTGGAAGAGACAGTGGTGGAGGCTGCAGTGGCCCCAGAAGCTGTGATAGAGACTGTGGTGGTCTCAGAGCCTGTGAGGGAAGTTGCAGTGGGCTCCAAGCTTGCAGTGGAAGCTATGGTGGTCTCAGAGCCTATGATGAAGGCAGTGTTGGTCTCAGAGCCTGCACTGGAGGGTGTGGAGGTCTCAGAACCTGTGGTACAGGCTGTGTTGGTCTCAGAGCCTGAAGTGGAGGCTGTGGTGGTCTCAGAGCCTGCAGTGGAGGCTGTGGTGGTCTCAGAGCCTGCAGTGGAGGCTGTGGTGGTCTCAGAGCCTTCAGTAGAGGTGGTGGTGGCCTCAGAGCCTGCAGCAGAGGATGTGGTGGCCTCAGAGCCTATGGTAGAGACTGTGGTGGTCTCAGAGACTGTGGTAAAGACTGTAGTCATCTCAGAGCCTGTGGTAGAGGCTGTGGTGGTCTCAGAGCTAGTGGTAGAAACTGTAGTGGCCTCAGAGCCTTCAGTAGAGGCGGTGGTAGTCTTAGAGCCTGTGATATAGACTGTTGTGGTCTCAGAGCCTGCGGTAGAGGCTGTGGTGGTCCCAGAGCCTGAGGTGGAGACTGTGGTGGTCTCCAAATCTGCGGTAGAGGCTGTGGTGGTCTCAGAGCCCGTGGTAGAGACTGTGGTTGTCTCAGAGCCTTCAGTAGAGGTGGTGGTAGTCTCAGAGCCTGTGGTATAGACTGCTGTGGTCTCAGAACCTGCAGTAGTGACTGTAGTGGTCTCTGAACCTTCAGTAGAGGTGATGGTAGTCTCAGTGCCTGTGGTAGAGACTGTGGTGGTCTCAGAGCCTGTGGAGGAGACTGTAGTGGTCTCAGAGCCTTCAATAGAGGCTGTGGTGGTCTCAGAGCCTGCAGTAGAGACTGTGGTGGTCTCTGAGCCTGCAGTAGAGGCCGTGGTGGTCTCAGAGCCCATAGTAGTGACTGTAGTGGTCTCAGAGCCTTCAGCAGAGACTGTGATGGTCTCAGAGCCTGTGGTAGAAACTGTAGTGAGCTCAGAGCCTTCAGTAGAGGCTGTGGTGGTCTCAGAGCCTTCAGTAGAGGCTGTGGTGGTCTCAGAGCCTGTGGTAGAAACTGTAGTGATCTCAGAGCCTTCAGTAGAGGCTGTGGTGGTCTCAGAGCCTTCAGTAGAGGTGGTGGTAGTCTCAGAGCCTTCAGTAGAGGCTGTGGTGGTCTCAGAGCCTATGGTAGTGGCTGTAGTGGTCTCAGAGCTTTCAGTAGAGGCTGTGGTGGTCTCAGAGCCTTCAGTAGAGGCTGTAGTGGTCTCAGAGCCTTCAGTAGAGGTGGTGGTGGTGGTCTCAGAGCCTGCTGTAGAGGCTGGGATGGTCTCAGAGCCTGCAGTGGAGACTGTGGTGGTCTCAGAGGCTGTGGTAGAGGCTATGGTGGTCTCAGAGTTTTCAGTGAAGACTGTGGTCATTTTAGAGCTTGCAGTGGAGACCTTGGTGGTCTCAGAGCCTATGGTAGAGGCCATAGTGGTCTCAGAGCCCATGATGGATGCCATGGTGGTCTCAGAGCTTGTAGTAGAGGCTGTGGTGGTCTCAGAGCCTGTAGTAGAGGCTGAGGTGGTCTCGGAGCCTTCAGTAGAGGCTGTGGTGGTCTCGGAGCCTTCAGTAGAGGCTGTGGTGGTCTCAGAGCCTGTGATGGAGGCTGTAGTAATCTCAGAGCCTTCAGTAGAAGTGATGGTGGTCTCTGAACCTGTGGTAGAAACTTTAGTGGTCTCAGAGCCTGTGATGGAGACTGTAGTGGTCCCAGAGCCTTCAGTAGAGACTGTGGTCTCAGAGCCTGTGGCAGATACTGTAGTGGTCTCAGAGCCTTCAGTAGAGGTGATGGTCCTCTCAGAGCCTGTGGTAGAGACCATGGTGGTCTCAGAGTCTGTGGTGGAGACTGTAGTGGTCTCAGAGCCTTCAGTAGAGGCTGTGGTGGTCTCAGAGCTTGTAGTAGAGGCTGTGGTGGTCTCAGAGCCTGTAGTAGAGGCTGAGGTGGTCTCAGAATCTGCAGTAGATGCTGTGGTGTTCTCAGAATCTGCAGTAGAGACTGTGGTGGTCTCAGAGCCTGCAGTGGAGGCTGCAGTGGTCCCAGAGCCTTCAGTAGAGTCTGTGGTGGTCTCAGCACCTGTGGTGGAGACTGTAGTCATCTCAGAGCCTTCAGTGGAAGTGGTGGTGGTCTCCAAGCCTGTGGTGGAAACTGTAGTGGTCTCAGAGCCTGTGGTGGAGACTGTAGTGTTCTCAGAGCCTTCAGTAGAGACTGTGGTCATCTCAGAGCCTGTGGCAGAGACTGCAGTGGTCTCAGAGCCTTCAGTAGAGGCTGTGGTGGTGTCAGAGCCTATGGTAAAGACTGTGGTGGTCTCCAAGCCTGTATTAGAGGCTGTGGTGGTCTCAGAGCCTGTAGTATAGGCTGTTTTGGTCTCAGAGCCTGCGGTAGTGACTGTAGTGGTCTCAGAACCTTCAGTAGAAGCTGTGGTGGTCTCAGAGTCTGAAGTAGAGGCTATTGTGATCTCAGAGCCTTCAGTAGAGGCTGTAGTGGTCTCAAAGACTGTGGTGGAGACTGCAGTCATCTCAGAGCCTTCAGTACAGGTGGTGGTGGTCTCTGAGTCTGTGATAGAAACTGTAGTGGTCTCAGAGCCTGTGGTGGAGACTGTAGTGGCCTCAGAGCCTTCAGTGGAAGCTGTGGTGGTCTCAGAGCCTTCAGTAGAGGCTGTGGTGGTCTCAGAGCCTGTGGTAGAATCTGTGCTGGTCTCAGAGCCCATGATGGAGGCTGTGGTGGTCTCAGAGCCTGTGGTAGAGACTGTGGTGGTCTCAGAGCCTACGGTAGAGGCTCTGATTGTCTCAGAGCCTGCAGCAAAGACTGTGGTCACCTCAGAGCTTGCAGTGGAGACCTTGGTGGTCTCAGGGCCTATGGTAGAGGCCATAGTGGTCTCAGAGCCCATGGTGGATGCCATGGTAGGCTCAGAGCCTGTAGTAGAGGCTGCGGTTGTCTCAAACCCTGTAGTAGAGGCTGTGGTAGTCTTAGAATCTTCAGTAAATGCTGTGTTGGTTTCAGAATCTTCAGTAGAGGCTGCAGTGGTCTCAGAGCCTGCAGTGGAGACTGTGGTCTCAGAGCCTGCAGTTGAGACTTTGGTGGTCTCAGAGCCCATGGTGGAGGCTGCAGTCGTCTCAGAATGTGCAGTAGAGGCTGTTGTGGTCTCAGAGCCTGTGGTGGAGACTGTAGTGGTCTCAGAGCCTGCAGTAGAGACTGTGGTGGTCTCTGAGCCTGCAGTAGAGGGTGTGATGGTTTCCGAGCCTGCAGTGAAGACTGTGGTCATCTCAGAGCCTGTGGTAGAGGCTGCAGTGGTCTCAGAATCTGCAGTATAGGCTGTGGTGGTCTCAGAGCCCACGGTGGAGACTGTGGTGGTCTCAGAGCCTGCAGTAGAGGTGACGGTGGTCTCAGAGCTTGTAGTAGAGTTTGTGGTGGTCTCTGAGCCCATGGCAGAGACCATGGTGGTCTCAGTGCCTGTGATAGAGACTGTAGTGGTCTCAGAGCCTGCAGTGGAGACGGTGGTCTCAGAGCCTGCCATAGAAGCTGTGGTGGTCCCAGAGCCTGCACTAGAGACTGTGGTGTTCTCGGATCCTGCCGTAGAGGTGGTGGTGATCTCAGAACCTGAAATAGAGACTATGGTGGTCTGAGAGCCTGTGGGGGAGGGGGTGGTGGTCTCAGAACCTGCTGTAGAGGCTGTGGTGGTCTCAGAGGCTTTAATCAGGATTGTAGTGGTCTCAGAGCCTGTGGTAGAGGCTGTGGTGGTGTTAGAGCCTGCAGCGGGGGCCACAGTGGTCTCAGAGCTCATGCTGGACGCCGTGATCACCTTGGAGTCTGCAGTTGAGGTTGTGGTGGCCTCAGAGCCTGCCATGGAGGTGGAGGTAGTGGTGGTCTCAGAACCTGCAGTAGATGCTGTGGTGGTTTCAGAGCCTGTGGTAGAGACTTTAGTGGCCTCAGAGCTTGCAGTGGAGGTGGTGGTGGTCTCAGAGCCTGTGGTAGAGACTGTGGCAGTCTCAGAGCCTGTGGTGGAGGCCATGGTGGTCTCAGAAATTATGGAGGAGGCCATCGTTTTCTCAGAGCCTGCAGTGGAGGTTGTGCTGGAGGCCATGGTAGTCTCAGGGACTGTAGTGGAGGCTATAGTAAAGGTTGTTGTGGTCCCAGAGACTGTGGTGGAGGCCACGATAGTTTCAGAGCCTGCAGTGGAGCCTGTGGTTGTGTCAGAGCCTGTGGTGAAGGTCCCAGTGGAGGCTATAGTAGTCCCTGAGTCTGTGGTGGAGGCCGTGTTGGTCTCAGAGCCTGTGGTGAAGGCTGCAGTAGAAGCCATGGTGGAGGCTGAGGTTGTCTCAGAGCCTGTGGTAGAGTCTGTGGTGATCTTAGAGCCTGTAGTTAAGGCCGTAGTAGAGGCCATGGTGGAGGCCATGGTGGTCTCAGAGCCTGTGATGGAGGCTGTGGTGGTGTCGGAGCCTTTTGTGAAGGCTGTGGTATTCTCAGAGCCTGAGGTGGAGAACAAATAAGGTGGTGGGAATGGGTTAAAGATGAATTTGCTGGTTTAGTATAGTGTTACTTTCACATATACTCAGTACTGCTTATTCATTTATTTATTCAGTTATTGAGGGCTTAACATGTACCTGGTATTTTACTAAATTCTGGGCATACTCCTGTCAGCAAAAGGGATATGGGCTTATAATTTAGTAAAGAAGAGAGCTACAATATAAAATATAAATACACATTGGCTTAAGTGCTGTTAAAGAAAGCAGTGGTGCTGCTTTAGATACTGGAGTCAGAAAAGGTCTCTCTGAGGAACTGACATATGAACTGAGATCTGAAGGATAAGAAGGCAGCCATTTGGGCTGGGCGCAGTGGCTCAAGCCTGTAATCCCAGCACTTTGGGAGGCCAAGGCAGGCAGATCACCTGAGGCCGGGAGTTCAAGACCAGCCTGACCAATATGGAGAAACCCCATCTCTACTAAAAATACAAAATATAGCCAGGCATGGTGGCGCATGCCTATAATCCCAGCTATTCAGGAGGCTGAGGCAGGAGAATCACTTGAACCGGAAGGCGGAGGTTGCGGTGAGCCAAGATTGCACCACTGCACTCCAGCCTGGCCAACAAGGGCAAAACTCCATCTTAAAAAAAAAAAAAAAAAGAAGGCAGCAATTTGAAAGGCCAGGAGAAGGACATCACAGATTGATAGCATAAGTACAAATACCCTGAGTTGTTAATGAGCTCGATGTGATTCATGAATATATAGGAGACCAGGGTGGCTGGAATGTAGTTACTGAAGGAGAAAACGAGGCGGTAGAGAGACCTTTTCTAACCATAATCTCTGAAGCAGGACCCCTGCCTTTTTAACAACACATAACCCAAAGGTGTATTTACATTCTTTATATTCTAAACTCTTCTTTACAAGAACATAAGCCCACATTTCTTTTGCTGACAGGGGTATACTCAGAGTTTAGCAAAATACCATGGTAGAAAGGTTAAATTTCATCTCAAATACAATGAAGACCCACTGGAATAACATACTCTGGTTAATTTCTCTTTGTTTTTATTTTGAAAAAAAAATCACAAATTCTTTTGTAACAAGTATAACACAAAGAACCCTTTTCCCTGAATCATTTGGGAGTTACTTGGTAACCTGATGTCTCATTATCCTTCAATACTTTATATATTCTCATACGCAACCATAATACAGCCATCAAGATCAAGAAATTCACATGAATATATTGCTGCCACCTGATCCTTAGATCCCTTTCAAGTTTTGTTAGTTGTTCTAATAATGTCTTTAATAGTAAACCAGTTCAATTCAGAATCGTGTGTTGTTTTTCGTTGTTCTGTCTCTTTAGTCTTCTTCAGTCTGGTGCAGTTCTTCAGTCTTCCTTTGATCTCATAACTTTTAACCTTTGAAGATTACAGGTCAATTATTTTATAGAATTTTCCTTAAACTGAGTTTTTGTAATGTTTCATCATGATTAGGCTCATGTTATTAATCTTTGCCAGGAAAACCACTGAAGTGATGCTGTATTCTTCTCTTTGCATACTATCAGGTGACAGATAATATCAATGTGTCCCATCATTGATGATGTTCTCTTGGATTACTTGATTAAGAAGGTGTATCCAGGCTGGTTTTTCTCCCTTTGTAGTTAGTAAATATTGTGTTGTGATTATAATTATGAAATGTCTCTCTTTATCCCTAATAATATACCTCTTCTTAAGCCTATTTTGTCTGATTTTGAAATAGTCACTCAATTTTTTTTTAAATTGATGTTAGCATGGCTAACATACAGTATGGCCGTATCTTTCTTCCTCTTATTTTTATCCTATTGTTTACCCTATTTGTAGTTATAGTTAGTTAAAATGTATTTCTTGGTTGAATATTATTTATTTGGGGCTTTCTTTTTTAACCAATGTGTCAATCTCTGCCTTTTAATTGTGGTGTCTGGACCATATACATTTAATGTAATTATAAATACGTTGGGTCTGATTCTTTTTTAGAGACAGAGTCTTGCTCTGTCTCTCAGGCTATAATGCAGTGGCACAATCACGGCTGACTGCAGCCTTGACTTTCTAAGCTCAAGAAATCCTCCTGCCTCAGCCTCCGAACTATCTAGGATCACAGGCACGAGTCATGATGCCTGGCTAATTACTTTTTAATTTTTATTTCTTGTAAAGATGGGGTCTCCCTATGTTGCCTGGGCTTGTCTCGAACTCCTGGGCTCAAGTAATCTTCCTGCCTCAGCCCCAAAAAGTGCTGGAATTACAAGTGTGAACCACTGTAGCTGGCCCTGAATTTAATAGTCTTCATATTTGTTTTCTATTTTTCTCATCTGATCTTCTTACCTTTTCCTCCATTTTTCGCCTACTTTTTTTTTTTTTAATTAACCCAGTATTTTGTTTTTTGTTTTGTTTTGTTTTTTGAGCGTCTTGATCTGTCACTCAGGCTGGAGTGCAGTGATGGGATCTCAGCTCACTGCCAATTCCACTTCCCAGGTTCAAGTGATTCTCCTGCCTCGGCCTCCTGAGTAGCTGGAACCACAGGCATGCGCCACCACGCCCAGCTAATTTTTGTATTTTTAGTAGAGACAGGGTTTCACCACGTTGCCCAGGCTGGTCTCTAACTCCTGGCCTCAAGTGATCCACCTGCCTCAGCCTCCCAAAGGGCTGGGATTACAGGCATAAACCGCTGCACCATGACCTGAGTCATTTTTGACCCCATTTTATTTCCACCATTAGCTTATTAAATATCACTTATTTGTGTGCCTTTGCTCTAGGATTTACGATATACACCTTTATCACTGTCTACCTCCCAGTGAGCTCATTCCTCTTCATGTAAAGGCATGAGAGTCTCAACACAGTACACTTCCATTTCCTTTTTCTATCCCTTGTACCACTGTTGTCATACATTTTATGTCTACATACAAGCCTCATAATTCATTATTACTCAAGTATATTATCTTTTAAAATTTAAATGAAAAAAATTTTATTTTTACCCATATATTTATCATTTCCAGCACACTTCATTCTTTTTTGCATAGATCTAAATTTTTTCTTCCTGAAGAACTTTTACATTTAAAAAAAAATGTCAGTCTTGCCCGTCGATTCACACCTGTAATCCCAGCATTTTGGGAAGCAGAGGCAGGCAGATCACCAGGAGTTCGATACCAGCCTAACCAAAATTGAGAACCCCCATCTGTACTAAAAATACAAAATTAGCCAGGCATGGTGTGGCTAATTACATGCCTGTAATCCCAGCTACTCGAGAGGCTGAGGCAGGAGAATCGCTTGAACCCAGTGTGTCTGGAATTGGTGGGTTCTTGGTCTCACTGACTTCAAGAATGAAGCCACAGACCCTCACAGTGAGTGTTACAGCTCTTAAGGTGGCATGTCTGGAGTTTGCTCCTTCTGATGTTTGGATGTGTTCGGAGTTTCTTCCTTCTGGTGGGTTTGTGCTCTCGCTGGCTCATGAGTGAAGCTGCAGACCTTCACAGTGAGTGTTAACAACTCTTAAGGCCGTGCGTGTGGAATTGTTCCTTCCTCTCAGTGGGCTTGTGGGCTCGCTGGCTTCAGGAGTGAAGCTGCAGACCTTTACAGTGAGTGTTACAGATCATAAAAACAGTGTAGACCCAAAAAGTGAGCAGTAGCAAAATCTATTGCAAAGAGCAAAAGAACAAAGTTTCCACAGTGTGGAAAAGGACCCAAGCAGGTTGCCACTGCTGGCTCGGGCAGCCTGCTTTTATTCTCTTATCTGGCCCCACCCACATCCTGCTGATTGGTAGAGCCGAGTGGTCTGTTTTGACAGGGTGCTGATTGGTGCGTTTACAATCCCTGAGCTACATACAAAGGTTCTCCACGTCCCCATCAGATTAGTTAGATACAGAATATGGACACAGAGGTCCTCCAAGGCCCCTCCAGAGCAGCTAGATACAGAGTGTCAACTGGTGCACTCACAAACCTTGAGCTAAACACAGGGTGCTGATTGGTGTGTTTACAAACCTTGAGCTAGATACAGAGTGCCGATTGGTGTATTTACAATCCCTGAGCTAGACATAAAGGTTCTCCAAGGCCCCACGAGAGCAGCTAGATACAGAGTGTTGATTGGTGCACTCACAAACCCTGAGCTAGACACAGGGTGCTGATTGGTGTGTTTACAAACCTTGAGCTAGATACAGAGTGCCGATTGGTGTATTTACAATCCCTGAGCTAGACATAAAGGTTCTCCAAGGCCCCACCAGAGCAGCTAGATACAGAGTGTCCATTGGTGTACTCACAAATCCTGAGCTAGACACAGGGTGCTGATTGGTGTATTTACAATCCCTAAGCTAGACATAAAGACTCTCCACGTCCCCACCAGACTCAGGAGCCCAGCTGGCTTCACCCAGTGGATCCCGCCCCGGGGCCGCAGGTGGAGCTGTCTGCCAGTCCTACACCATGCGCTCACAGTCCTCAGCCCGTGGGCGGTCGGTGGGACTGGGCGCCCTGGAGCAGGGGGCGGCGCTCATCGGGGAGTGCCCATGGAGGGGGTGGGAGGCTCAGGCATGGCGGGCTGCAGGTCCCCAGCCCTGCCCCATGGGAAGGCAGCTAAGGCCCAGTGAGAAATCCAGTGCAGCGCCAGTGGGCCGGCACTGCTGGGGGACCTAGTACACCCTCCGCAGCCACTGGCCCAGGTGCTAAGCCCCTCACTGCCCGGGGCCTGCAGGGCCCGCTGGCTGCTCCGAGTGCGGGGGCCGCCAAGCCCACGCCTACCCGGAACTGCAGCTGGCCCGCAAGCGCCGCGCACAGTACCGGTTCCCGCTGGCGCCTCTCCCTCCACACCTCCCTGCAAGCTGAGGGAGCCGGCTCTGGCCTCGGCCAGCCCAGAAAGGGACTCCCACAGTGCAGCGGTGGGCTGAAGGGCTCCTCAAGTGCCGCCAAAGTGGGAGGCCAGGCAGAGGAGGTGCCGAGAGCAAGCGAGGGCTCTGAGGACTGCCAGCACGCTGTCACCTCTCACCGGGAGGCAGAGGTTGCAGTGAGCCAAGATCGTGCCATTACACTCCAGCCTGGGGCAACAAGAGCGAAACTCCGTATCAAAAAAAAAAAAAAAAAAAAAGTCAATTTCCAGGAGGCAAGGTCTTCCAGTTTTTGCTTGTCTAGAAAAGCCTTCATTTCATCTTCATATTGAAAATATTCTTACTCCGTGTAATTCTAGGTTGATAAAGTATTTTTTTCTTTCAGTATTTTAATGATGTTGCTTCTTTATCTTCTGGTTGTCATGGTTTTTCACAGGAAGTCTGTTAGATGCTTGTCTTTGCTCCTCTCTATACAATGTGTCTTTTCTAGCTCGTTCTAGGATTTCCCTTTTATCACTGATTTTTAGTTATTTGATTACGTTGTACTTTGGTATGATTTTTTAAAGTTTATTTTGCTTGATATTTGTTGAGTTCTTGGGATCTGTGAGTTTATAGTTTTCATCAAATTTAATTTTTTCAGCTACTATTTCTTTAAACATGTTTTCGGTTCCCTTTTTTTCTGGAACTTCAATAACACATATTGTAGACAAAACATTGTCTCACAAAATCACTGGTATTCTATTCATTCATTTTCAGCCCATACTCCCTCCACCCCATACTCCCTCTCACCCTCACAAGATTCTGACAAAACATGCCAGGCTGCCACTCTGTGGAGAAGTCCACTTCATCCAATTTAGTTTCTTGCTCTGTCACCCAGGCTGGAGTGCAGTGGTGCTATCTCGGCTCATTGCAACTTCCACCTCCCGGGTTCAAGGGATTCTCCTGCCTCAGCCTCCTGAGTAGCTGGAAATACAGACATGTGCTACCACACCCAGCTAATTTTTGTATTTCTAGTAGAAACAGAGTTTTGCCATGTTGGCCAGGCTGCCCTCGAACTCCTGACCTCAGGTGATCTGCCCACCTCAGCCTCCCAAAGTGCTAGGATTACAGGTGTGAGCCACCGCACCCGGCCCAGTTCAGTTTCTTATATCCTCCTCTGGGCCACTGCTGTCTCCCCTCCTGTCCAACCCTGATATCTGCTTTGCTCTGCCTCACCTAATGATCTGGGGCTTAATCATTCAGGAAGGGAAGAGAAAGTAGAAAACAAAACTGATTTATGTTTTTAAAAGATGCTGTGTGAAAACTGGCATGTAGGAGGGCAAGAGTGAAAAAATTAAGAGCAGTAATTATTGCTTGAACTAGGATGGTAGCAGGGGAGATACATTTCAGTGGATGAATACAAGCTATGTTTTGAAATTAGAAAAGTAGAACCAATAGGAAGTGTTGAAAGGCTGCATGTGGTGGATGACACGAAAAGAAGTCAAGAACAACTTCTAGCTTTGGGGCTTACGCAGAGTGGAAATTAGTTCTATTTATCTGAATGAATAGGGATGAAGTGGAAGTTGGAAATATTAGACTTTGAACTTTTTGTGCCCATTAGATATCCAGGAGACTGTTGGCAGTTGGAAACCTGCACTTAGTTCTCAGAGGAGAAATCAGATCAAAAGACGTGAAACTGGAAGTCATTTAAATATACATTGTATTTAAAGCCATGAAGCTGACTGAGATCACTTGTCTGGGAGAGTATAGTTGGAGAATAGGGCGCTGGACCAAGCCCTGGCCACTGCATCACTCAGATAGAGGAGGAGACGCAAATGAATGAGACTGAGAAGGAGCATCCACTAAGGCAGAAAGAAAACTCTAAAAAGTGAATCAAGGAAGTCAAGAGAATAGAGAGGCTCTAGAAAAATATGGCAGTTAGCTGAATTGATTTTTGCAGAGAGATCAAGTAAGGTATGGCCTGGGCCATGTCCATTAGATTCAGAGACAGTATGGAAGTGAGTTTAGTTTATTGAAAACAGATTTGCATGATGGGGTAGACCCCAATTGGAATGAATAAAAGAATAAGTATATATGGAGGCTTATGGATTTCATAGAAGAATAAAAAGTAGAGAAATAACAAAACACATACCTCCACAAGGACAAACGATGGAGAGATAACAGCAGAGGAAATATTTAATTTTTGTTTTTTTGAAGGTAATAGGCAGATGAGTGGTAACTCCCCAACACAACAGAGAAAGCTTCAACATACAGGCCTCCATTGGGGGTGAGAGTAAGTCAACTACTGGTAGATTATTAATTCTGTGGAATCCTGGAAAGATTCGGGAATTGCAACTGGGTTCCTCTAAAGATTTGGGTGTGGCATGTGACTAAATACAGGAAGGATAGTTGAAATACAATGTAGCTGGGAACTGTCTCTCAGCTCCAGATCACTCCTTCCACTCAAGGACTTGGATGAATACACCTCTCTCCCTTTTAACAGCTTAGGGTTTTATCTCAAAGAAACTCTAGACCAGTAATCCCAGGCACTGCTGAAGGCAGGAGTGAAAGTGTATCCAGAATTGGTGGGTTCTTGGTCTGACTTCAACAATGAAGCCGTGGACTCTCGCCTTGAGTGTCACAGTTCTTACAAGTGGTGTGTCCTGAGTTTGTTCCTTCTGATGTTCAGATGTGTTCAGCGTTTCTTCTGGTGGGTTCGTGATCTCACTGGCCTCAGGAGTGAAACTGCAGATTTTCGCAGTGACTGTTACAACTCATAAACGCAGTGTGGACTCAAAGAGTGAGCAGCAGCAATATTTATCACAAAGAGTGAAAGAACAAAGTTTCCACACTATGGAAGGGTACCCAAGCGGATTGCCACTGCTGGCTCAGGGCAGCCTGCTTTTATTCCCTTATCTGGTGGCACCCACATCCTACTGATTGGTCCATTTTACAGAGCGCCGATTGGTCTGTTTTACAGAGAGCTGATTAGTCTGTTTTGACAAGGTGCTGACTGGTGTGTTTACAATCCCTGAGCTAGACACAAAAGTTCTCCAAGTCCCCACAGAGCACTGATTGGTGCATTTACAAACCTTGAGCTATACACAGGGTGCTGATTGGTATGTTTACAAACTTTGAGCGAGACACAGGGTGCTGATTGGTGTATTTACAATCCCTTAGCTAGACATAAAGATTCTCCAAGTCCCCACCAGATTAGCTAGACACAGGGTGCTGACTGGTGTGTTTACAAACCTTGAGCTAGACACAGAGTGCTGATTGGTGTATTTACAATCCCTTAGCTAGACATAAAGATTCTCCGAGTCCCCACCAGATTAGCTAGACACAGGGTGCTGATTGGTGCATCTGCAAACCTTGAGCTAGACACAGAGTGCTGATTGGTGTATTTACAATCCCTCAGCTAGACATAAAGGTTCTCCAAGTCCCCACTACACTCAGGAGCCCAGCTGGCCTCACCTAGTGGATCCTGCACCTGGGCCGCAGATGGAGCTGCCCGTCAGTCCCACGCCGTGCGCCAGCACTCCTCAGCCCTTGGGCAGTCTATGGGACCGGGTGCCGCAAAGCAAGGGGCAGCGCTCGTCTGGGAGGTTCTGGCTGCACAGGAGCCCATGGCGGCGTGGGGGAGGCTCAGGCATGGCGGGCTGCAGGTCCCGAGCCGTGCCCCTCAGGGAGGCAGCTGAGGTCCGGCTGGAATTGGAGCGCAGCACCCGCCGGCACTGCTGGGGAACCTGGCGCACCCTCCGCAGCTGCTGGCCCGGGTGCTAAGTTCCTCACTGCCTGGGGCCGGCTGTGCTGGCCACGCCAGCCCGAGGCTCAGAGTGTGGGGCCCCCCGAGGCCACGCCCACCTGGAACTAGTGCTGGCCCGCAAGTGGCGCAGGCAGCCCGGGTTCCCGCCCGTGCCTCTCCCTCCACATCTCCCTGAAAGCTGAGGGAGCTGGCTCCGGCCTCGGCCAGCCCAGAGAGGGTCTCCCACAGTGCAGCGGGGGGCTGAAGGGCCCCTCAAGCGCAGCCAGAATGGGTGGCGAGGCCGAGGAGGCTCCGAGACTGAGCGAGAGCTGCCAGCACCCTGTCACCTCTCAAAAGGTTTTACTGAAACTATGCAATTAAGGAAATGCTTACACCCTGAAATGTAAAACCCACATTACCTATTCCCTTGCTCAGCTTCCAGCACTTCAGCAGCTATGCTAGTATGCTCTAGACAGGATCTGGAGAATTCTTGTGGAAAGAAATTAGCCAACACTAGATACTGACATTTTGAGGATCTTCCCAATCTAAACTGCCACGTCTCTGCTAAATTACCCTAAAGCTAAGTCCACCAGTTGACAGGCCCTACCCCTGCTCACAAAGCTTCCAGGCATCATATTAGTGCCTCACTCAAATGCAAAGGACATTCTGGGATTACCAGATATTTGAGAAAAATCTCTAGCTTGAAATATAGAGACCAAAACAAATATCCCTATGAAGCAAAGCCAGAGAGAACTGAGACAATGCAAACAGCAAAACCAACTTCAAATGTCCTCAGCAATATAAGAGAAAGTATAGCACCCACGAAAAAAAAAAAAAGTAAGAGATGCCATCTTAAAAATGGTTGTAGAGAAAAAAAAGATCTCTTTGAAAAAAAAAAACCTCAAAATTCACTAGAAGGATTTGAAGACTTTAGAAGCTGAGGAAATCTCCCCAGAAGAAAAATAAAACGACAGAGTTGGAAGACAGAAGAAGAAATATAAGAAAATTAGAGTGTCAGCCCAGGAGGTCAAACATCCAAATTATAAGATTTTTTCAGAAAGACAGAACAGAGAAAATGGACGAGAGGCAATTATCAAAGAAAAAAATGCAATAAAATTTCCCAGAACTGACTGATACAACTTTCTACTGTGCAAATTCCTAACACAATGAAAGAATCCATACTATGACACCATATCATGAGATTTTAGAACAGTAGTTTTAAAAATCTGAAATCCTCCAGAAGAAAAAGAATGGGTCTTTTACAAGAGGTCAGTAATCTAAATATCAGACTTCACAATCTAGAATCTAGGAATAGTGGATCAACGCCTTCAAAATCCTGAGAAAAATCATATCCATCCTAGAATTCTATAACCAGCTAAACTATGAGTCAAATGTGAGGGTGGAATAAGACATTTTCAGACGTATAAGGTCTATGGACAGCTGGGCCCATCTTTCTCTTCTTCCTGGGCACATGGCTAAGTTACATTTGTCAACCTCTCTTGTAGCTAGGTAGGGCTACATGTCTAAGCCCTAGTCAGAGGCCCCTGAAGGGAAGGAATACATATTAATTTCCACTTCATTTCTTTAAGAGTAAATACCTATTCCTTGATTTCTGCTTGTATATATATTTTTAATTTCTGTATATTATCATGTTTTGACATCTTAACAAACTTTTCTAGCTAGGGAGAGACAGGACCTTCCAGGGCTAGCCAATTCTTAAAAGTAGCAAAGGGACCAGCCAGGAGCATGAGCTGATATGCAGACTAACCATTCCAGAGCCATAGCTCCTCTATCTGGCCCATATACTCCAGGAAACAATATTTATCTGCCTTAGTCATTCCAAAGTCAAGTACTAGGCAACTAGGTGGTAATCAGCCATATAGCTCAAAGAACACAGGAATTATTCAAACCAGCCAATCCTAAACTGTTCACCCTGCCTTTCCTTGCCTTTCCCACAGAAACCCAATAAAAGGAAAGACATAAATCTTTCCTTCACTCCTGTCTTCTGCCTCCTGACTACCTTGGTGTCTTTCTCAGGTGGTCCCACATGGCAGTGCCATGCCTCCTGTCTCTAGGGCCTGTAAGCCTCTCCTCTTGTGGCTGCACTTTGACTGACTGTATCATAAAATAATACAAAATACTGTTTTTCTTCCCTCTCCTTGGGCTGAAATGATGATGACACTGGAAACCATATGTTGAAGACGGAAGAACCATATTCACCCAGGATCCCTGAATGACTGCATGGAGCAGAGCTCCCACCATCCTATAATACTTACCTTAGGACTGGTACAAGGGAGAAAAATAAACTTGTTTTTCAAAGCCACTTTCGGGATCTCCTTGTTACAGCAGCTTAGCATTACCCTAACAGTGCATAAGGTTTTAAAATAATTTCCCACCATAAACTCTCTCTCTCAGGAAGCTTCTAGAGAAAGTGATGCTCCAAGATGGAAAAATAAAGCCAGAAAAAAGATAAGAATTTACAAGGGAAAAAAGGGAATTTCCAGAATGTTGCTGAATACAGATTGCAGGACAAGAGACCTAGCAAGCAACCAGTACTGGTTGGACAGAGGCTTCTAAATGGGATTGCTCTGGTTGGACAGAGGCTTCCAAATGGGATTGCTCAAGGGAAAAAAGTGAAACTGATAGATTGCCTCATGTGTATCGAAAAGACAGGGATACTTCTGGTGGAGGTTTTGGGATGAATTAATTACATATATGAAGAAAACTATGGACATTTTAAAAATGAGGCTATTATTAATATCTAGAAAAACAAAAATTACAAGAACGGATGGTCATCACAATGCAATTATATGACCCAGTTATAAATGTTACTAGAGGTCATTTATACTTATTATAATGTCATCACAATGCAATTATATGACCCAGTTATAAATGTTACTAGAGGTAAAATTTATAGTTATCATAATGTAAATACTAAATGCTAGTTTAACACCAAAAATTTGATACAGTCATTTGGGGAGAATTGTGAGCGGGAATGTGAGACAGTAAGTGTGTAGGGGGAGTGGTCTAAACTAAATCTTTCTTTTCATTAGAAGGAAGACAATAAATCATGCCCAAAGCAGGAAAAAAAAACCAAAAAACCTCAACCAACAAAGAAGTAATGGTAGTAAGAGAATTTATGGCCGGGTGCAATGGCTCACGCCTGTAATCCCAGTGCTTTGGAAAGCTGAGGTGAGAGGATCCCTTGAGCCCGGGAGTACCAGGCTGCAGTGAGCTATGATGGTGTCTCTGCATTCCTGCCTGGGTGACAGAGTGAGATCTTGTCTCTAAATAAATAGATAAATGCAGTATGAACGTAAATGCCAACAGGAACCCTGGGAAGCAGGACTCAGAATAAGAAGCAATTGGGGCAAGGGAATCAGGGGCTGAAGTTTTATGAGAAGCCTTGTAGGACTACAAGTATTTCTTTTTCAGAACTACTTACATCCATTACCTAATACAATAAAATAAAATAAACAAGTGAGTGGGAGGTGAGAAGTGACATAGCAAGTGTGGGGAAGTCCTTCAAGAATGGGGGTGAGGGGCCGGGCCCGGTGGCTCACACCCGTAATCCCAGCACTTTGGGAGGCCAAGGTGGGTAGATTGTCTGAGCTCAGGACTTCGAGTCCAGCCTGGGCAACACAATGAAACCCTGTCTCTACTAAAATACAAAAAATTAGCTGGGCGTGGCGGTGTGCGCCTGTAGTCCCAGCTACTCAGGAGGCTGAGGCAGGAGAATCGCTTGAACCTGGGAGGCAGAGGTTGCAGTGAGCCGAGATTGCAGCACTGCACTCTAGCCTGGGCGACAGAGCCACACTCCATCTCCAAAAAAAAAAAAAAGAATGGGGGTGAGGAGGAGAGTGGAGGGAGAGGTGGTGGCTGAGGAGTGATGCGGGGATGTTAGGATGGACATCATTCAGTGTTTGGTCCAGGGACCTCTGGGATCACACTGTCTGAAGAACCCACGCCATCCCACCAAGCTTACTGAATCAAGATCTTGCTTGGTGGGGTGTCAGGGCCTGGAAACCCAAGTTTTTAATCGTCTCCTTGGATGATACTTGTGCATACAGAACTGAGCTTGTTTGGATGCTGATGGAAAGGACCCAAGAAAGGTAAAGTGAGATGGGAGGGGAAGGAGAAATGCACTGAGCAAAGCCCCTGAGATGGCAGGAGGGTGAGAAGGCGCCCAGCATTCAGATGGAGGAGTTGGTCCTTGCTAATCCACTGTAATGGGGCTACAGGAGACACTGTTGGTTACTTTATAGATCTAGTGGTAGGAAAAGAGGAGGGGCCTTTCAGCCCTTGCACACTTGCTCCCTTTTGTTAGGAAATATTATTTAAGTCTATGTTTTACAGTAGACCAAGTGTTCCATGGGGGTCAAGACCATGGCATTTCCCACTCCATTCCTCACCCATGGCCTAGCACGCAGCAGTGCCTGGCCCAGAGGAGGAGCTCTATAAATGTTTGTTGAATGACTACATGAATGACAGTTTCTTCTGAGGTAAGGGGACTCTTGTTTAAAATCAGACAGATAGGACTGGAGTTCAGGATTAGGACAGGCGACGGGCAGATCTGGAAGGCATGGGTAGGTAGAGAACAGTTGAAGCATTCAGGGTGAAGGCAAGGGGAAAGAGAAGAAAAAGAACGCCGAGGGAAGTGCTGAAGCGGGCGAGGGAGCGAATCCAGAGTGGGGTGCAGGAAACAGATGCATACTGAGGAAGAAGGGGGAAGCACTCCAAATCCTCCACATCATCCAACCTATACCTTCTCTTTCAACCGCACCTCCCACTTCTTGACGAGCCATCCTACAGTAAAGGCAATGGAATGGATGAGCCAGTTAACCTGGTGTCTCATAATTAGGGAAGATATGTTGATGTAAGAAATCAAAGACTGGAGTGAACAGTACTATCTCAGACAGCCCACTGGAGTCACACGGAGCCCAATTCACTTCTCCCCTGGGCTGTTTCCTTTCACAGCCATTGCTGATCCAATGTCAGAGCCAACCCCTCAGTGGCCGAACTCCGGTTTGTTTCTACCAGGGAAGTTCTCAGGGGATTATACATGGATTTGGAATCAGGCAGCATCCGAAGAAGGGTTGAAGCAAAAAATCAAAAAACAGTAGATGTTGGCGTAGATGCAGTGATCAGGGAACACTTCTACACTGCTAGTGGGAATGTAAACTAGTACAGTCACTATGGAAAACAGTGTGGAGATTTCTTAAAGAACTAAAAGTAGATCTACCATTTGATCCAGTAATCCCACTACTGGGTATCTACCCAGAGGAAAAGAAGTCATTATACAAAAAAGACACTTGCACACACATGTTTATAGCAGCACAATTCACAATTGCAAAGTCATGGAACCCAAATGCCCATCAATCAACGGTGGATAAAGAAACTGGCATATATATACGATGGAATACTACTCAGCCATAAAAAGGAATGAATTAATGGCATTTGCAGTGACCTGGATGAGACTGTAGACTATTATTCTAAGTGAAGTTACTCAGGAATGGAAAACCAAACATCGTATGTTCTCACTGAGAGGTGGGAGCTAAGCTGTGAGGACTCAAACGCATGAGAATGATACAATGGACTTTGGGCACTAGGGAGGAAGGACGGGGGAGGCACGAGAGATAAAAGACTACAGATAGGGTGGGTGCAGTGTACACTGCTTGGTGACGGGTGCACCAAAGTCTCACAATTCACCAATAAAGCACTTACATAACCAAATATCACCTGTACCCAAATAACCTATGGAAAAAAAACAAAGAAGGATTGAAGGATTTTTACTTGACTTTAGACTGAGATCCTGGTTTTAATTTGGAATTAAGAATGCTATTGGAACTAGAGTTTTCCGGTTAAAAAAAAAACTTTTATCCAAGATACAAAGGAAAGTAAAATCTCACCCCCCTCCATTTCCCCAGCACCGCCCCACCGCCCCACCACATGTGCTCACAACCACAGCTGGGGGAGACTAATACAGATTTGCTTCTAAGACAGCATCAGAATCATGGTCAGTGGAATTGGGATCAGTACTGGCTTTTGCAGAAATGGGCAAAAAAAAAAAAAAAAATGAATCATCATTGTTTCTGGAAGAAGAGTCATGCCTGGGCAGGGGATTCCCCATCTCCTTCAGGGCTTATGTGGCCTCCATGCCCCTCTCCCTCCTTAACTGCTAAGTCACTTACTGGGTCCCAGAAGTCCAAAGAGAAGCAGCCACAGGAACCAGAAAGCAGGAGAGATATTTCCTCTTCTCATCTCTAAATGATGCACATAGAAGTTGTCATTTAGATGCCTGGGTTCCAAAGGAAGGATAGGTCAAAGAGGCAGAGAGACAAGGGGCAAACCCCCTGGGCCTTGATAGAAAATAAAGTTGCACAAAAAGACCCAAAGGCCAGCCAGTGCCAGGGTAAGCCTTGTAGGCAGATGGCATGGTTGGGGGGAGCCCCCAAATTGCTCCACAGTTTGGCTTCTTATTTTTCTTCTTTTTTCCTCGCAAACGTGTCTGTGGCATTTATAGCTGATACTGAGTAGGGGAGGCCAGAGCTTTGGGTCCTCCCTCCCCAGGGAGGGGCATTTCCGCACTGTGCTTTCTGCAGGGCCGTTTGGAGAGATGTACCCTACAGGAATCAAGGCGGAGGAGAGAGCAGAGTCGGCAAGACCAGAGGGCGCACACATGAGGAGGGGCAGGGAGGGAGGCAGAATGAGGGGATCAAACTTGTCGGAGTGGAAGGGACCCACCCTTTGAACCAGAGCTGACCTGAAACCTGTTTTCCCTGGGTATGCCTCATTTTCAAAGCAGGAGGCCTTTGTAGAAGAAAGAAGGAAGAAGAGAAGAAAAGGAAACAAATGGATGGTAAAGGTCAATAGCAGTCTATCTAGGGGAAGCTGGGGATTTGGAGGGTGATAAGAGCATCAGGACACACACCCGGCTTTCTCCAGAGTGCTCCTTCCCAGCTGCAGAGCAGCACATGGCTACGTGAGTGATACACTCCACTCCCTGTGAGCTCTCCAAGGGTGGGGAAAGTGGACACTGAGTGAGTCTCACTTCTAGTATCAAGCGGAAGTGAGTAGGGAAGAGGATGGGGCACGGAACTACCCATTTCCCTGAGTCAATCTTTGGCAATGGCTCTTAAGCATAGGTCAGGGACCCTGACTCACCTGCGTCCCTATTTCTAGGCTCACAACTAGCAGTTGATTGAAATTTACCCCGTGTAATTCAGATATGCAAGGAAAAATGTAGTTTGGCTTGCTATAACTCACCCAACTCAGTTTCCAGACTCTCTTTCCCACCAATGGCAGGGAAGCCTGGGGTTGGAAATGAGGATACGGGTATAAGCTTGCCAAATATTGGTGATGAAATTTCATTTTCTTTTAAAAGTGTCTCTTTTGGAAGGCATACTGTATGGTTCTAATTATATGAAAGTCAAGTACATGGAAAAATCAACTGATGATGATTAAAGTCAAAATACTGGCTACCTCTAGGGTGGCACTGATGGGGAGGAGGCAGGGGAGGCTTCTGGGGTGATGAGAATGCGGCACATCTTGATCTGGAAAGTGGGTAGGTGAGTGTATGCATGTGTTAAGATTCAACAATTGGCCGGGTGCGGTGGCTCATGCCTGTAATCCCAACACCTTGAGAGGCTGAGGTGGGAGGATTGTGTGAGCCCAGGAGTTCAAGAGCAGTCTAGGCAACATAGCAAGACCCTGTCTCTATTTCTTTAAAATAAATACATTAAAGAATTAAATAAAATTCAACGACTTGAGCACTTATGTGTCCACTCTGCACATTTTACTGCATATATTTTAAGCCTCAATTTAAAGATTAAAAACAACAGTCAAGGGTACAAACTTTCAGTTATAAGAAGAATGAGTTCTGGAACTTTAATCACATGGAGACTATAATTAACAATATTGTATTGTCTATCTGAAATTTGCTAACACACACAGAAAAGAAATGTTAAATATGTGTTGGTGATGTGTTCATTAGTTTGATAGTGGTAATTATTTCACAATGTATACTCATCAAATCAACACATTGTACACGCTGAAAACATATAATTTTTGTCTATTTTACCTCAATAAGCTTGGGGGAAGAATTAAAAACAATAAGAAAGAAAAAAATTTTGGTGGCTCACGCCTGTAATCCCAACACTTTGGGAAGCCAAGGCGGGCGGGTTAGGAGTTTGAGACCAGCCTGATCAACATGGTGAAACCCCATCTCTAATAAAAATAAAAATAAAAAAAAATTAGCTGGGCGTAGTGGTGGGTGCCTGTAATCCCAGCTACTTGGGAGGCTGAGGCAGGAGAATTGCTTGAACCTGGGAGGCAGAGGTTGTAGTGAGCCAAGATCTCACCACTGCACTCCAGCCCGGGTGACAGAGTGAGACTCCGTCTCAAAAAAAAAAAAAAAAGAAAGAAAAAGAAAACAATGTTTCAGGTCTCTTTTGGGTAAATACTTGGCCATATGAAATTTAATGCCCCTCTCAGGACTGTTTTCCCCCCATTTCAAGGGCTCTCCCCTCCACTTCTTTCCTGCACGTCCTCTGAGGGGGAATTTATGCCTCCTACTGGCAATGTGGGAACAAGACTTCGGCCCTTCAAGCTGGTCTCTCCTGAGCTCCCTCTCGTTCCATCTGGTCACTGGGATCCTGCATTGGCATCCAACGACTCTGAGACACAGTACTACCATTGTCTTCATTTTACAAATAAGGAAACTAAACCATGGAGAAGTCAAGTAATTTGGCCAAACTCACAAAGTTAGTAAGTGATGGAGTCAGGAATTAAACTATCAGTCCAGCTGCAGAGCCTGTGCTCTTCGCCATTATAAAAGGAGGTTGTCATGTCCAAACAGGACTTTGAGTCTGGCCCCTGAATATCTTCCTCCAACCAGACTGCCTGTTCCCAACTTCATCTGACATAGAAATTCTGGAGCTGTCACTGTTAGAAAGTATGCGGAATATAAAACCACAAAGCTACAGAGGCCCAGCTATGTGGAATTTGAAAAACAGATGGACGAGTCATCATAAGGGACATGTCGGGAAAATTAATGAGTTAAGAGCAGGTTGCTCGAGTGGAGCTGACTGGTCCGAGATCATTTTTTTAAATGCCTCCTTGGAGAGTCTGAGTCATGAGGGTTCTGATGACTAGGAAGGAAAGAGCAAACAGGGGTTGTGGGCTTAGGACTTGGGTTTGTTTTAGAGAGTAAGAGATTAGTTTCGCACAGAGTAGGGAATTCCAGGGACCCGGCAATTACGTAGAGTACACAATTTATAAACATAGCATAGATTTGAAATTCACCCTCGAATGACCTGTGCTGAAAGTTTGATTTAGGAAAGGCCTGTGTTCCAGATTCTCGCTGCCATCTCTCTCAACCTCACCCTGTACCGGCTTAGATTTTCTTCAACCTGGCTGGACAAGGGGTCTGCTTTCCCTTCTAATTTTAGTTTACCCCCAATTCAAGTAAGAGTTATTTTCATCACAAGGAGTCTCAATGGTACCTTCCATATAGCATATAGTTTATCAGAAAGTAACAAAAAGAAGAAGATTTTCTGTGAAATATAGCCTGATATGGTCTATGTCTGTGACCCATTTTCCCACAAATGAACCACTCTGATGGCAGCCACTGTCCCTGGATTTGGAGATCTCTCCTACGGCTGCTTAAGCTTCTTCAGCTATCTGGAGCCACCATTTGTGTAGAAATGTCCTATGTGCTTGAGTGCCCATCTTCAAATTTTCTGTTGTGTATATGTTCAAAAACAATTTTGAAAAGCTGTTTTCCCTCCTCTGTCTATGTTTAATCTAAATTTTTTATCATACATTTAATTATTGCAAAGAATGTAATTTCTACCATATTGTAAATGTAGACATTGAAATAATAAAAGTTTTTACTACTCTTTAAAATGTTTCCAGTAGACTCTAAACACTAGCAGCATCTCAATACTCATCATTATCCTTTTTTTAAATTTTATTTTACTTTAAGAGATGTGGGGGGTCTCACTATATTGCTCAGGCTGGTGTTGAACTCTTGGGCTCAAGCAATCCTCCCGCCTCAGCCTCCCAAAGTGCTGGGATTACAGACATGAGCCACTGCACCTAGCTTCCATTATCCTTTTGAATAACATATAAGCAAGCTCTTCCTCAATAGTCTAGGTTTTTAAATGGTTCCTCCTGCTCTACGAACTTATAGTTCCATTTTACTTTCCCCATATTATTCTACTGGTCTCTCTCCATATATCATATTAAATATCAGTAACATAAATATTCTACTGCTATATATATATATCACAGTATGTCTAATTAATAAACCTTATCTCTTAGAGCAGTTTTGGGTTCACAGCAAAATTAAGTGGTAAGTACAGAGGTCCCATAGACTCCCTGCCCCTACGCAAGCACAACCTCCCCACCTCATTGACGTCAGGGTTTACTCTTGTATATTCTATGGGTTTTGACAAATGTACAATGACAGGCATCCACCATTGTAGTATCATATACAGTAGTTTCACGCCCTAAGAATCCTCTGTGCTCCACCTATTCATCACCCCACCCTCGTAACCCCTGGCAACCATTGACTCTTGACTGCCTTTATAGTTTTGTCTTTTCTGGGATGTCATATGGTCTGTAATAATTTTTTGCTTGAAAAGCTTTTATTGATCACCCTGTCATACTCCTCTGCATCAAAAGATATGTTTATAAACGTCTAAAAAATTTCCTGTGCCTTGTAAGACTCTGTGTTCAATTTATAGCCCCCAGTAACTTTTTGGTGAATTAAGCAAAAATGCTTCTCTTATGATACGTCTTTCCATATTTTCAAGAAAATATGAATCATTAACTTACCTAACATTTTTTATTTTTCATTTTTTTGAGACGGAGTCTCGCTCTGTCGACCAGGCTGGAGTGCAGTGGTGCAATCTCGGCTCACTGCAACCTCCACTTCCCAGGTTCAAGCTATTCTCTTGCCTCAGCTTCCCACGTAGCTGGGACTACAGGTGCCTGCCACCACGCCAGCTAGTTTTTGTATTTTTAGTAGAGATGGGGTTTCACCATGTTGGTCAGGCTAGTCTCAAAAGCCTGACCTCAGGTGATCCACCCGCCTCCGCCTCCCAAAGTGTTGAAATTACAGGCATGAGCCACCTCGCTTGGCCCACTTACCTAACATTTTAAAAATAACACAACTTACAGAGCGCTTACGAAATGCAGGACTATTCTAAGGCTTCACAATAACCCCGTGAAGTGGGTACTATTTTCACTCTCATGTTTACAAATATGGAAACTGAGACCCAGAAGAATTAAGGAATTTGTGGAAAGTCACAATGAAATTGGATTTGAAACCAGAAATTCGAGCTCCACAATCTGTGCTCTTAGCTGACATGCCGTATGGCCTCTCTATGTGTCTTTTATCTTAAGGTGTAACATTAATCAGTTGGAGCTTACAACATCTTTCTCCTTGAAATCATGCCAAATACACAATTGTTACCTAAACCAAGAAACTAGTGAACAGGAAGCTCTTTCCCCTTACAGAAAATGGTGTACAATTCAGGGAAGTGTGCTTCATAGCACATTGCTTTGTCCCAGCAAGTTGTTGACAAATCTTGAATATTCTAAAATAGGCAGACAGACAGATAAGGTGGGTTGGCTGCCATGGGATTTTTCTCCTTGGTTAAATAAGCCACTGCCTCCTCTATTCTTTCTGCTGATTCTGCTCTTGCTCCAATCTCATGAGATACTCCCTCAAGAGGGATGCATTTTTAAAGAGTGGATGGAAGAGAAGAGATTGTTAAAAAAAAAAAAAAGAAAGAAAGAAAGGAAAAAAAGAAGTTTTTATTACTCCTGTTACTTCATTCTACAGTGTATCTGCGTAAATAACACCTTAACACATGCCAAAATTACCAGTTCCTTACACTCCACGTAGCCCTTCACAGGAATTTATATGAGGCAGGAGAAAACAGGAAGTCCTACTCTGGGTATATGATCCCTAAATTAGAGGTGGTTTTTGAGGTATCCCTTCACTAAAAGGCTTTATTTGACACCCTGAAATGTTCTACACCCTGCGGAAATGTGGTAATAATAATATGGGAGCTACAGAGGAAATGTTGGATGTTCATCAAAGAAGAGTCAGAAAAGTGTAGCCCTGACCACAGAGGTGCCCTCAGACAGATCAGTTCTAGGCAACAAGCACATACGGAAGTTGAAGATCTGGAAAATGGTTCCCATCAAACAACCCACGCCTGCATAATACTCTTCAGGAAGTCTTTATGTACGCCCAAGATGTGGGGGCACAGATGCCATGTGAAGATCATTGTGCTAAATCCACAGTGCAAAGGCACAGGTCTAGATGGGCAGCCCTTTAACCCTGTCCACTTCCTGGAATTTTGCTTGGGTCACGCATGCTTGGTGGGCTGGGGCTTTGTCACATTACAGGAGTAGGTGTATTCCATGACGAAAGCTGGGTAATGATGCTTCCAAACTCTACCTGCACACCCCAGTTGCTGGGAGTAATGAGATACTCACAGCACAACTATGTGAATCAATCACAAGGTAAATTGCTCACCAGGGATTCCCCCCTTTTCTCCTTCCTCTAGCTCAAAATGCCCATTCATTTGAGTCATTTGTTGTTTATTTTTGGAAATAATTTTTTTAAATTTGAGACAGAGTCTCACTCTGTCACCCAGGCTAGAGTGCAGTGACATGATCTCAGCTCACTGCAACGTCCACCTCCCAGGTTGAAGTGATTCTCCTGCCTCAGCCTTCCAAGTAGCTGGGACTACAGGCGCGCACCACCGCGCATGGCTAATTTTTGTATTTTTAGTAGAGACAGGGTTTTGCCATGTTGGCCAGGCTGGTCTCAAACTCCTGGCCTCAAGTGATCTGCCTGCCTCAGCCTCCCAGAATGCTGGGATCACAGGTGTGAGCCACCATGTCCGGCCAGGAAATAAAAATTTTTATTTACATAATGTGCCTGGTAAAAATTTAAGAGCTGTATTGAGCTATAATTTACATACCATATAGTTCACCTGTTTAAAGTATATAAACCTGGCTGGGCGAGGTGGGTCATGCCTCTAATCCCAGCACTTTGGGAGGCTGAGATGGGTGGATCACCTGAGGTTAGGAGTTCAAGACTAGCCTGGCCAACAGTGGTGAAACCCCATCTCTACTAAAAATACAAAAATTAGCCAGGCACTTTGGGAGGCCGAGGCGGGTGGATCATGAGGTCAGGAGATCGAGACCATCCTGGCTAACAAGGTGAAACCCCGTCTCTACTAAAAATACAAAAAATTAGCCAGGCGCGGTGGCGGGCGCCTGTAGTCCCAGCTACTCGGGAGGCTGAGGCAGGAGAATGGCGTGAACCCGGGAAGCGGAGCTTGCAGTGAGCCGAGATTGCGCCACTGCAGTCGGCAGTCCGGCCTGGGCGACAGAGCGAGACTCCGTCTCAAAAAAAAAAAAAAAAAAAAAATTAGCCAGGCATGGTGGCACTCGCCTATAATCCCAGCTACTTGGGAGGCTGAGGGAGGAGAATCTCTTAAACCTAGGAAGCAGAGGTTGCAGTGAGCCGAGATTGCGCCACTGCACTCCAGCCTCGGTGACAGAGTGAGATTCCATCTCAAATTTAAAAAAATAATAAGAATAAAATAAAGTATATAAACCAGTGGTTTTAGGCCGGGTGCAGTGGCTCATGCCTGTAATCCCAGCACTTTGGGAGTCCAAGGTGGGTGGATCACCTGAGATCAGGAGTTCGAGACCAGCCTGGCCAACATTGTGAAACCCCATCTCTACTAAAAATACACACACACACACAAATTAGCTGGGTGTGGTGGCACGCACCTGTAATCCCAGCTACTCGGGAGGCTGAAGCAGGAGAATCACTTGAACCTGGAAGGTGTAGGTTGCAGTGAGCTGAGATCACGCCACTGCACTCCAGCCTGGGCGACAGAGCAAGACTCCGTCTAAAATAAATAAATAAATAAACCAGTGTTTTTTAGTATATTTACAGAGTTGTACTTGGTGAAGCTTTTCATAGACAGACTCAAATCTTTTTTCTCTATTCCAGCTCTTCTTTTTTCCCTTCTAATTCTTCTCTTCCATTTCGTCTCTTTTTCTCTGTTTTGAGCCTTATTACTTGCACGTTAGTCTTCCTGGATCTATCCTCCAAATGTATTATATTTGCCGGGTGATTTTTATTCCTGTATAATTGTGTCTGTTTGAGTTATTTTTCGCGCTTGCTCTTCCGGATTACTAGCATAATTCTCTATAATGGCCAGCCTCTTTCAATTTGTCTATTAAAATTTGAAAATACATGTTTTACTATTTTTTTAAAAAATGATCTAGCTGGACACCCTTGCCTGATCTTATTTCTTTTCATGCTTTTCCACATAAGGGTTTCCACAGTTCCTATCAGTGGGAGGCACCTTTTCAGGGTGTTCAACTTGTCTTTCCCTTCTGGTTTCTGGATCCCTTTAAGTGAGCAGATGATGATGATTGCCTGCATATGGCTCAGCGTGGCCTCTCTGTTCCTCAGTGAGCAGGGGCATGCAAACCTTCCCCCAAAGACTGAGGGAGCTGAGAGGCTGTGGAGACAAAGTGACTCTATCTTGGATGCTAATCTGCCATGTTGACTTCTGATTAACCCAGGTCCCATGAGTCACATGGGCCTCCTCATTCCTACTTTATTTACTGTTCTTGGTAAGGACATGTACTTACTGTAAATCCTGTCTTCGTTTTTTGTTTGTTGTTTTGTTTTTAGAGACAGGGTCTTGCTCTGTCACCTAGGCTGGAGTTCAGTGGTGCAATCTCAGCCCACTGCAGCCTCTAACTCCTGGGCTGTAATGATCCTCCTGCCTCAGCCTCCCAAGTAGCTGGGACCACAGGCACATGCTACCACTCCCAACTAATTTTGGTTTTCTTTTTTGTAGAGATGAGGTGTTGTTTTGTTTCCCAGACTGGTCTCAAACTCCTGCCCCCAAGCAATCCTCCCTCCTCTCCCTCCCAAAGCTCTGGGATTACAGGCATTAGCCACCACATCCAGCCCCTGCCTTTAGATCAAAGCAACCTTGATATTATGGCATAAATTACAGGCTACGACGCACATAGCATTCCTGCCTGTTCTGAAAGGTTGCTTTTAATTGTCTCTACAGGAAGTATACACCCTTTCTGGGGTAAGCCCTGGGTCTGGGGGTAACAGGTGTGGAGATCTACCTGACTTGCTGCCACCCAAGACTACACTTCTGTCTGTAAATTCCCCAGCAAATCACCATTTACTGACAAACTGGATCTATCTGCCTTGTTTTTGGTTTCTCGGCTCCTTCAGCGTTTGGGAGCCACTTTACATGTATGACCCTTTCATGGAATAAAGGCTGAATGAAATAAGTGGCTAACAAATCCAGTTTCTCCAAAAGAAATTTTGAACAAGGACTAAGCAACAGAAGCCACGTCTGGGAGAGCTGCAAGACGATGGACACTCCAGAAAACATCCTTTCTATAGCAAGGTCTTAGGGTAAAATATATGCAGCTGGTCACATCTCACACTTTCTTGCCAAAACCCATAACCACTCGGGAGGTTAAAGAAGCATGTTTGTGAAGGGTTATTTATGCAGCAGGCATTGTTTGAAGACTGTGCTGCAGTGCACTTTGCTATGCAAAAGTGGACCACTGGTCATCATGATGTGTCCAGAATTGGTGGCTGCTTGGTCTGACTGACTTCAAGAATGAAGCCGCAGACCCTCGTGGTTACTGTTACAGCACTTAAGGTGGTACGTCTGGAGCTTGTTCTTTCTGACGTTCCGATGTGTTCAGAGTTTCTTCCTTCTGGTGGGTTTGTGGTCTCGCTGGCTCAGGAATGAAGCTGCAGATCTTCACGATGAGTGTGACAGCTCACAAAAGCAGCATGGACCCAAACAGTGAGCAGTAACAAGATTATTGCAAAGAACAAAAGAACAAAGCTTCCACAGTCAGGAAAGGGACCAGAGCGGGTTACCACTGCTGGCTGGGGCAGCCTGCTTTTATTCTCTTATCTGGCCCCACCCACATCCTGCTGATTGGTAGAGCCAAGTGGTCTGTTTTGACAGGGTGCTGATTGGTGCGTTTACAATCCCTGAGCTAGACACAAAGGTTCTCCACGTCCCCACCAGATTAGCTAGATACAGAGTGTGGACACGAAGGTTCTTCAAGGCCCCACCAGAGCAGCTAGATACAGAGTGTCGATTGGTGCACTCATGAACCCTGAGCTAGACCCAGGGTGCTGATTGGTGTGTTTACAAACCTTGAGCTAGATACAGAGTGCGGATTGGTGTATTTACAATCCCTGAGCTAGACATAAAGGTTCTCCACATCCCCACCAGACTCAGGAGCCCAGCTGGCTTCACCCAGTGGATCCCGCACTGGGGCTGCAGGTGGAGCTGCCTGCCAGTCCTGCGCCGTGCGCTTGCACTCCTCAGCCCTTGGGTGGTCGATGGGACTGGGCGCCCTGGAGCAGGGGGTGGCACTCGTCGGGGAGGCTCGGGCCGCATAGGAGCCCATGGAGGGGGTGGGAGGCACAGGCATGGCAGGCTGCAGGTCCCAAGCCCTGCCCCATGGGAAGGCAGCTAAGGCCTGGTGAGAAATCGAGTGCAGCGCCGGCGGGCTGGCACTGCTGGGGGACCCAGTACACCGTCCGCAGCTGCTGGCCCAGGTGCTAAGCCCTTCATTGCCCAGGACCGGCAGGGCCAGCCAAGCCCACGCCCACCCGGAACTCCAGCTGGCCCGCAAGCGCCGCGTGCAGCCCCGGTTCCCGCTCGCACCTCTCCCTCCACACCTCCCTGCAAGCTGAGGGAGTGGGCTCCGGCCTTGGCCAGCCCAGAAAGGGGCTTCCACAGTGCAGCGGTGGGCTGAAGGGCTCCTCAAGTGCCGCCAAAGTGGGAGCCCAGGCAGAGGAGGCGCTGAGAGCGAGCGAGGGCTGTGCGGACTTCCAGCACCCTGTCACCTCTCAATGGCAGCTTTGCTTCAAAATGGCGTCCCTGTTGCCGTGCAACAGGCTGTATTCCTACACTCCACCTCTCAAAACTGGCCCTGACAATTTCACGTGCTCATCTCTTCCATGATAGTCCCTGGGCCTAAAGGGAGGACCCTTGATAGTGCATAGCTTTAGCAGCAGTGCGTTGGCTCCACTGGAGGCAGATAACACAGCAGCAGTAAAGGCTCAAACAAGACAGTAAGGAACGTACGAGTACAGCACCTAAACCAAGAAGCAGCTTATGCCACCAGGTGCCCCAGGACCCAAACCAGCTGTGAAGCCAATTATTCAAAGTAGGGGTCTGAGAGCTTGGTTATGTGGGCTTTTATATCAGTCATTAATTTAGCGATATTAACTGATTCATCAGGAATATAAACACAGCAGTTTTTCCAATTGCACAAGTGCCCCGTTGTGCAGCGTGAGTATATGTAAAGCCTGGTAATTTGGGAGGACAGACTTTCTCATGACAGTGACTTCCATGTTTAAAAGAGAGATTCCCATGCAGCTATCATTTAAAGTTTTCTTTTTTTTATTTTTTGTAGAGTTTCTTTTTTTAATTTTTTGAGTCAGAGTCTCGCTCTATCACCTGGGCAGGAGTGCAGTAGCACGGTCTTGGCTCACTGTAACCTCCACCTCCCAGGTTCAAGCAATTTTCCTGCCTCAGCCTCCCAAGTAACTGGGATTACAGGCATGCGCCACCACGCCCAGCTAATTTTGTTATTTTTTGTGGAGATGGGGTTACACCGTGTTGGCCAGGCTGATCTCGAGCTCCCGACCTCAACTGATCCACTTGCCTTGGCCTCCCAAAGTGCAGGGATTACAGGCTTTATAGAGTTTCTATATGTCAGATAATATCTTCAATAACCGGATGAGGAAGACAAATGGAGGCCAAACAATCATACCAATAAAAAACAGATCAGAACCAGTGGGATTTCAAATGAGGGAGATTGATAGGCTTTGTAGTGTGTGAACTATTCAGTCTGTGCCCGTGTATAATCCAAAGAACATCTTCCTAAACATGCAGGGGGTAACCAAGGCCATAAATTGGTACCACATATCCAGGAAGTTCCATTTGGGGCCAACCAAAAGATTCCTGCACACAGTGTCCGTTCTGTAACATGCCCAATGAGTATTTTATTATATTATAGCATAGTATATAAAAATCAGTCTCTTGCTATCCATCACATATCCCTTGTGCAATTTGGCCAAGTATCTTTAGAATGATTCATTTGTTCCCAAGACTGAGGAGCAAGTTGACTAACATGGCCAAAAGACGGAATTAACCAAATAAACCCAGCCTGTTTTTGGGTATCAGGTTGTTTTGTTCTTTATTTAGGGTGTTGTCACTCTCTAGCAGGAAATAGCCTATCCAGCCTGGGGCTATTTGTCGTTCCAAGCTCGGTGTGTTTCCTCCTCGGTAGTATATCTGCTGGCATCTTCATGTGCAAAAGACACTGGTTGTCAATGAGGTCTGGGAGCAAGCAAAGCAGTCGTCTCAATTACCCCTATGGGAACAGTGGTAGGCTTGGGGGACCGTTGTCCTAGACGGTCACATGGGGCAGGCGTCCCTGCTTTGGCTGAATTTAAAGAAATGAAGGTTGGAGATAACACATTCATCTGCCTATGCAAGGTAGGTTTCCCAAATTAGAGTTTGAATTTGTGCTTTCAACAGACTGGTATTTCTTTCAATTAACCCTGCTGCTTGGAGGTTCTATGGGAGATAAAAGTGCCATAGTGTATCACGTTTCCTGGCCCAGTCCTGCACGTCATATCCAGCGAAATGGGTCCCTCGGTCACTGTCAATGTGCCAGATATATCCATACATAGCACTGAGAGCCTCTAAGCCTTTAATAGTACTGGCTTGATTAGCTTGCTTATAGGGAGAATCTTGCAGCAGTCCAGTAGCGGTGTCCATGCAGGTTAACATGTATTTATTTCCTTGGCTTACAGGGACAGTATCTAAATAATCCACTTGCCAATCTGTTACATGGTGGACAGCCTTCTGAATATCTGAATGTGTCCTGCTCAATATGATCTACAATAGAGAACATGGTAAACAATTTGTAAGAGCTGTTGGGAAGGCACTATATATTTTTTGTTGTTGTTGTGGAGATGGGATCTCGATATGTTGCCCAGGCTGGACTCAAACTCCTGGCCCCAAGCAATCGTCCCACCATGGCCTCCCCATGTGTGAGCCACTGTACCAGGACTAGGTCACTATATATATATATATATATATATTTTTTTTTTTTTTTTTGAGACGGAGTTTTGCTCTTATTGCCCTGGCTGGAGTGCAATGGCGTGATCTCGGCTCACTACAACCTCCACCTCCCGGGTTCAAGCAGTTCTCCTGCCTCAGCCTCCTGAGTAGCTGGGATTACAGGTGCATGCCACCACGCCCAGCTAATTTTGTATTTTTAGTAGAGACAGGTTTCTCCATGTTGGTCAAGCTGGTCTCGAACTCCCAACCTCAGGTGATTTGCCCGCCTCGGCCTCCCAAAGTGCTGGGATTACAGGCATGAGCCACCGTGCCCAGCCTGGTCACTACATTTTAAGAGTAATCCTGCTTCCTTGACTGTCTCCCAGCCTACTCTTGCACTTCTGTGACCACTTTTGTTATGTACCCAGGTCAATAGTTCAGAGGCCTGAGCTGGCATGATGCTTCTAATTTTTTTTAGGGTTTTAGCTTCCATGTTTTGTGGAACTGAGTGGTTTTTATGTGCAGTCACCTGAAATACAGTTAAATCAGCCACAAGGCTTTGCGGCTTTTTCCGTATGTCTTGCCACATGTTCATGCCCCATATAGGTTTGTGCATAATCATCCACTTTTCTAGTTCCTGTTGAGCCAGCCACATAATTAGGCCTTTGAATACAGCTCAGCTATCAGTGCAAAGAACCAGGGGCCAGGCTCATATGTGACTATTAACCAGGCTGCTTGCAACTCATCCCAGTGGCTCCTCTGATGCCCACCTGTATCAAACCAGATTGTATCAGTTTGTGGCTGTGTAGCAACAGCGGTCCAAGAACAGCGGTTTCCCCTGCTGGAGTCCTCTGTACACCAAGCATCATCTGGATGCTTACCATGTCAGGTGCTGGAGTTGGAGAGGGTCAGGTGGTATCCTTTGTTTGTTCACGTCATAACAGAGCCTAATGCAGTATGTAATTCTGGGCTTAAGGGACTCATTGCTAGCATTCTTCCTTGTTGCAAATAATCATGCCATTTATTCAAGGTAGGTGTTGGGGCTACAGCGGAGGTGGGTTGTTTAAAAATCCTTCTAACCATCCCTTGATTGGTAGACCTATTCTCACAGTCATGGGAAGGGTCTTTGTTAGCAATTCCACCTGCTGTAAAGCATTCTCTACTACTAGCACTTCTTGTTCAACAGGAGAGTATCTGGTTTTGGCTCCTTTCTTAAAAGGACTGATTCCCTAGACTGCGGTTGCCATAAGGCCCCACTCATATCCTCAGGAGCAGCAGTAACATCCAAAGTCCTAGCTGTACCCTCCAAAGGGGTGCCTAAGGCCTGTGCCTGCTGTACCAACACTTCAGCCTGTTCAAAGCTTCCTGCTGTGGTGTGTCCCAGGCCCAATGTGCCCTTTCTCTGATAAGTCTGTATAGGGATCTCAAAAACTGTGCTAAGTATGGGATGCGTACTCTCCAATAACCCAAAAGACCCACAAATGTTTGGATTTCTTTGACTGTTTCTGGAGTTGACATTGTTGGGCTTTGTCAATTATTGCACCCAGTATCAAAGGAGTGTTACCCAACCATGTAACCCCTAAAAACTTCACTGTGGGCCGGGTGCAATGGCTCACACCTGTAATCCTAACACTTTGGGAGGCCAAGGTGGGCGGATCACAAGGTCAGGAGTTCGAGACCAGCCTGGCCAATATGGTGAAACCCCATCTCTACTAAAAATACAAAAGTTAGCTGGGCATGGTGGCAGGTGCCTGTAGTCCCAGTTACTCGGGAGGCTGAGGCAGGAGAATCGCTTGAACCCAGGAGGCGGAGGTGGCAGTGAGACAAGGTCGCACCATTGCAATCCAGCCTGGGTGACAGAGCGAGACTCCGCCTCAAAACAAAACAAAACAAACAAACAAAAAATCTTCACTGTGGGCTCTGGGCCTTGCATCTTCTGAGGATTGATGGCCCATCTCCATTCCATAGATGAGCACCCAATACCATAAGACATTACTGCAAACCAAAACAACATGGTACTGGTACAAGAACAGACACATACACCAGTGGAACAGAATAGAAAACACAGAAATAAGACCACGCACCCACGACTATCTGATCTTCAACAAACCTGACGAAAGCAAACAATGGGGAAAGAATTCCCTGTTCAATAAACGGTGCTGGGATAACAGGCTAGCCATATGCAAACAATTCAAACTGGACCCCTTCTTTACACCTTACACAAAAATTAACTCACGATGGATTAAAGACTTAAATGTAAAACCCAAAACTATAAAACCCTGGAAGACAACCTAGGTAATACCATTCAGGACATAGGCATGGGCAAAAATTTCATGACGAAGATTCTGAAAGCAATTGCAACAAAAGGAAAAATTGAAAATGGGATTTAACTAAACGAAAGAGCTTCTGCACAGCAAAAGAAACTATCAACAGAGTAAACAGACAACCTACAGAATGGGAGAAAATTTTTGCAAACTATGCATCTGACAAAGGGCTCATATTCAGCATCTATAAGGAACTTAAACAAATTTATTTTAAAAAAGCAAACAATTCCATCAAAAAGTGGACAAAGGACATGAACAGACACTTCCCAAAAGAAGACATACATGTGGCCAACAAACATATTTTAAAAAGCTAAACATCATTGATTATTAGAGAAACGCATATCAAAACCACAATGATATCGTGCCATTGCACTCCAGCCTGGGCAATAAGAGCAAAACTCCATCTCAAAACAAACAAACAAAAACCCACAATAAGATATCATCTCACGCCAGTCAGAACAGCTATTATTAAAAAGTCAAAAAATAAAAGATGCTGGCGAGGTTGTGGAGAAAAAAGAATGCTTATACACTGTTGGTGGGAGTATAAATTAGTTCAGTCATTGTGGAAGACACTGTGGTGATTCTTCAAAGACTTAAAGACAGATACCATCTGATCCAGCAATCCCATTACTGGGTATATACCCAAAGGAATATAAATCATTCTGTTATAAAAGCACATGGACGTGGCCAGGCACGGTGGCTCATGCCTGTAATCCCATCACTTTGGGAGGCTGAGGCAGGTGGATCACCTGAGGTCAGGAGTTCGAGACCAGGCTGACCAATATGGAGAAACCCCTGTCTCTACTAAAAATACAAGATTATATGGGCGTGGCGCCACATGCCTGTAATCCCAGCTACTGGGGTGGCTGAGGCAGGAGAATCGCTTGATCCCGGGAGGCAGAGGTTGCAGTGAGCTGAGATCGCACCATTGCACTCTAGCCTCGGCAACAAGAGCAAAACTCCATCTCAAAAAAAAAAAAAAATGCATGCATGTGTTCATTGCAGTGGTATTCACAATAGCAAAGACATGGAATCAACCTAAATGCCCATCAGCGATAGACTGGATAAAGAAAATGTGGTATATATACATCATGGACTACTATGCAGTCATACAAAAAGAACAAGATCATGTCCTTTGCAGGGACATGGATGGAGCTGGAGGCCATTATTCTTAGCAAACTAATGCAGGAACAGAAAACCAAATACCGCATGTTCTCGCTTATAAGTAGAAGCTAAATGATGAGAGCACCTGGACACATAGAGGGGAACAACACCCACTGGGGCCTATCAGAGGGTGGAGGGTGGGAGGAGGGAGAGGATCAGGAAAAATAACTAATGGGTACTAGGCTTAATAGCTGGGTGACGAAATAACCTGTACAAAAAAACCCCCATGACACACATTTACTTATGTAACAAACCTGCATATGAACCCCCGAACTTAAAATAAAAGTTAAAAAAAGAAAAGCCATGGCTGCAGCACAGTAAAAGCTTCAGCGGCTGACATAATGCCAACAAGATAACAAAACTAGAAGAAAAGACGGGAATGCGAAAAAAGACAAGACTCTTTCATGGGCTTTGTGCTGGATGGATAATAGTTGCACTTATTGGGAGGATAATAATTGCACTTATTTCAGCATACCCCCTGGACAATATGAATCATTTAATGTTGACAACGCCATGTAGGGGCAGGAAGTTGTAGGGGCTCCCATTTTCTTCCTCTCTCAAGAACAGTCTTCACGGAGTGCCTGCGATTGCAGGCACGCGCCGCCACGCCTGACTGGTTTTCGTATTTTTTTTGGTGGAGACGGGGTTTCGCTGTGTTGGCCGGGCCAGTCTCCAGCTCCTAACCGCGAGTGATCCGCCAGCCTCGGCCTCCCGAGGTGCCGGGATTGCAGACGGGAGTCTCGTTCACTCAGTGCTCAATGGTGCCCAGGCTGGAGTGCAGTGGCGTGATCTCGGCTCGCTACAACCTCCACCTCCCAGCCGCCTGCCTTGGCCTCCCAAAATGCCGAGATTGCAGCCTCTGCCCGGCCGCCACCCCGTCTGGGAAGTGAGGAGCGTCTCTGCCTGGCCGCCCATCGTCTGGGATGTGAGGAGCCCCTCTGCCTGGCTGCCCAGTCTGGAAAGTGAGGAGCGTCTCAGCCCGGCCGCCATCCCATCTAGGAAGTGAGGAACACCTCTTCCCGGCCGCCATCACATCTAGGAAGTGAAGAGCGTCTCTGCCCGGCCGCCCATCGTCTGAGATGTGGGGACCGCCTCTGCCCCGCCGCCCCGTCTGGGATGTGAGGAGCGCCTCTGCCCGGCCGCGACCCCGTCTGGGAGGTGAGGAGCGTCTCTGCCCGGCCGCCCCGTCTGAGAAGTGAGGAGACCCTCTGCCTGGCAACCGCCCCGTCTGAGAAGTGAGGAGCCCCTCCGCCCGGCAGCCGCCCCGTCTGAGAAGTGAGGAGCCCCTCCGCCCGGCAGCCAACCCGTCCGGGAGGGAGGTGGGGGGGTCAGCCCCCCGCCCGGCCAGCTGCCCCGTCCGGGAGGTGAGGGGCGCCTCTGACCGGCCGCCACTACTGGGAAGTGAGGAGCCCCTCTGCCAGGCCACCACCCCGTCTGGGAGGTGTACCCAACAGCTCATTGAGAATGGGCCATGATGACGATGGCGGTTTTGTGGAATAGAAAGGGGGGAAAGGTGGGGAAAAGATTGAGAGATCGGATGGTTGCTGTGTCTGTGTAGAAAGAAGTATACATGGGAGACTTTTCATTTTGTTCTGTACTAAGAAAAATTCTTCTGCCTTGGGATCCTGTTGATCTGTGACCTTACCCCCAACCCTGTGCTCTCTGAAACATGTGCTGTGTCCACTCAGGGTTAAATGGATTAAGGGCGGTGCAAGATGTGCTTTGTTAAACAGATGCTTGAAGGCAGCATGCTCGTTAAGAGTCATCACCACTCCCTAATCTCAAGTACCCAGGGACACAAACACTGCGGAAGGCCTCAGGGTCCTCTGCCTAGGAAAACCAGAGACCTTTGTTCACTTGTTTATCTGCTGACCTTCCCTCCATTATTGTCCTATGACCCTGCCAAATCCCCCTCTGCGAGAAACACCCAAGAATGATCAATAAAAAATAAATAAATAAATAAATAAATAAATAAATAAATAAATAAAAAGAAAGAAGAAAAAGAAAAAAAAAAAAAAAAAAACAGTCTTCACTACATGCACCTTCGATCTGAATTTTTCCGCTGAAGTTTGCTAAGTCTTTCCTAACAGAATACCTGTGCCTAAAATGTTTTCTGGAATAAGAAAAATAAACACCACATATGGGGCAGGGGAGCTTCCCCAATACCTAGATGTATTAAAGTCCTTCTCATCCAGATCGTTTGTCCCCATAACCAGTGATGGCAGACCATTGACCAGGGTGTATTTATGGATTTCCATGAATTAAAGTATATTCTGCCCTAGTATCTACTAAGGAAATAGTCTTCTCCTTATTTTTTTGAGAGGAACAGTAAATGGTGAGCTCAATATGGGGCCTCTGGTCACCTGCAACGTGGGGTTGACCTTGGTCCCACTGCTAATCTTGGGCCCAGCATGGAATCCCCCTCTGATAGGCTGGAGTATTAGAATGAGGGGTTGAGTCATCTTCCTCTTCTGCTAGAGGGGCAGAAATGAAGGGACAAAACAGCCCTTCAGTCTGTACTTCCCTCCATAAGGCTACTAACACAGCATTTTTCATATTTTCCATATTTTAACATTTTTTACATATTTTTTTCTCAGAATTTTTCTGCTCCCAATAAGTCATGCCACATTTGCCTGTTCTTGACTCTAGTTGGTCGCTTTCCCTTATTTTCCCCCTTCTTCCTGTGGAGCATTATCTTTCCCCTTTGTCAGCCCTTGCCGGGTTACAAAGCACACCCCGTCCCTAGCTTTCTCAGTAGCTCCCAAATCTGTGATGGCTTCTCCTACGTCATATACATCTTTTTTTTTTTTTTTTTTTAAGACGAAGTTTCGCTGTTGTTGCTCAGGCTGGAGTGCAATGGCACGATCTCGGCTCACTGCAACCTCCGCCTCCCACGTTCAAGCTATTCTCCTGCCTCAGCCTCCCAAGTAGCTGGGATTACAGGCGCCTGTCACCATGCCCGGCTAATTTTGTATTTTTAGTAGAGAAGGAATTTCACCATGTTGACCAGGCTGGTCTTGAACTCCTGACCTCAGGTGATCCATCCACTTCGGCCTCCCAAAGTGCTGGGATTACAGGCATGAGCCACCGTGCCCAGCCCTTTTTTTTTTTTTGAGACGGGGTCTCACTCTGTTGCCCAGGCTGGAGTGCAGTGCCCCAATCTCAGCTGACTGCAACTTCTGCCTCCTGAGTTCAAGCAATTCTCCTACCTCAGCCTCCCAAGTAGCTGGGGTTACAGGCACACCACCTAGCTAATTTTTGTATTTTTAGTAGAGATGGGGTTTCACCATATTGTCCAGGCTTGTCTCGAACTCCCGATCTCAAGTAATTCGCCTGCCTCGGCCTCTCAAATTGCTGGAATTACAGGTGTGAGCCCCTGTGCCTGGCCTTCCCACATCATATACTTCTTGTCCCATTTATAGGACTCAATAACATGAGCCAAGGGTTGTGCCATTCTCCTGGTGCACCCTTCAGCAATTTATTTTTCATCCCTGCAGGAAAAAACTGTTTTAAGTCCTGTGAGAACCCAAACATAGATGACTTGACTCATTCCTAATTCTTGGAGAAGCCCTTGGGCCTTTTCTGTTGACTGCCAGGAGGTCATCCTTCCCGGTAAATTTCCCTCATTAGGTCAAGCCTCCCTCATAGCTAGAATGAGCCAGTCCATAAGCTATGATTCCCTTGCGTCTGCCTTGCCTTAGCAAAGATGCTTCTGCAGGGCTGCATGGGTGGTGATGTTACTCATTTTTTCTGCTTCTCCTGTTAAGGAAATATCATCAGCCCCTGTGTCCCACAATCAGACCATCCAAGCAGCCAGGGATTCCCTCGGTAGTTGTTTAAAGGCCTTTGCAATCTCTAAGAGTTCTGCAGCGGTAGGTTCCCTGACAGTGAGAGTCTCCTGTATCAGCTGACCCCCGTTTTGCTGCCAATGTTAGGTTTCACTTTCCTTTGCATGAGACAGCGAGCTTGCCAATGATCCCCATCCCCCTCCACACCTGTGACTTCTATGTCATCAGTCTTCCTCTTCATAACAATCCCAGGGATTCCAAGTTTTCACATCCCAGTTGGGCTTTCTCATGAGAGCTCTGATTTTTGGTCATTTCCATATCTTTCGCCCTAGGTGGACAAATCTACATGCTAACATTTCAATTTTTGTCTCTTGGTCTTCAATTTTGTTTGCTAAGTTGGATGTGAGGAGAGACATGGAGAGGTACACGTCTTTTTCTAGTTGCAATTCCTTCTCTAGACATTTAATTTTGGCTTCTGCTGCTAGCCGGATCTTCATTGCCAAAAGAAGCACCCAACCCTCTGCAGTGGCTATTGGCCGACCTTCCGTACCCCAGTGCACTATGCGGCTTTCAGTTAATAACTGCTCTAGGCCACCTGGCATTTTCAAGGCATCCCTGCACTCACACAGAGGTACACAGGTATCGAACAGTTGTGCCATCCAACCCTACACAGACGTGGCTGCCGCCCTGGGGTTTCCTTACAGATGCTTCATTCTCCTTACCCATTCCTTGTTCTCCCAGCTACTGGCTGGGGGATCACCAAATGTTCTACCATGAACAGGTCTACACAAACCTACCCCTAAATTTTGAGGGGAAAAGAGATCAAAGAAAGAGACTGACAAATCCAGTTTCTCACAGAGAAATATTTAATGGAGTCTTCCAAAGAGAAGTGATGTCTGAGGTGGCCACAAGATGGTGGATTCCCACACTCCCTCTCCAAAAAATATCCTTTCTAGAGTAAGCTTTTAGGGGAAAACATGTGCAACTGGTCACATCACAGACTTTCTTGCTGAAACCCATGACTGCTGGGGAGGTTAGATAAGCATCTTTGTGAGAGGTTAATTACGCTACAGGCATTGTTTTAAAGCCCTTGATACAGAACACCTTGGTATGCAGGAGTCAGACATTGGACATCTGGCGAGGTGCAGTGGCTCACACCTGTAATCTCAGCACTTTGGGAGGCGAAGGCAGGAGGAGTTCAAGGAGGCCAGGAGTTCAAGACCAGCTTGTGCAACAGAGTGAGGCCCTGTCCCTACAAAAAATTCTAAAAATTAGCCAGGCATGGTGGCACACGAAACTGTAGTCCCAGCTACTCAGGAGGCTGAGGCAGGAGGATTGCCTGAGCCCAGGAATTGAAGGCTGCAATGAGCTATGATTGCACCACTGCAAAACTCCATCTAAAAAAAAAATGGCCATTGTGGTGGTTTCACTTCAAGATGGTATCACTCTTACCATGCAACAGGCTGTTTTCCTATAGCCGCATTGGTAAGATCCAATTCTTTGGTTTGCTGACACTGGAGAAACCCAATAAGTGGTGGAAGATGGAGCAGTTTCTACTGCTGTGAGTTGGGGTGAACCCACCAACAGACTGCTAATTCTCTGCTGAGGGCTCTGTCCCAAGTAGGAGCCCTCCATTACCTTGTGGGCTCAAAGCAACTTAGCCTCTAAAGCAGCTCCCCTCTGTCTTCCAAGACCTGGAGGACCCTCTTCCCTGGACTCATGAAAGGGATACGTGCAGCTCTTCTGGGCAGGGATTTATGAGAATCTCGGGTCTTTGCAAGAGCCTCTTGGAAGATTCGACCTCAGCAGGCCAGAAAGTCTTTCCCTTGGGAAACCAGGGAGCACTCAGGGAGATGAGTGTCACCAGCTCCTCCACCCTGATGGGTAGTCAGGCCTGGAGCACATGGAAATGCCCTGGGAACCTCGACTTCAAGTGAATATGCGTACCCCCCTCCCCACTCCCCCCCCACACACAGAGCAGGTAGTTGTAACGCCTCCACCTCATCCTGCTCTTGGCTCTTCATGTATCACAACCTAATCTCTGTGTACCACAGGCCTCACGCAGGAGCCCATAGCATGCTGGCACCCGCCCTCCCTCCTTATCTCTCCCAAGTCAATTCTCCAGCCAATCGGGGTGTCTCAGAGATACAGGGACCTTGCCTGGGGCAAAAAGGATTAGAAAATGCAGACACACAGATAAGAATGAGGTCTTTGGATTTTACTGTGGAGATTTTGAATGCCAGATGGAGTCCAGCATGGAGGTTTTCTCCTATAACTGAGTTCATCTCAGAGCTAGATACCCACCCCGGGGCAAGCACAGCTTCTCTTTGTCGTGTGTGTTAGATGAGATGTATTTATTTCTTAGCTAAATGAGCAATATAGTATTCTCTTTCCAGTGTCTGGTAAAGGCAAGAAAGGTGAGGAATACCTTCTTCAAGATTTTCAGGATCTCAAACAAAGCTGGGAGGGGTCTCCTGGGATGAATGAAAGGAAACCAGGTCTTGGGTGCCCAGGTCTCTTCCTTCCTGAAGAATGCGGCACTTGCTTCCGGGGCTGCTCAGGGCCCGCTGTTCCTCCCGCTCATCTCCATGGCTATCGATGATACTGGTCTCCTCCAGAACCAGTTAGGACTCCACCTGGGCCTGTGGGGGGCTCCATGATTCCCTCCAGGGCCTGGACCAAGGCCATGGTTGAGGCCATGAGGGTGGTAGACAGCTGTGTTAAAGGTGTTTCTCAGGGACAGGCTGTTTCTCTAAAAAAAGAAGAGTCAATAGTTTCAGAATTGCATCCCTGTCTCCCACGCCTTTACCACGTACGCCTTCTGGAATCTTCTCCCACTTCCAACCATACTCTTTACCTAGTTCTCCTTTCTCCAGTCCTTTCTGTGGCCCCCTTTTCCCGCAGGTCAGCAGCTTCCTCTGCATTGACCTACCATGTCTCTGTGTTACTCTTTCCTGATCTCCCTTCCTCCCTACCCACCCCTGACTTGAGACCCCTTCTATTCACACCCATTTCCTTGTGTTTCTGCTGCTCCTTCCCCCAGGCATTTTCTTACATATTAGGCACTCACCACACAGAAGAAGAGCCCAGCAAAGAGCCCCACGGCCGCCACAACCGAGACCAGGGTGATGAGGAAGATTTCCCACGGCACCAGGGACCCACCAGGCTTTGCCTCACTCACTGCAGTAGATGCACTATGGGAAGTTGTGTGCATTCCAGTCAGAGCTGCTGTTCCAGAGCCTGCAGAGGTCACACTGGACCCAGAGTTGGTGGCTGTGTTGGCCCCACTGGAGGTTGTGCTGGACTCAGAATTGGTGACTGTGCTGATCCCACTGGACACTGTGCTAGACTCAGAGTTGGTGGCTGTGCTGGCCTCACTGGAGGTTGTGCTGGAGTCAGAGTTGGTGGCTGTGCTAGCCCCACTGGAGGTTGTGCTGGACTCAGAGTTGGTGGCTGTGCTGACCCCACTGGAGGTTGTGCTGGACTCAGAGTTGGTGGCAGTGCTGGCCCCACTGGACACTGTGCTGGACTCAGAGTTGGTGGCTGTGTTGGCCCCACTGGAGGTCGTACTGGACTCAGAGTTGGTGGCTGTGTTGGCCCCACTGGAGGGTGTGCTGGACTCAGAATTGGTGACTGTGCTGATCCCACTGGACACTGTGCTGGACTCAGAGTTGGTGGCTGTGCCGGCCCCACTGGAGGTTGTGCTGGAGTCAGAGTTGGTGGCTGTGCTAGCCCCACTGGAGGTCGTGCTGGACTCAGAGTTGGTGGCTGTGCTGGCCCCACTGGAGGTCGTGCTGGACTCAGAGTTGGTGGCTGTGCCGGCCCCACTGGAGGTTGTGCTGGAGTCAGAGTTGGTGGCTGTGCTAGCCCCACTGGAGGTCGTGCTGGACTCAGAGTTGGTGGCAGTGCTGGCCCCACTGGACACTGTGCTGGAGTCAGAGTTGGTGGCTGTGCTGGCCCCACTGGAGGTCGTGCTGGACTCAGAGTTGGTGGCTGTGCCAGCCCCATTGGAGGTCGTTCTGGACTCAGAGTTGGTGGCTGTGCTGGCCCCACTGGAGGTTGTGCTGGACTCAGAGTTGGTGGCAGTGCTGGCCCTACTGGACACTGTGCTGGACTCAGAGTTGGTGGCTGTGCTGGCCCCACTGGAGGTTGTGCTGGACTCAGAGTTGGTGGCTGTGCTAGCCCCACTGGAGGTTGTGCTGGAGTCAGAGTTGGTGGCTGTGCTGGCCCCACTGGAGAGTGTGCTAGACTCAGAGTTGGTGGCAGTGCTGGCCCTACTGGACACTGTGCTGGACTCAGAGTTGGTGGCAGTGCTGGCTCCACTGGAGGTCACACTGGACCCAGAGTTGGTGACTGTGCTGGCCCCACTGGAGGGTGTGCTGGACTCAGAGTTGGTGGCTGTGCTGGCCCCACTGGAGGTTGTGCTGGACTCAGAGTTGGTGGCTATGCTGATCCCACTGGACGCTGTGCTGAACTCAGAGTTGGTGGCTGTGCTGATCCCACTGGAGGTTGTATGGAACTCAGAGTTGGTGACTATGCTGACCCCATTGGAGGTCACGCTGGACCCTGAGATGGTGGCTGTGCTGACCCCACTGGAGGTCACACTGGACCCAGAGTTGGTGGCTGTGCTGGCTCCACTGGAGATCACACTGGATCCAGTGTTGGCAGAGGTGCTAGTCTCATTGGAATTTGTTGCTGAAGAAATCATATAATGACAAATATATATTGTGTATATATACTTTCTGCTTATTGCTTGGCTAAATTCATTACATAATTTTATTTAATGCTCACTATGGTGCTATAACATAGATGCTATTATTATCACCAGCTGAGATGAAGAAATTGAGGCTTCAAAATGTTGATACTGGGCTGGGCACGGTGGCTCACGCCTGTAATCCCAGCACTTTGGGAGGCCAAGGTGGGCGGATCACCTGAGGTTCGGAGTTCGAGACCAGCCTGACCAACATGGAGAAACCCCATCTCTACTAAAAATACAAAATTAGCCGGGCATTAATTCCAGCTACTCGGGAGGCTGAGGCAGGAGAATCACTTGAACCCGGGAGGCAGAGGTTGCGGTGAGTCGAGATCGAGCCATTGCACTCCAGCCTGGGTTCCAAGAGCAAAACTCCGTCTCAAAAATAAAAAATAAAAAAAAGTTGACACTGGCCCAAGTTTACACAGCTAGTGAGTGGTGGAACAGGAAACTGAACCCAGGCTACTAAATCTGCACTTGTGGAGACTAAGCTAAGTCAACCACCCACCCACAATGCCAGAGTTACATCATCTAGTTTCACTGGTAGCTAACCTTTTTCCACATTCTGCTATGCAAGATACAATACAGATATAAAGTATTATAAAAGAATTATAGGACTAGGTGAAACTAGTATATACTGATCAATTTTTTTCTTAAGTAGTATTGCTTCCTTCTTGGAAAATATTTCTCAGAATAATATTCAGAACACACTTATATCAGAATTACTTAAGGGAGCATGTTGAAAATATTCTTAAGCAAATCATTCCAGACTAAATGAATTAGAATTTGAGATGGGGCCCAGGAGTCTGCATGTACAACAAGAAGCCAGGTGACTATATGCATTCAAGTTCCAGGGGCCCTTGATCACTATGGCCAAGGCTAGAGAAGAACGAGTTATATGTAGCTCAAATACATAAGAGCTCCCAGGAATAAGGGCTGTAAACCAACGTCTAAAGGTAGAGGGAAGGCTTTTAACTTCTTGGAGGCTTGGCTGGAGTTAAGGTTATGTCAAATTTTTGCCCTTGATTTCCCAGAAGGATGAAGACATTCAACCTCCCCAGCCTGTACGTGGGAAGCTGACGTGGAATTAGGTGTAGGGGTAGGAGAGAAATTGAGTTTGTAGAATATAGAAGAGTGGTATTTTATTTTATTTTATTTTATTTTATTTTATTTTATTTTATTTTATTTTATTTTATTTTATTGCTTATTTATTTATTTGTTTTTGAGACGGAGTCTTGCTCTGCCGCCCAGGCTGGAGTATAGTGGAGCAATCTCAGCTCACTGCAACATCCGCCTCCCAGGTTCAAGCGATTCTCCTGCCTCAGCCTCCTGAGTAGCTAGGATTACAGGCATAAGCCACCCCGCCAGGCTAATTTTTGTACTTTTAGTAGAGATGGAGTTTCACCATGTTGGCCAGGCTGGTCTGAAACTCCTGGCCTCAAGACATCCACCCGCCTTGGCCTCCCAAAGTGCTGAGATTACAGGCGTGAGCCACTGAGCCTGGCCTTATTTTATTATTTTATTTTTTTGAGACAGAGTCTCACTCCGTCACCCAGGCTGGAGTGCAGTGGCACCATCTTGGCTCACTGCAACCTCCGCCTCCCGGGTTCAAGCGATTTTCCTGCCTCAGCCTCCTGAGTAGCTGGGAGTACAGGGACAAGCCAACACACTCAGCTAATTTTTGTATTTTTAGTAGAGACAGGGTTTTGCCACATTAGCTAGGCTGGTCTTGAACTTCTGACCTCAATGACCTGCCTGCCTCACCCTCCCGAAGTGCTGGGATTAAAGGCATGAGCCACCGCACCCCGCCAGAAGAGTGACATTTTAAAAGCAGCCGACTCTTCTTGTTCTTAATATTTAAAACCCCAACCATATTACACAGGTTGTTACCATTTTACAGATGCAGAAATCGAGGCGCAGAGAAGCAACTGACCTAAAGTACACAGTTAATAGATGGAGCCATAATTCAAATGTAGGCAATGTGAGACCAGAGCCCAATTTTAACCACTGTGTCTGACTGCTTCCTGCATGACATACCTTGTTAGGCTGAAGTGATTCGAGTAAAATGATGATCCTCACTCTATGGAAGAGAAGCAGAGCTGGCCCCAGTAGTGGTCACATTTCTCTCCCAACTCCTCAAAGGTTCTCAGACCACCCGATTTTAAATAAAATCACTCACCAGCTTCTAAATGCAATAGTAGACCAAACATAAGGAGAACATTTCCTTTCTGCATCTTCATCTGTCTCTTTGTGGCTGGAAAGCAAGATGCCTGGGTCCTAGATGTACCAAGACTTTAGAGGGCAAAGAACAGAGGATTCTTGAGAAAGGGGACTTGAAGGTGAAGAGATAAAGGCTGGTGCTTCCAGGAGCGTGGGTCTCCTACGTTTGTGTTCCTGGGAAGAATCTTGGACTCAGGCGTGGGCAGCTGGATGCCTGGGTTCCTTAGGCTTCCTCCAGGCAATGTAGTTGCCTCTTTCTCTGTTGTGAAAGAGCTGCAGGGGCCTTTATAGCTTCATATGGTCTGAGGAGGGGTGGGGCAGTTGACCTGACAGTCTGCCAACTACAGGCAGGTGAGAGAACGATACCAAGCCTGGGACGGAATAGAGCGGGGGTCAAGAGGAAGGTGAGAAAGGAGAATGACATGACCACACTAGGCAGGGTGCTTGGCTGGGTTGCAGCAGGAAGTAGAATGGGATGAGGAGATCATGGTTGTCAGAGTGGAAGGGACCCACCCTTTGAAGCAGGGATCGGGTTAGAAACCTGTTCCAGCTCAAGAATTTGTTTTCTGGTCAGGAAGTCCTGTGGGCCTGCTTTAGCATGAAAGAAGCCCTAATGAACTGAGCCAAGAGAGTAGGACCTCACATCTCTACAGCAAACAGTAATAGGTGACGCAAAAGAGACCAGTAACTAGGACTCTGGGCTCCTGGGTTATGGGCAGAAGACAAATGGAGTGTTACTGAGTATGCAGTAGGCACTCAACAATGCACATTGAAGGAACAGGGGAAGAGAGATCCAGAAGACATAATGAAGAGAGATAATGAAAACATGTTTGGGGTCTCTGGGGCATGAGAACTGAGGGTGTGGGAGAGTATTGAATACGCCCCCTGTCAGACTCATAGCAGGAGAAGGAAGGTAGGGTCTCCTTCTGACCCTCAACCATAGGAGCTCCCCTCTGTTTTGTTTTTGTTTTCAGACGGCTGTATAGGAGCCTTTCCACCCTGAGATCCTTCTGATGTGCCTTAGCATCAGTTCCAAGGAAGCGTCTCTCAGGAGAGTACACACCTTAGGGAGAGACACAGTGCCATATCGGGACACAGTCTGATGGGAGGAGGGAGATCAACAGTCCAAGTCCTGGAGGAGGCTTGAATTTGGTCTGGACACTTGGATATGGCCAGCAGAGGGGAAACAGTCAGCTAAAAGAGCGTGACTGAAGAGACCCAAATGAGCAGAGGGTTTGGGGAGGTCTGAGATGGCATCTGTGACCAGGCTGATGGGGTTCCAATATACAGTCTGTATTTTCTGTCATAGTCCATTGGTGTTGCTATAAAGGAATCCCTGACTGTGGGTGACATAGAGAAAAGAGGCTTATTTGCCTCACGGTTCTGCAGGCTGTATGAGAAGCATGGCACCAACGTCTGCACTGGTGAGGGCTTCAAAAAGCTTCCACTTGTGGCCGAAGGAGAAGGGGAGCCGGTTTGCACAGATCATATAGCGAGAGAGAGGAAGCTGGAAAGAAGGAATGGAGGAGGTGACAGGATCTTTTCAACAACCAGTTCTTGTGGGAACTAAGAGTGAGAACTCACTGGTTGAGAATGGCACCGAGCTGTTCATGAGGGATCTGTTTCAACCACCCAAACTCCTCCCACCAGGCTCCACCTCCAACATTGGGAATCAAATTTCAACATGAGACTTGGCAGGGTTTAATAACCACATCCAAACCATTGCAATGACCAAAGTGAGTTGTCTGCATTTCCCCCATCAATGACGAGAAGCTTCCTGGAAGACACAGTCTCTCAGATAGTTTATTTGTAGGCGAACGAGCTTTCCTGACATGCAAGTTCTGTTAGAAGGAAGCTGGCAAGCAGGAGGTGGCTGAAGACATGAAGGAGCTCTGAATGAGTGAGCTGGAGAAACAGAAAGGGTCAGCGGTGTGCTGGGAAAGGCTCAGAAGTGAGTCTGCCTAGTGGCTGTGATGGGAAGTTCCAGAGGGTCAGGTATGCGGGAACGCTCAGTGACAGGTTGGGTCCTGGACTCCCAGCAATTCTTCTGATGTGCCAGTATTCTGCAGCTGAAAAGCCAATAGCACTCTAAGAATTTTCTTCTTCCAGAATTATTTAGAAACTGAGATCCTGGATTCAAGTCCAAATTTCACCTTTTAGAGGGTACTCTGAAAATTGTAGCGCGCATACTTATCAGAGCCTAATGTAATTAATATCTTTACTCGCTATCAAAATAACACAAAGACCTCAGAACATTTTAATTCGTATTACCCATCTCCCAAATCATACCCTAATATCATCAAGTATTTTAATTCCATCTTGTTTTTTAACTTCATGAAAGATTATTGTAAAAAAAAAATTATTGTTGTCTGCTTACACACCCTCAGCCTGAACGCAGTCACACAGCCATGTTAAGCTGCAAGAGAAACTGAGAAAGACTGTCTCTAGCTGGGTAGACGTGTGCTCAGCTGACACTTGAGAGATCTGTTGCTAAAGGTGGAGAATGGGTGTTAGCAGACAACCATAAAGCCGTGACATGATCCAGCAACCCCACTGCTGAGGAGGTAGCCAAAAGAAAAGAAATCAGTGTATCAAAGAAATATCCGCACTCCAACGTTTGTTGCAGCACTGTTTGCAATAGCTAAGATTTGGAAGTGTCTATTAATGGATGAATGAATAAAGAAAGTGTGGTACAGGCCGGGCGCAGTGGCTCACACCTATAATCCCAGCACTTTGGGAGGCCGAAGTGGGTGGATCATAAGCTCAGGAATGCAAGACCAGCCTGGCCAACATGGCAAAATCCCATCTCCACTAAAAATACAAAAATTAGCCCAGTGTGGTGACGGGCGCCTGTAATCCCAGCTACTCGAGAAGCTGAGGTAGGAGAATTGCTTGAACCTGGGAGACGGAGGTTGCAGTGAGCCAAGATTGTGCCATTGCACTCCAGCCTGGGCGACAGAGTGAGACTCCATCTCAAAAAAAAAAAAAAAAAAAAAAAAAAAAAAAAAGAGCCAGGCACGGTCATGCCTGTAATCCCAGCACTTTGGGAAGCACAGGTGGGCAGATCATGATGTCAGGAGTTCGAGACCAGCCTGGCCAGCATGGTGAAACCCCATCTCCACTAAAAATACAAAAATTAGCCGGGCGTGGTGGCAGGCATCTGTAATCCCAGCTACTCGGGAGGCTGAGGCAGAAGAATTGCTTGAACCTGGGAGGCAGCGGTTGCAGTGAACCCAGATCGAGCCACTGCCCACACTCCAGCCTGGATGACAGAGCAAGTCTCCATCTCGGAAAAAAAAAAAAAAAAAAAAAAAGAAAAGAAAAGAAAACGTGGTACATATACATAGTGGAGCATCATTCAGCCATAAAGAAAGAATGAGATCCAGTCATTTGCAACAACATCGCTGGACATGGAGATCATTATGTTAAGTGAAAAACCCGGCACAGAAAGACAAACATTGCATGTTCTCATTTATTTGTGGGATCTAAAAATCAAAAACAACTGAACTCATGGACATAGAGTCTAGAAGAATGGTTACCAGAGGCTGGGAAAGGTAGTGGGGAGGACTGGGGGAGGTAGAGATGGTTAATGAATGAATTAATTAAATGAATTAAATTAATTTAAAAAAACAAATGAATTAAAAAGAATGAATAAGACCTACTCTTTGATAGCACAACAGGGTAACTATAGTGAATAATAACTTAATTGTATATATTAAAATAACATAAAGAGTGTAATTGGATTTTTTGTAACTCAAAGGATAAATGCTTGAGGGGATAGATACCCCATTCTCCACGATGTGCTGATTTCACATTGCATACCTGTATCAAAACATCTCATGTACCCCATAAATATATACACCTACTATGTACCACAAAAAGTAAAAATAAAAAAAATTAAAAATAAAGCCAGGACGTACATTTAAACCTACTTACCTTATATTCTGTATTTAATAATTTCAATACCTAAAGTCTTTGAGGATCTGATACTGCTGTCTAGCTTTTTGGTTTTGTTTTCTTCCTTGCTGGTTTTCACTCAGGGTGTCTGTTTTCACTTATGATTTGAGAATCATGACTATAAATTTATTTTTCTTGGAATGTTATCTGTCGAGATCAAGGCTGCAGTGGCACTAGCATAACTCACTGCAGCCTTGACCTTCTGGGCTCAGGCAATCCTACTGCCTCGGCCTCCCAAATTTCTGGAATTACAGATTAAGCTACGATCTTTCACAGAGAATTTGCATGTTTTTTCCAAGCATATGGAGACATTACCATTTGAGGATTATTTTATTATTATATTTTTAATTAAAATATTTTATTAACATTGTTACTGTATATACTTATGGGGTACAATTTAATGTTTTAATACATATATATGCTGTATAATTTGAGGATTATTTTAAGTTAAACTATAGGATTGCGGTCTTTTGAATTACCTAGACTGCATGATTTGTGGCTACAAACCATGTAAGTAAGGTATTGTTGGTTGTTGTGGTTACAATTTATTTCTCAAGGGATACTCCCTCTACCCTCCTCTGCACCAAATTTAGAGACAGGCAATTTTGCTTACATTTCCTTAGAGGAGGGGCAGGTTTATTTTTAGTTTACATTCTCACTGAAAGTTACAGATTTATGTGATTCCTCCCCACCCATGACCTTGGGCTGATCCAGCTGAAGCTGTAATACCCGAAGCTTAAGTTCTTTGGGTTTTGCAAAAGTTGGCTTCAGTACTTCCCTTACCTCCTGGGTCCTATTTAGTCTTTAATTTTAGCATTCCATACTTTCATGCCAATTCACTGACTCTTTTAAGAAGATTTTGAAGTCCATAACTTAGCTTTACAGTGTATTTTCAGTCAGGGCACGTAGTCCATTATATAGCAAGAAGTTTAAGTTGTCATTGGATTGTTTTGAGAAATAAATGGTGATGTATTTACAGGCACTAGCATAGTGTTTGGCACTTAATAAGCATGCAATAATAAAGGACAAAGGGAAAATAAAAAAGACAAACATAAATACATAAATACATAGATGCCAGGTGTATTTTGAGATTTTAATTTGTAGCACTGTCCCAGTAAATTTCTTCTAACTTATCACATAGCATTTGAAAGAGGCAAAGAAGTAGGGAGGGAGACTCTTCCCAAAGATGAAGAACTGGAGGGCACTGAGTGAGTCTAACAGGATTTTCTGATCTACTCAGTTTGTAGAGTTTGAAGTTACAAATCCAAATAAAGAAAGTTGTGTAATTACAAATTCTCAGGGGAAATTTTTTACCCCCTCCATTATTATAAACTGTGATAATCTTATTCTTCCTCCTACTGGTCAGGTTCCATCCTGAGGAAACGATAGAAAGCCAAAGCCTAAAGAGTTCTGACTTGTGTGTTGAGAGATCAAAGAGAAATTGTTCTGAGCTTGATCATCGTGACCCCTCCTCCCCACAAGAGTTGGAACCATGGTTATGCTCAGGGGATATTTTCACTTGAGCTCACACCCAAAGCTGGTGAGGCTGCAGGTCTCCTCCAGAACCACTCCCTATTTTTCTGACTGTCCCGTTGGCCAAACCCTCTGTGCTCTTTTCTCTGGTTCTTTTCTTGATTTTGATCATGACCATCTCTATGGCCAATTCCTTGGAGACCTCAGAGAAGCCCATCCTGACCCATTTTATGGTCACTACCTTCTCCTCCATGATCCCCCTTCTTCCCCAAGATTTTCTTTTCCATAGCACCTTCCATTATCCAGTCTATGTCTATACTCTCCTTTGCCTTGGCGACCTTCTCTGTGATGCATTTCATGATTATTGCTGTAGCCTCCTCCAAGTCCATAACGCCCACCATGATTCACTCCACAGCCATCTCCATGGCTGTGGCTCAGCTCATGGCCCACTCCATGTCCAAAGCCATGTGTTCCTGTGTGTCCCATCTCAAGTCCCCCTCCATGAATGAGTGCATTTCCCAGGCTGTGGAATGTCCCAGAGCCCAGGACTGAGTCCAGGTATAAACCAAGGTCAAGGCTGTTGTCATGGAGGTTATAAATGCCTCTATTTGTCAGGGTAAAGAAAGATCCTTCTAAAAGAGAAAAATATATATATTAGTAGTTAACTCCTTTTCTTTCTTATCATTAAACCTTCTTGGATTATCAAAATTCATAAATTTTCACTTTTCAATATTGTCTATTTTCTCATCAAGTCTTCCTGTGTGTGTGTGTGTGGATGATATTTAGGACTCTCTTCCTCTTATTTATTTATTTATTGGAGAAAACAGTCTTCCTAATTAGTATACTTGTACCTTGGTAGGGATCTATGCTGCTCAACTTTCAAGACAAGATAAGTCTGGGCATGGTGGCTCGTGCCTGTAATCCCAAAACTTTTGGAGGCTGAGGTAGGTGGATTGCTTGAGCCCAGGCATTCCAGAGACCAGCCTGGGCAACATGGTGAAACCCCATCTCTACAAAAATAAAAAAAACAAGACAAGGTAAATTTGCATCCTGTACCTGGGAACAGAGTCAGCTAAGAGTAGGGAATCTTTTATTGTGTAAATCAACCAAAAAGGTTGCATGTCTATGAGGTCAGGTAAAAATAAATAAAAGTTCATAAGGCCAGGTACAGTGGCTCATGCCAGTAATCCTAGTACTTTGGGAGGCCAAGGCGAGAGGATCACTTGAACCCAGCTCTATCTCTGGGTAGACAGAAGCTGCAGTGAGCCAAGACGGCACCACTGGACTCCAGCCTGGGTGACAGAGTGAGACCCCATCCAAAAATTAAAATGAAAATTTTTTTTTAAAGTTCATAAAATGGAAGCTAGAATAGTGCTTACCTTTGATGGAGTGGGTATTATCTGGGAAGGGCCACAAAATAAACTACTCAGATGGTAGAAATATTCTACATTTTAAGTTGGGTAATGGTTGTACAAGTGTTAACACATTTTGAAATTAATCAAGCTGTACAAATAATATTTGTGTACTTTTGTAAATTATAGTTCAAAATTTTTTCATCTGTGAACAGTATTTATTTTTTTCAATTAATATTGTTCTTTTTATTTTTTTTTATTTCTTGAGACAGAGTCTTGCTCTGCTACCCAGGCTGGAGTGCAGTAGCACGATCTCGGCTCACTGCAACCTCTGCCTCCCAGGTTCAAGCAATTCTCCTGCCTCATCCTCCAGAATAGCTGGGATTACATGCATAAGCCACCATACCCGACTAATTTTTGTATTTTTAGTAGAGACAGGGTTTCCCCATGTTGGCCAGGCTGGTCTTGAACTCCTTACCTCAGATGATCCATCCGCCTCAGCCTCCCAAAGTGTTGAGGTTACAGAACTGCGCCCGGCTGTTCTTTTTATTTTTAAGTGTAATTTAACTTTTAACCTTTCTCCCAACTGTATTAAGTTGATACGTGAAACATATATTTGGACTTCTGCACATTTCCTGGCATGCAGCTCCTAAAATCCTTAGGTACTGAAGTGATTTTTTTTTTTTGTATGCGAATGAGTCAACTGTTGGCTACAGGATGGGGGCTAATCACCGGAAAGACCAAAGCACCACCCTTTAACCCTTAACCTCCAGGGAGGAGAGGGGACTGAAGGTTAAGTTGATTACCAGTGGCCAAGGTTTAATCAGGTATACCTACATAATGAAGCCTCTGTAAAAACCCCAAAGGCCAGGGCTCAGAAAACATATGGAGGTTCCTGGAGGATGGGGTGCTGGGGAGGGCATGGAAGCTCCCTGCTCCTTCTCCCTCCACGCCTCTTCACCTGTATCCTTTGTAATATCCTTTGTAATAAACCAGTAAAGGTGTTTCCCTGAGTTCAGTCAGCCACTCCTGCAAATTAATCGAAACCAAACAGGAGTAGCCAACTCCAACTTGCTCCAGTTGGTCAGAAGTTCCAGAGGCCTGGACTTGGCAGCCTGTGGGAAGGAGCGGTTGGTGTTGAGGGACTGCGCGCTTAGTCTGTGGATCTGATGCTATCTCCAGGTAGGCAGTGCCAGCACTGAATCGGAGGACACCGAGCTGGTGTCTGCTGCAGAACTGATTGCTTGCTTAGTGTGGGAAGAACTTCCCCTCTTAATTTGGTCACCAGAAGTGTTTTGTGTTGGTGGTGGTGTGAGAGCAGAGGAAACACAGTTTGTGTTTTTCCCACTTTCAAAGCTGGTGAATAAATATTGCATATACTTATGGTGTACAATGTGATGTTTTGATATATGTATACATTTTGAAATTATTAAATCAAATTAACATACCTATTGCCTTGCATACTTATCATTTTTTATTGGTAAGAATTACACCTCAATTTTTAAAGATAAAGAAAAATAAGAGACAGGCCATAAAGAGCTAAAGGTTGGAGAACTATCTAAAAAACACTGTGGGCCAGGTGCGGTGGTTCACGCCTGTAATCCCAGCACTTTGGGAGGCCGATGTGGACAGATGATGAGGTCAGGAGTTCGAGAGCAGCCTGGCCAACATGGTGACACCCCATCTCTACTAAAAATACAAAAAATTAGCCGGGCATGGTGGCACATGCCTGTAATCCCAGCTACTCAGGAGGCTGAGGCAGGAGAATTGCTTGAACCCGGGAGGTGGAGGTTGCAGTGAGCCGAGATTGTGCCATTGCACTCCAGCCTGGGCAACAGGGCGAGGCTTCGGCTCAAAAAAACAAACAAACACTCTGGCTAAGAACACAGGCTCTGCTGTCAAGTGGACCAGAATTAGAGCCTAGCTCTGCGTGGCCTTGTCCTGTGGTCTTCAGCAAGTTACTTATGTCTCTGCTTCCAGTTTTCTAGTCTATAAAATGGGATAATAGGAGTACACATCCCCAAGGGTGGTTGAGCAGAGCAAAGGAGAGATGATGCTCTCTAAGCACTCTGGGCCCTGGACCTCATACCTAGTAGATAGCTAATAAAATGCTAGTTAACTAATATTACATCTTTATCTTAAACATTTAGGGGGTTGCTCATGGCTGGTGAGTCACATATTGTTCTTCCCTTAGGGAGGGGTCAGAGACTCTGAAATAAGAAACTCAGGTAAGTTGATTGTAAATTATGTTAACTGTTTGTGGCTTGTGTGAATTTCTCATTTATGTATTGTGTACTCACTCTGGCTCCTCCTACAAATTTACAAGACTGCATACAGGAATACATAAAGCCAAAATGGGAAAATACAAATGTTCTATTTCTTAAAATAGAACAAGAGAAATACATTTGAATAGAAGATTAAGACCAGGATGGACAATAGAACACAGTCTGCTGCTGGCCAGTGGCTGTCACATTGGCACCAAGAACTGCGGAGGGCTGGGGCCTCTGGAACGTCAAACCCTCCCCTACACCAGGGGGAGTGTTTCTACAGCCTCCATTCTCCAGAAGGGCATTTCTTTGTCAACTTCCCTTAGTGTTTCGTGAAGAGTTTTGAAATCTCTAGCCTATTTGAGTTGTGCTAAGAGGTACCTGGAAAAGTGAATTTGTTTTCACTTGGGTAAAATCATAAAGGCATGAGGTGGGACGTGCCCCACTCTCACCCTGGAAGGAGCTTATGATTTTGTCTGTCTTGAAAGTGAAAAACCTGTTGAGGACCTAAATGTTCATCACTTTCCAAAGATGTTTTTTCTAGTGTTACATTCCCAGCTATTTTATAAGACACATTTTCCATCATATTCTCAATGCTCTCCTATTCATACCCAGACACTTTCCTCTCACTTGGGGCCCCCTTCCTCTTTTTTTTTTTGAGATGGAGTTTCACTCTTATAGCCCAGGCTGGAGTGCAGTGGCGCGATCTCGGCTCACTGCAACCTCTGTCTCCCGGGTTCAAGAAGTTCTCCTGCCTCAGCCTCCCGAGTAGTTGGGATTACAGGTGCCTACCACCACACCGGCTAATTTTTGTATTTTTAGTAGAGATGGAGTTTCACCATTTTGGTCGGGCTTCTCTCGAACTCCTGACCTCAGGTGATCCTCCTGCCTTGGCTTCCCAAAGTGCTGGGATTACAGGTGTGAGCCACCACGCCCGGCCTCTTCCTCTTCTTCTTCTTCTTTTTTTCTTCCTGCTATATCTATCGTTTATATTTTCTGTCTTTCTCCTTCTCCCTGGTCTTTATACTACGCTATGTGAGACAGTAAAAATCAGACTGCGAAAGCAGCAGTCGGCCACTGTCCATCAGGAGGTAGATGCATAACAGCATAGGTGGCCAGCTGTGAGGGGCACTGAGAGGAATATTTTTCCCCAGGGCGCACTGCAGCTGTGAAGTATCACAGCCCTTACTCACTTCCAGTGACCTACTCACTTGCAGTGATTTAGCCAATGAAAAATTTCATTCTCTAAAATCGCAGACTATTACAAATTTGCTGTTTGATTCTAAATCAGTGAGAAGGAAATATCCCATTCTTGTCTGGAAACTCTAAGTGACTTTGACACAGAGAAGCAGCCTCCAATTCCAACTGGGGTACAGATAAGGGGTTTCTCTGAATACAACATTCCACGTTCATTTTAACTGTAGTTTCCAAGGAAATAATCTATTTCACAGTTTCAAGCTGCCGGTGACCCCTTTACAAACAGCCCTGCTTTCTTTTGAGCCTTTTAAAATTCTTTCATTTAAATTTCACCAAAAATCCACACTTTCCTCCAATACTATAATGACATTTCCCCCAATACTATAATGACATTTCCCCCAATACTGTAATGACATTTCCGTTGTTTGGTGAGAAGCTCCTCAGCTCCCTGGTATACAGCCTCCCATTTTGCAACTAACTGATAAATCTGACTTCATGGGACTATACATTTGCTCCTGCACTCTTGGTCGATTGGACTAGGGTACAAGTGACTCTCCAGACCCCTCTCCATGCTAATAGCCTAGTGGCCCTTCTTCCGTCAATTCTAATCCTCCTCGTGATCTATCTTCTCAGGAAAGCTCTGCCCATTTCCATGCTCAGTCACTCACAAGGCAAAACCTCAGTCCTACTGACAATCCAACACCAACCATGACTACAGCCAGGGAAATGAGCATGATGGCCTGGGGCTGTAAATGTCCACTCAGTTTGATCACATGTTTGGATGTGTGGCTCACGCTAACTGTATTTGTGCCCGTGGACACTGGGACTGTTTACTGGGAGGTGTTGCTGGTTGGCTCACGGGTGGATCCTGTAGTGGTCCTGAAGCTGGGGGCTGAGGTGGTAGATGATGCTCCCATAGTGGATGTACCCAGGTCAGAGGTGTTTGAGACTATTCCGGTCACAGGATGGCTGCAGCAGAGGCCATGGAGTCCATTCCAGGGGCCATGGTGACAGAGCTAGGGGCGGTAGGACTGGTTCCAGGGGTCACACAACATGATGCATTCATAGCAGAGATAATTAAAGGGGAGTGGGAGCGCTTAGAGCAGAGCGGGGTGAATCTAACATGTCTATGGTGAGAGTAGCTCAGGAGAGGGGTGGTGGGGGAGGAGAGATGGTAGAAAGCCATTCCTCTGTGGCCGTGTCCTCACAATAGAGGTGGGTGTTGTACAGAGGAGGAGGTAGAATGTGTCACCTGGTGGAGTTGGTGATGGAGGAGGCAGAAGGTTGAGGAAACGTGACCGTGATGGGTATGGAAGTGGAAGATCTATTTGACTTCGGAAGTGGCCACCCAAATAGAAGAGGGCGGGCTTGTATACAAAGTGGCAGGCCCTGCTTCTTTTGTGACTGTGATCACTGGGTGTAAGGAGGGAGCTGGAGGAGGAGATGACAGAATTGGATTCATTCATGGGCATGCCAGTGGCCGTGGCTGGGACAGAGGTGACATCATCTACCACACTGTGGTGGTCAGCAAAGGTGGGGTGAGTGTGCTTGGGCAGATGTGGGAGGACCTGACCCAAGTGGAGAAGGCTGCTCACAGGGACAGGAGAGGGTGGGCTCAGACAGGTGCGAGTGAGAATCAACACAGCAGAGGCAGTGGTGGTGGCTTTGATAGCAATGGGTGTGCCTAGGTCAGAAGTGGTGAAAATAGGATCCCAAACAGCACCAGTCACCAGAATAGAGGTGAGGGTGCTCAGAACGAAGAGGATAGAATCAGATGCAACCGGCTTGCTGATGGAAAGTGCCAGAGAATGAACATAATTGTTTGGTCTTAGACTGGAGCAAGGTGATATGATTTGGATTTGTGTCCCTGCCCAAATCTCATGTCAAATTGTAATCTCCAATGTTGGAAGAGGGGTGTATTAGTCAGGGTTCTCTACAGCGACAGAACTGATGGAATATATATAAAGCGGAGTTTATTAAATATTAACTCACATGATCACAAGGCCCCACAATAGGCCTTCTGCAGGCTGAGGAGAAAGGAGAGCCAGTCCGAGTTCCAAAACTGAGGAAGCATCCAGCACGGGAGGAAGATGTAGGCTGGGAGGCTGGGCCAGTCTCTCTTTTCACATTTTTCTGCCTGCTTAAATTCTAGCCACTCTGGCAGCTGATTAGATTGTGCCACCCAGATTAAGGGTGGGTCTGCCTTTCTGAGGCCACTGACTCAAATGTTCATCTCCTTTGGTAACACCCTCGCAGACACACCCACGATCAATACTTTGTGTCCTTCAATCCAATCAGGTTGACACTCAGTATTAACCATCATAAGTCCACCCCTTGTCAACTTGAACCCATGCGCATCTCCTGAGATTATACATAATCTTCAAATAAAGACAATAATAAGGTCATAATTATGCCCAACATAATACAACTATCCTTCATACAACCGGAAACGCACCAATCCCCAGCCCATATGCTATTACGCAAAGTTAATAATACTTAAATGCTGATGTGAAGTCAATAAATCTTACATCACATAATAAAGGAGAAAGGAAATAAAATGAAGATATTTTCTTAGTACAAGTGTATACATGTACAAACGTGTTTTTAACAAAAGAAGGAGGAAATACTCATGACAATTACAGTGCTCTTTCTGCAGCTGGTCACGCAGTCATAGTTGGTATTGATGGCTACCTTCTTCTGCTACCCATTCTGTATTCCCTTTCCCTTTAGCAAGCATCTCAGCAGGTCATGGTTTTTTCCTGGTGGAGTGACCCAAACTTTCATTTCTGAAGGGTCTGGGTCATTTGTAGTCCTGCCTGGATTGGGCTGTTGTAGTTTCCCACTGACCTTAATCACAGGGCATGGTAATGCTAAGAGACGCCCTAATGGATCTCAAGTATTCCATGCATACTTTTCCTTACCTCCGTTGTGGAGTAGTAGACTGACTTCATCAGGATAGTCTAGGTCAGTCACAGCAGCCAACACTGTAACTCCCTTCTAAGCCTGTTAACGTAAAGGTAGAAGGAGCCCAAAGTGTCCAGGTGGCAATTTTAACTTCCAGTTTAATGGCATTGTTGTTGTGTCTCCTGGTGGCAGCGTTCCTCCCTCTGGAGCTAAGACCTCTAGGCCAGCAGAATGTAATGTCACAGGAACAGGAAGCAAAAATTTTGCTAGTGGATCACTAGGGGTGATGGTGAGTGGTGCCACTTCCACTTCCATCCCTTGCTTCCTGGACCCAGAAATGCTGGCTATGGGAGAAACAGTACCATACATTGGACACTGATTCAGAGCATACACAGCCTTCTAGAGAATTTTGCCCCAGCCCTGCAAAGTATTGTCACCTAGTTGATGTCGTAATTGTGACTTCAAAAGGCCATTCCACCGTTCTATCAATCCAGCTGCTTTAGGATAATGGGGAACATAAGACCAGTAAATTCCATGAGCATGAGCCCACTGCCACCCTTCTTTAGCTGTAAAGTGAATGCCTTGGCCAGAGGTAATGCTGTGTGGAACCATGATGGTGGATAAGGCATTCTGTGACTTCACGATGGTAGTCTTGGCAGAAGCATTGCATGCAGGATAGGCAAACCCATATCAGGAGTAAGTGTCTATTCCAGTGAGGACAAACCTCTGCCCTTTGCATGATGAAAGAAGTCCAGCCAGTAATCCAGTAATCAGCTGGCTGATCATCCTGAGGAATGGTGCTATACTGAGGGCTCAGTGTTGGTCTCTGCTGCTGGCAAATTGGGCATTCAGCAGTGGCCATAGCCAGGTCAGCCTTGGTGAATGGAAGTCCATGTTGCTGAGCCCATTCATAACCTCCATCCCTGACACCACGGCCACTTTGCTCATGGGCCCATTGGGTGATGACAGGGTTGGCTGGGGAAAGAGGCTGAATGGTATCCACAGAACGGGTCATCGTATCCACTTGATTATTAAAATCCTCCTCTGCTGAGGTCATCTGTTGGTGAGCACTCACATGAGATACAAATATCTTCACAGTTTTTGACCACTCAGAGAGGTCCATCCACATAACTCTTTCCCACATTTCTTTGTCACCAATTTTCCAATCGTGCTTCTTCCAAGTCCCTGACCATCCAGCCAAACCCCCTACTGATTATGCATCAGTAAATAATCACACATCTGACCGTTCTCCTTCCATGCAAAGTGCAGAACCAAGTGCACTGCTTGAAGTTCTGCCCACTGAGAATATTTCCCTCCACCGCTGTCCTTCAGGGATGTCCTAGAGAGGGGCTGTAGTGCTGCAACTGTTCACTTTCGGTTAGTGCTCCATATTGTGCAGAACCATCTGTGAACCAGGCCCTAGTCTTCTCTTCCTCTGTCAACTGATCATAGGGAACTCCCCATGAGGTCATCGGTACAAGCTGGGGAAGAGAAAGCAGGGTGGCAGGAGTGGAGACCATGGGCATTTGAGCCACTTCCTCATGTAACTTACTTGTGCCTTCAGGAACTGCTTGAGCCCGATCATGTGTATATCACTTATATTTGATGATGGAATGCTGCCGCACACCGACCCATTTTATAGCTAGATGGATCAGAAAGCACCCAGTTCATGATAGGTAGTTCAGGTCACATGGTGACTTGATGACTGATAGTCAAATGTTCAGTTTCCACCAAAGCTCAGTAATAGGCCAAGAGCTGTCTCTCAAAAGGAGAGTAGTTATCTGCAGAAGATGGCAAGGACTTGTTCCAAAATCCTAGAGGCCTCTGCTGTGATTCACTTATGTGGGCCTGCCGAAGGCTCCAAACAGCATCCCTATCTGCCACTGACACCTCAAGCACCATTGGATCTGCTGGGTCATATGGCCCAAGTGGCAGAGCAGCTTGCATAGCAGCCTGGACGTGTTGCAGAGCCTTCTCCTGTTCTGGATCCCACTCAAAACTGTCAGCCTTTCGGGTGACTCAATAAATGAGCTGGAGTAACACACTCAAATGTGGAATGTGTTGCTTCCAAAATCCAAGTAAGCCCACTAGGCGTTGTGCTTCTTTCTTGGTTGTAGGAGGGGCCAAATGTAGCAACTTCTTCACCTTAGAAGGGATATCTTGACAGGCCCCACACCACTGGACCCCTAGAAATTTTACTGAGGTAGAAGCTCCCTGAATTTTAGTCAGATTTATTTCCCATCCTCTGGCACACAAATATCTCACCAATAAGTCCAGTGTGTTTGCTACTTCTTGCTCACTGGACCCAATCAGCATAATATCATCAATGTAATGGACCAGTATGATATCTTGCAGAAGCAAAAAGTGATCAAGCTCTCTCTGAATAAGATTATGACACAAAGCCGGAGAGTTGATATACCCCTGAGACAGGACAGTAAAGCTGTATTGCTGGCCTTGCCAGCGGAAGGCAAATTACTTCTGGTGGGCCTATGGACAGGAATGGAGAAAAAGGCATTTGCCAAGTCAATGGCTGCATACTAGGTACCAGGAGATGAGTTAATTTGCTCAAGCAATGAAACAACATGGGGTACAGCAACTGTAATTGGAGTCACCACTTGGTTAGGCTTACGATAATCCACTGTCCTTCTCCAAGATTCATCTGTCTTCTGCACAGGCCAAATGGGAGAACTGAATGGGGATATGGTGGGAATCACCACCCCTGTGTCTTTCAAGTCCTTGATGGTGGCACTAATCTCCGCAGTCCCTCCTGGGATGTGATTTTTTTTTTTATTTACTATTTTTCTAGGTAGAGGCAGCTCTAATGGCTTCCATTCAGCCTTTTCCACCATAGTAACCCTCACCCTACCAGTCATGGAGCCAATGCAGGGGTTCTGCCAGCTGCTAAGTATATGCCAATTATGCATTCTGGCACTGAGGAAATGATCACAGGATGAGTCCAGGGACCCACGGGACCCACTATAAGTCAGACCTGGGCTAAAACTCCATTAATTACCTGACTTCTATAAACGCCTACTTTTTTTTTTTTTTTTTTTTTTGAGACGGAGTCTCACTCTGTTGCTCAGGCTGGAGTGCAGTGGCAGATCTTGGCTCACCACAACCTCCACTTCCCAGGTTCAAGCTATTCTCCTGCCTCAGCCTCCCAAGTAGCTGGGACTACAGGCGTGCACCACCATACGCGGCTAATTTTTGTATTTTTAGTAGAGAGGGTTTCACTATTTTGGCCAGGCTGGTCTCAAACTCCTGACCTCGTGATCCACCTGCCTTGGCCTTCCAAAATGCTGGGATTACAGGCATGAACCACCACTCCCGGACTCATAAGCCCATACTTTAACTGGAGGGCCACAATGACATTTTGGGTCTCCTGGAATCAACGCCAGCTCAGAGCCAGTGTCCAGTAGTCCCCAAAATGTCTAATCATTTCCCTTTCCCCAATACACAGTTACCCTGGTAAAAGGCCAGAGGTCTTGGGGAAGGATGGGAGAAAGATTCACTGCACAAATTGTTGGTAATGTAGTGGGGTCCTTCCTCAAGGGGACCCAGCCTCCCGTTCATTCAAGGGGATCTGGGTCTGTGAACTGGCTCAAGTCTGGAAATTGGTTGAGGGGCCGTGATTCTGTTTTTATAATTCAAATTAGTCTTTTGTCCATTCAGCCTAGAAGTTCTCTGCTTGTATAAATTAAATAGGAATGCAATAGGCTTCCTATCAATTTCACTTCTAGGAACACTGTGATTAATTAGCCAATGCCAGAGCTCTGCATGAGTTGGACTATTCTGATTGCCACTTTGCCTCTGCTGTCCATTATGGTACCTACACCCACATTGCCTTCGATGTTTGAGTGCTACCACTTGGCCCCTGCCACCTCTAGATCCAATTATTCCCATTGTATTTAAATTTTGCAGTTGACTGACGGCGGTTCCCACTGTTAGATCTGACATACAGAGAAGAGCAATTATAGGGCTCTTCAGATATGCAGGTGCTGCCCTCACAAATGTATTTTGCAAAGCATCATCAAGGGTATATCTTCTGCACCCTCCCAGCTGGGATGAGTAGGTCTAAATTGACTAATCCACTCCACCATCCCAATCTCCCTAAGCCTTTGGATCCCTTCATTTACATTAAACCAAGGGAGATCAGCTTGCTCACAGCGGGCCATCTTTTAATCCATATTTTAGCTAACTAAGCAAATAAACTATTAGAACCCTTTTTAACTCCCCAAGCTGCAACATTAAATGCAGAGTCCCTATTTAGTGGGGCCAAATCAATAAATTCAGCCTGACCTAACTCTATGTTCCTTCCACCATTATCCCACACCCTTCATATCCATTCTAATGCCTGTTCTCCAGATTTCTGTTTATATAAATTAGAAAATTCAAGCAGTTCTTTTCGAGTGTAGTACATCTCCTCATGGGTCACACTCTCAACCTCGCCTCTAGGGGCCCTCCAGGAAATGATACCTAACAGTGTACAGGCTTGACTTGAGACAGGGCAGAGATGATAGAAACAGGTGAAGAGCTAGTGGTTGCCATTGGAATTAAAATGTGTGTGATCAGAGAAGACATGGGGGTTAGTACCTGACACAACTGTTTTGGTGATGGTCTGAGTAGAAATGTCAGTGACCTTGGTGGGCACGAAAGTGGCAGAGACAGTGGTGGAGGTTGCAGTGGCCCCAGAGGCTGTGGTAGAGGCCAAGAAGGGCGATGAGGCCAAAGCGAAGGCTGTGGAGGTCACAGATACTGCTGTGGATGGCAAGGTGGCCTCAGAGCCTGTGGTGGAAGCCATGCTGCTTCCAGACCCTGAAGTGACCTCAGAGGCTGTGCTCACAGCCATGTTGCTCGTGGATATTGCAGTGGAGGCTGTGGTGGTCTCAGAGTCTGTGGAGGAGGCGGTTGTGGGCATAGATACTATTATGGAGGCACTGGGGGTCTCAGAATCTGTGAGGGAAGCCGTGGAGGTTTCAGTGGCTGTAGTGGTCTCAGATCTTGTAGTGGAGGCTGTGGTGGTCTCAGAGCCCATCATGGATAAAAATCCTGCAGTGTTCTCAGAGGTTATTTTGGAGGTTGTTGTGGGCACAGATACTATCGTGGAGGTAGTGGGGGTCTCAGAGGTTGATGTGGCCTCAAAGGCCATAGTGGAGGCTAGGATGTGGTGGACACAAATATTTTGAAAGAGGATGTGGTGGACTCAGAGGCTGTGGAGAAGGCCTCAGTAGTTTCAGAGGCTGAGGTAGGAGCTACAGTAGGCACAGAGGTTATCATCCAGGCTGTGGGGATCTCGGAATCTTTGCTAGAGGCCAATGTAGTCACAGACTGCAGTGGTTCCTGAGGTTATGATGGAAGCCAGAGTGATCTCAGAGCCTGTGGTGGTTTCAGGCGCTTTGATAAAGACTGCAGTAGGCACAGATACTATCTTGGAGAGAGTGGTGCTCTTGGAGGCTATGGTAGAGTCCATGGTGGGCACAGACTTGGTCACGGAGTCTATAGTATTCTGATAGAGTGTGGTGGAGGCTGTGGTGGACACAGATGCTGTAGTGGTCTTAGCAGGCATTACGGTGGCTGTGGAGAACCCAGACTGTGTGGTTGTCACAGGAGCTTTGGTGGAGACCACAGCAGTCTCAGAACCTGTGGTCATGGCTGTGGTCATGGCTGTAGTCACTTCAGTGGCAGAGGTGGAAGCTCTGGTGGTCTCAGAGCCTGTGCTGCTTTCAGAGGCTGTAGCGAAGACTGTGGTGGGCACAGATGATACTGTGTGGTGTCCGGTGTTCTCAGAGCCTGTGGTAGAGGTTGTGGTGGGCACAGATGCTGTGGTGGTCTCAGCAGGTGTTGGAGGGGCTGTAGAGGGCGCAGACTCTACAGTTGTCCCAGAGGCTTTTGTGGAGATTGCAGTGGTCGCAGAGTCTGTGGTGGAGGCTGTGGGGGTCTCAGAGCCTGCGGTGATTTTAGAGGTTGTGGTGAAGACTGTGGTGGGCAGAGATGTTATCGTAGAGGTCGTGGCGGTCTTGGAAGCTGTGGTCATGGTTTTAGAGGCTGTGTTGGGAGCTGTGGAAGGTGTAGATGTTATCACAGAGAGTGTGTTGTTCTTGGGGACTGTGGCGGACACAGATGCTGTGGTGGTGTCAGTAGGTGTTTTGGTGGCTGTGTGGGGCACAGACTCTGCAGCTATCACAGAGGTTTGAGTGGAGACTGTGGTGTCCTCGGAGGCTGTGATGGCAGCAATGGTAGTTTCAGACATGGTGGCCTCACAGGCTGTTGTGTTCTTAGAGCCTGAGGTGGAAGCTGTGGTGGGCACAGATGTTACTGTGGAAGATGTGGTGGTGTTAGAGACCGTGGTGAAGGCCAGGGTGGACTCAAGGGCCAGGATAGAGGCTGTCACTGGCTCAGACACTGCAGTGGAGAACCTGATGGTCTCATAAGCTGTGGAGGAGACTGGGATGGCTGCAGAGCTCATGGTGATCTCAGAGGCTGTGCTGGAGGCTGTGCTGGAGGCTGTGGCTGACACAGACATTGTAGAGGACGTGATGATCTCAGAGGCCGTGCTGCTCTCAGAGCCGGTGGTTGAGGCCACAGTGGCACAGATGCTGTGGTGGAGGGTGTGGTAACCTCAGAGGCTGCAACAATAGTTGTGGTGGCTTCTGAGCCTATGGAGGTCTCAGAGTCCATGGTGGAGATGGCGATGATCTCAGAGGTTGAGGTACTCTCAGAGCCTGTGGTTGAGGCCATTGTGGACACAGACTCCACCATGGTCTCAAAGGCTACAGTGGGCCCTGGGGGCATAGTCCTTCCTGAAAAATATCAATTTTTAGTCAAATACGACACCTACTTTACATTTTTGATATTTAATTAGGAGCATCGTGCATATGTCTTTCTTGTTTCCTTTACATCAGCAGAACTGCTGGTGTCGTTACCTTTTATTTGGAATCATGTATTTCAGAGGCTCAGCATTTGCAGTTTCCTCCGCAGCTAAGGGCCCGGTTGCTGATTCAGCTGTGCTTCTGTAGTGCATGAGTCATTTGATCGATCTTCTTGGCACCTTGTCCTTTCTGCCATAATGTTTTTTGGAACTGTACTTGCCTAGGTGAAATAAAATCTAACCTATGTTAAGGAGGCTCCACATTATCTCTGTGTGTGTTATAACACTAAGGATAGTTGGGTCTCATCAGATTAGGGGAAAGTGTGTTGTTTGAAAACCTCATCCAGGGCCAGGCACAGTGGCTCACGCCTGTAATCCCAACACTTTGGGAGGCCAAGGCGGGCAGATCACCTGAGGTTGGGAGTTCGAGACCAGCCTGACCAACATGGAGAAACCCCGTCTCTACTAAAAATACAAAATTAGCCAGGTGTGGTGGTGCATGCCTATAATCCCAGCTACTCAGGATGCTGAGGGAAGAGAATTGCGTGAACCCAGGAGGCAGAGGTTGCAGTGAGCCGAGATCGTGCCATTGCACTCCAGCCTGGGCAACAAGAGCAAAACTCTGTCTCAAAAAAAAAAAAAAAGAAAGAAAGAAAGAAAACTTCATCCAGGTCATCTGGACTGATCAGAAGAATCCCCTTGTCTGGGTGGAAGTGACAAGGAGGTCATAGGAGGGCAGCTTGAGCAGAGACACTCTGGTGCAAGTCCCCCATCACTCTTTGGGACGTTCAGCACACGATCCCTGCCTGAAGGGAGCCTGCAGGTTCTCATCCACCATCTGAGAGCACCGGGGTGTAAAATTCACAGGAGGCCAGCTTTTTTCCAGCCTCTTCAGGTGGTGAAAGTTGATGAGTTAGGCAGTTTGTAAAGAGACACAAGGAGATACTAGGGGGAAAAGTCCTTGGGAAGATTTCTTCCCCTCCCCTCCTTTCCCCTCCCCTCCCCTCCCCCCTCCCTCTCTCTCTCTCTCTCTCTCTTTCCTTCTTTCTTTCTTTCTCTCTCTTTCTTTTTCTTTCTTTCTCTTCCTTCCTTTCTTCTTTAATTCCTTCCTCCCTTCTTTACTTCCTTCCTTCCTTCTTCCTCCCTCCCTCCCTTCCTTCCTTCTTTCCCTCCTTCCTTCCTGTCTTTCTTACTTTCATTTATTTACTCTTCTAGTATAACATACTAGATTAAGTGGTAGCACTGGGAATGGATTAGAGAAGAATCTGGGGGATTAGTCTGGGTTTCTCTCTGATATACACTCTCTGCATCCAGGCCTTCTCATTCATTTATTCAAACATATTCCTTAAGAACCTTCTGTGGGCCACATGATGTGCCAGGCATGGGATACAGTGATTGAAAAGTTGATACAGAGCTTATATTCAAATAAGGGAGAGAGACCATGAATAAGTAAATGGATGATGTCCGAAATGAAAAACCTATGCATAGCTGACTGGGACTCTTTCAGGGGCCAAAAGGAAAAGTCCCTCCTGTCCTCCATGCAGGACCATGTGCAGGACCAAAAAAGAAATGAGAGGCCCAAAGCAAAGAAATACCTGCAGACTGGTTTTTCAAAATGGAAGCCGTACTGTGACAGTGCCCTTCTGAATATGGAAAAGTAGCGCTTCTGAGCAAATTGCCACAATGTTTTCTTGTTTTTGTTTTGTTTTGTTTTGTTTTTTTAAATGGAGTTTCACTCTTTTTGCCCAGGCTGGAGTGCAGTGGTGTGATCTCGGCTCACTGCAACCTCCGCCTCCTGGGTTTGAGTGATTCTCCTGCCTCAGCCTCCTGAGTAGCTGGGACTACAGGCACACGTCACCACGCCCGGCTAACTTTTATATTTTTAGTAGAGATGGTTTCACCATGTTAGCCATGAACTCCTGACCTCAAGTGATCCGCCCACCTCAGTCTCCCGAAGTGCTGGGATTACAAGCGTAAGCCACCGCGCCCAACCTAGTTGACACAATGTTGAAGGAAATGCAGAAATCCCAGCCTTTGATGGATCTAAAAAACAGCAGCACTGACACAGCAACCTCAGAGGCATTGGAGCAAGCTGGAAAGCTCAGAGAAAATGTAGACCCAGAAAAGGCTGTACGGTTATACCAACAAACAGCAATGCATTTAAAAATGTGGAATGCCTCAACAGGCAGCTGAACAGTTAGGAAAAGCCTCAGGACTGCTAGTATAAGGATGCAGGATTGATGGGACAGCACTCTCTATTTATAAAGAAAAATATTTATAAGGAAACAGAGTTATCCAACTATAAGAAAATAGTCGCTCAAGTATTAGTTCCTCTACATAGCAACGACTGTGCAGCTGGGAAAGCTGTGTCAGGAGAGCTCCAGCACAGCAGGAGTCCGTGCAAGTGGTGGCTGAGCTGTGCTAGAACAGCTTCCAGAAGGGTTTGCCCAGCAAGACCAAGCTACCCATCAGAGGTCAGCAACTCTCCACTTTTCAAGTACACAGGCAACGATTATGCTAAACCCAGCCTGAGTTTAGTAGTTCCGGGACAGAGAATCAAGAAGAAATTACCAGGGATGGTTGCACAACCACATGAATGTACTTAATGATACTAAACTTTACTCTTATAAATGGCTAAAATGATGTATTGTAAGTTATGTATATTTTATCATGGTTAAGAAAATAAGAAGGCGGAGGAGAAAGCAGAGAGGGAGAGAGAAGAGGAAGAGGAGGAAGAATTAGAAGAAAAAGGAGGAGGAGAAGAGGAGGAGGAAGAAGGGAAAATCAGCAGCTACCCTGGCCAAGCCTGGTGGCATCATCTTTGTAGCTGCTGCTCAGGAAGACAAATATTTGGGATTGTGCAAGTACTTTGCTATGCAAAAAGGAAAGGAAAAATTCTGACACGGCATTTCATGGACTTGGAGCTTGTTTAAGAGTACTCCACACTTCATTGCATCCATGGTTTTGAATGCTAATAAAGCCTCTAAGGCTGGGCATGGTGGCTCATGCCTATAATCCCAGAACTTTGGGAGGCCGAGGTCGGTGGATCACCTGAGGTCAGGAGTTCAAGATCAGCCTGGCCAACATGGTGAAACCCCGTCTCTACTAAAAATAAAAAAAATTAGCCAGGTGTGGTGGTGCATGCCTGTAATCCCAGCTACTCGGGAGGCTGAGGCAGAAGAATTGCCTGAACCTGGGAGGCAGAGGTTGCAGTGAGCCAAGATCGCACCACTGCACTCCAGCCTGGGCAACAGAACAAGACTCCGTCTCAAAAAAATAAAAAATAAAAAATAAGACTCTAATTTTTAGTTATCAATTCCCCAAATAACCTATCTGTGTCTGCTACCTGGAAAGCATTTTTTTTTTCTTTCCATAAGAGCTTTCTAAAACATAAGCAGGAGTTAACAGTAAATGCACTGTCATATTTTCATACTGTTTGTTTTAAAACTTATGAGCCAAATTCTAGATAAATTATGTTTTAAACAACAGAAACAATAGATATGGATATTTTCTCTCGAGTCATGTAACTTAGAGAATTTCCTTTGCATTTTATTTTATGATTACTGCTAAAATGAAGTTTACTGATTTTTAAAAATTAGAATTAAAAAATATTTTTAGTTTTGTTTTGAAAAGAAAATTTATCCCTCCATGATATTGGATACTGTCTTAATCACCTTGGACTGCTATAGCAAATACCACAAACTGGGTGGCTTAAACAATGGTAATTTGTCTTCTCACAGTTCTGAAGGCTGGGAAGTCCAAGGTTAAGGTACTGGACAACTTGGTTCCTTGTCAGGGCTCCTTTCTGGATTGCAGATGGCTGCCTTCTTGCTGTGTCCTCACATAGTGAAGACAGAAAGAACTCTCTTTCTCCTTTGATAAGGCCACAGTCCCATTGAATTCGGGCACCACTCTTATGACCCCATTAACTTTAATTACTTCCTAAAGACCCTATCTTCAGATATAGTCACATTGATGATTAAGACTTCAACATATGAGCCGGGCACGGTGGCTCATGCCTATAATCCCAGCACTTTGGGAGGCCAAGGCAGGAGGATCACTTGAGCTCAGGGGTTCAAGACCAGCCTGGGCAACATAGTGAGATATGGTCTCTACTAAAATTTAAAACAAAACTAATTAGCTGGGCATGGTGGCAGCCTCTGGGAGGGGTGAGTGCTGAGATGGGAGGCTCGCTTGAGCCCAGGAGGTCAAGGCTGCAGCAAGCTATGATTGTGCCACTACACTCCAGCTTGGATGACAGAGCAAGCCCCTGTCTCAAAAAAAAAATAGAAAAAAGACTTAAACATATTTAGGGGGGACACTGTTCAGTTCATAGTAGATATATTTAAATTAGTAAGTCCTTTCAGAGGTGAGATTGGGACAGGAAGCTATTTTGAGACTTACAATATTCTTTAGTCCAATAAAAGACGCAATTTAAGGTCTCATTAAAAAAAATCTATGAATTGCAATACAATATGGGCATGATGTTTAAATCTGCACTTGCAAATACTGGGATAAAAAGCTAAAAGTTAAAAGTCGTCTCCTCTGGAGAACAGGAATTGGACATGAAAAGGGGGAGGGTGCATCCGTGCTAGTTTTTGCAATAAATCTATGGAACTATTGGACTCTTTAAACTATTTACATGGATTGCTCTGGTAAAACTTGCAGAGAAAATACATACACACAGAGAGTAGGAGATAAGGACATGAAGATAGTGTTTGTAGGGGATTGTTTCAAGAGGCTTGGTGATGAAGGGGAGCTGATGGGGGCAAGGCTGAGAAGATGTGGGTGGGGGTCTGTGAAGATGGCTGCCAGCAGAGCAGAGCTTTCCAAAGTGTGTCCCTGGACCACATCAGGAGTGCCTGGGGAACTTGTTAATTTTTTTTTTTTTTTTTTAATAGAGACAGTGTCTCGCAATGTCGCCCAGGCAGGTCTCTGACTCCTAGCTTTGGGCAATCCTCCCACCTTGTCTTCCAAAAGTGCTGGGATTACAGGCCTGAACCACTGCATCCAGTGGCCATCTCCATTTTATTTATTTATTTTTTATTTTTTTGAGACAGCATCTCATTCTGTCACCCAGGCTGGGGTGCACTGGTGTGATCTCAGCTCACTGCAACCTCTGCCTCCCAGGTTCAAGTGATTCCCCTGCCTCAGCCTCCCAAGTAGCTGAGATTACAGGTGTGCACCACCACACCTGGCTAAGTTTTGTATTTTTAGTAGAGACGGGGTTTCGCTATGTTGTCCAGGCTGGTCTCAAACTCCTGGCGTGATCCGCCCACCTCAGCCTCCCAAAGTGCTGGGATTATACGCATGAGCCACCGTGCCGGGTCTTTAGAAATCTACTTTTTAAAAATACTCTCCTCTGGGTGCTTCCTGTGCACACTGCTTAGGGCTTATTTGGCTGGTGTTGGGAAGGACCCTGTAGAAGGAGAAGGAAAAACTGGAAGGGGAAGAAGCCCATGAAGAAGGCAGGAGGTGTGGGATGGGGGAGCCAGAGCCAAGATGCACGAACACTCCAATGTTAGCAGGGGAGAATGGATGCTGATGAAGGCGGCTTTTTAGACTTGATGGTGGGAAGACGAGGTGGGTCCTGACAGTATTTTGCACACTTGTGCCTCTCTTTTATTATATGCCTTCTTTGTGTGATCTCTGCCTTTCCTAGTGAACTGTGAGCTCCCTGAAGGCAGGGCCTGTTGCTGTTTTGTTCACTGATTTATCTTCAGAACTAGCACAGAGTAGATGCTCAAAAAATGTTTGCCAGATGAACACGTGAATGTCACGTTTGATATGATGTGACATCCAAGTGAAGATATTATTGAAAAAAAATTGAAAATAAAGGACTGGATTTCAGAGCCAAGGTAGACTTAATATGAGTTTGGAAGTTGCCTGTTGCAGTAATAATTTGGGCCTCTTAAAATGAACAAGCTCACAGAGACGCAGGGAGGAGGAAAAGAACAGGATGTGCAAGGCAGGGTCTCCAGGAGAGTGCCTGGGATAAGAGAGCAGAGAGAGGATGCAGGAAACAGACATCAAAGAAGCCACCACAAAGCAGCCTCCTGTTCATTCAGCCTAGGGCTGTTTCTGTTTATTCCAATTCCACAACTGTCTCCTTGCTCCCTTTTTATGGCATTCCATCCTACAGTGGAAGCGAAGGGGCTTTATAAATCTGCCTGACATTGGGTTGTAGTCATTAGGCAGAGAAACTTGAAACATTGAAGGGACCAAGGAGAGAAGTCAGGTGGAGAGAAGTCAGGTGAAATGGCTAGGAAGACAGGAATTTGGATTGTACTTCTCTTCAGGCTAATATCACCCACAGTTCCCGTATCCCTGGGATCCGAAGGATCCCTCCCTGTCTCTATCCGGGGATTATGAAAGCCCTACTGAGGATTTTAATTTAGGCAGTATTTCTGGAAGTGATATTTTCATTTCACTTGGCTTTAGACTTGGAGCCTAGCTCTAATAAATATTTAAAGATGATATTGAAACTAGAATTTTCAAGTTAGATACAAAGCATTTGTTGAGCAGCCGTTAAACCCGGGATTCTAAGGAAATACAACACAGCTATTATTTGTGTTCATGCTTACAGCGGAGCATTGGAAGGGGAAGATGAAGGTGGGTTTGCTGCAAGGTGAAGTTGGGGGTCAAAATCGTGGTTAGTGGGGGTTAAGGTTAGTACTGGCTTTTGCAGAAAGGGGCAAAAAAGAAGTTCATCATCTTTGCTTGCTTTTTGCTTTTGCAAAAGAATGAGAATAAGAAAAGCAAACAGAATGCCTGGGACAGGAACCCTTGTCTCCTTCAGACTTTTTGTGGCCTCAGTGTCTTCTCCGATTGATGGATAATTCACTTACCAGTCTCAAGATTCCAAAGAGAAGCATCACCTGGATGCAGGAGGTGGGAGGTAATTTCCCTCACCTCATCTTGAAATAATCCATGTGGGAAGTTGTTATCTAGAATGCCTGGGTTCTAGAGGGCAGATGGGCTCCAGAGGGGGCCTTGATGCCTGGTGTCTCAATGGGACATGAAGTTGCAGGAAGAATTAAAAGCTTGCCAGGGGCAGGGTTCTGGGAGGAGTAAGATCAGTTGGGGTAGGTTCCAAGACAGTGGTGAGTGGGGACTGGGAATGCTGGATTCCTGGGTTCTGAGGGTTGCTCCCACAATATGTCTGGCTTAATTTCTTTTCTCACTTGACCATAGCTGTGGCATTTATAGTTGCCACCAGGCAGGGGAGGCCGTAACTTCTGGACGCTCCCTCTCCAGGGAGGGGTATCTTAAGGCCATGACAATATGAGGGAAGAAGGAGGGAGCGGGAGAGAACAAGGGAATCACATCTGTGGGAGGAGAGGAGACCCACCCTCCCAGCCAGAGGTCAGCAGAAACCTGTTTTCTCTGGGATGTCTCATTTCTGGGACAGAGGCCTTTGTAGGAGGCAGAGGGGAGAAAAATGAAGGTGACTGTGTCCCAAATCATTGGATCTTCTTACTTTGCCAGCACCTCTCCAGGGACAGCTGGGCACTGTGAGGGGAGGATGCAGAGCCTGTGACTATGAGGCCAGTTAATGTGTCTCCGGGGACAGAGGCTGGCAGAAAAAACCCTGACCTGGGATACTGGCAGTGAGGCCAGAAGAAGACTCTCTGGACGTTCAAGGAGCTGGAAAGGGAGGCCTGGACTCTGGAAGAAGGGGCTGGACACCCTCGTGCAAATCTCAATTACACCCTGTTCCTTAGGTGGTCCCTGTAACATCCCACCCGTCCAGGTGGGGCTGCCTTGGTGTCAGAGAACCTGGCTCCACTGAGGAACAAAGTGAAATTGAGGCTTGGAGAAAATAAAGCAAGCCTTCTGTTCCATAGGAGCCGTGTGGGTTTGAACAGGGCTCTTCTCTGAGCCTCGGTTTTCTCATCTGTAAAGCAAGCTTTATAAGAACTCTTATAAGGTCTGTAACTTCTTATAAGGCTTGTAAAGCAGGCCTCGTAACTCGCAGGGTGATCGGAGGATCACAGGTGCGATGTACGTGAAAGCACAGCACAAACGGGTGTCAGTTTTATGGCCAATGTCACGGGGGTAGGAGCTACGCCCAGGCCCGTCAGTCCAGGCCCCTCCCTGGGGGCTGGGGGCTGGGAGGAGGAGATTCGGCGCAGTAGGGCTGGGGCGCTGCGGGGGCGGCGGCCTCGAGCCACTAATCTGAGCTGTCCGCAAGAGATCAGAAGCCGCCCGCAAAGCGGAACCTGGAGGAACGAGGGAGGGCCGCAGTCTCGGGGAACCGGAGCCCCCGCTGCGACTCCGCCGGGACAGCAGCTTCCGGCGCCCCGGCAGCCTCCTGCCCTCGGGGCACTCGCTCCCCCCGAGGTGTACTCCCCGAGGGCTGGGGGAGCGCATTCCCTCCCGTCCTACTGATTAAGTAATTATCCCTAATGAGGGCCCAGCCCCGGAGCTTGTTAAAGGATTTCCGCCTAGATTTCAAAGTGATAATTAGCGGGGAATAGAGAGGAAAGTGGGAGGGAGACACCCGCCGCGCCCCAGGGCCCACAGTCCGCCTTTGCCGGGCGAAGAACCTCCCCATCCCCCTTATACACCCTTTGACCTCCAGTGCTGCATTTTGGTGTCTTGATAGGGGAGGGGTCTGTCCGGTTGGATGTTTAGGACTCTAGAGGCAGAGATGTTTTTATTTCGTTTTGTTTTTGAATTGGGGTCCAGGCTGAGTTTAGGGGTTTCTGCATCCCTCCCAGGGCAGAGAGACACTCCTGTCCTGGCAGATGCCACAGGCTGAGTCACCGTCTACCCAGACAACTAAAATCCAGGCATCTTCCTCCTTTTCTCGAGGGCTCTCCAGCCCCTTCCAGAACCCAGGTGTCCCTCTGCCTCCTTTCTCCAGGGGCCTAAGTCTGGGTCCCTCTGGCATCTGGCATGTCTGCTTTCTGAGAGTCAAGCTTCAATCTTGCCTTTAGCAGAGCGGGTCTCTGGTGGGAGATTCAGTAATAAGGGCCTTCCCAGCCCAGCCAGGGCCAGATAGTTCAGTGACATCAGTGTCAGGGTTGGGATTACTGACCATGATAGGTTTCCAGCTTTCAGCAAATGGGGATGCCCAAAGGAGCAGATAGCGAGTGACCTGTGGCCCTGCTGTTTGATTCTGGATGGAGTTACGTTTAGGAGCCTGGCAGCAAACTGGGGCACCTGTTCAATTAGTCATGATGCCATACTCTGGTAAGAGAGCCAAGGCTGCATGGGTGATGGGAGGTTTCTGTTGGGACTGACATGGGCACACAACGGTTTTGGAGCAGGGCTGGTGTCCTAACATAAATAGGGGGCATAGTAGATGCTCACGGAGTTGGGCTTAATGAATTAGGGTGTTGTTTTATTCTATATAGCACCTAACTTGTGACAACTCTTGTTGAATTATTTAATTTTAATTTTCCTGTCTTTGTGTCTCAGGTGAGAACTATGTCTTATACTTCTTTATATCCTCAACAGAGTATATAATAGTTGCTTTAAAATACTTGCTTATTAATTGACAGGTTTTTCTACTCATTTTGTCACCATGCAAATAAACCCAGCCTGGACTGAGGCTGGCTCTTACCTAAACCCAGAAAGGAGCCATTTTTGGAGCAATAGAAATTCAGCCTCCCCTTTCTTGACCCTCCATAGATTGCCAGTCCTGCCCTCCAGCTCCTCTGTCTCCTCCACTTCTGTAAGGTCTCAGCCAGAGCCAGGAACGCCAGTCAGAACTTTCTCCCAATGGATAGTCTAATAACTATGATGCCCTTTATAAACATGTTATACTTTATTATAAAAAAGGTCAATAGACAGAAGGAAACTATCATCATCATTCTCCTTTTCCCCCTCTACCCAATCAGTAATAAGGTGAAATGGCCATAAGAAGAGAGAGAGAAAATCCAGAAAACACACACAGATGAAATGCCTACAAGGAGGAAAACTTGAATCTGGGGTGAAGGTGGGAGGAGAGAGAATGGGGACAGTAGAGAAGATGGGTAACTTTTACGAGATAAAGCTACAGCTGGCTTTTGGTGGAAGAGACAGGAAAATAAATGCTGAGACACCAATCAGGGAAGGTCTGGGGTGGAGATCAGTGGGTGAGACTGCTGGCCAAATAAAAATCCCCTCCTTGCGTGTCCACCCACAACCCAGCAAGCCAAACCAACAGGGCGTCCACTGTAGACATTTAGGAAAACTAAGGGATTTGGGAGGAAGAGGAAGCAACCATGTAGATGAGAGATATTTATGATTTCTTCTGGACTTTTTTTTCTCCAGGGCATGGAGAGAGTGGAGAAGGAAATAAATTCTCTTTTCTTCTTGGATCCGTTTTTTTTGTTTTTTTTTTCATTAAAAAAATGGGGGTGGGGGCAAGGGTCCTGAGAACTCAGAGATGAGCCTGTTTACACACAAACTCTTAAGTAATAGTGAATGGAAATAACATAATGCTGTCCTGAAACCCAGAGACTCTGCCCTCAGTCCCTCCCTTTCCCCATAAACCCCACTCACAAGTCAGTCTGGGGCATTGCCTATAAGGCTCCTGTCCTTCCTTTAGGACTCAGTGCAGTGTTCTGCATTGGTGCCCCCACAACATGTCCATCAAACACCTTTTCATTCTCAGACCATTACCTTCTACAGAGAATGTCTGCTCGTATTATTCATTCTTTCTTCTTTGTCCCCTAAACTTACACCCTCCTTGCTTATCACCTCATTCCCCAACCAGTTTCAAGAACAGATGAAGGGTTAATACTGGTAACCGTCAGTATTCTCTGCCCTTCCTGTAGTCCCGGAAATAGAAATTGTGAGTCCGGTTCCTCATCCAGGAAAGGGGCAGAGCATGGAAGAGCCAGGGCTGGGCGCCTACTCCAAGATCACCGTGGGGAAGGGATCTGGCCCATGCCAAGATTCTGCTGCTCCATCAGGTAGACCGGGTAGGAATTGGGGCCACCCTCATCCTCTGCATCATTGTACTGGGTGTTCTGGGTTAGTGTGCGGCGTGTCCGCATCATATAGGAGACCTGTGATTGGGATGAGAAAGGAGGAATGAGAACCATCTGCGATTTGTTTTCCACAACACTCACCTCAGGTCTTGATTCTATTCTCAAGATTCCATCCAAACCTTGATGTTTATTCCAGCTCCAGGTCCAATACAATGAGTCCCAGCTCCATCTCCAGTTCCCCACTCTACCATATTCTCCTTGTCTTTACACCTCCTATTCTCATACCCCAGACTCTCCACCCCCCACACTTTCTCTTTCACACCCTTTCATTCTCAGCCACAGCCTTGTCCCCAATTCCAGCTTTTTACCTCCTGTGTATTTATTGTCTTTCTCCTTAGTTTTCACCAAAACTCTCCCTCTATTACTGTTCCTCCCACTTCTGCCATGTCTCTTTTCCTAGACTCATTATTCCCTGTAACTCTGACCCCTAATGTATCCTCAATTCCCTATCCCATAGGTTGATTTCTGTGGGGCACATCTGTCCCTTACCAAGAAGATCAGGCCAAGGAACACCAGGAGGAGAATCACAGCCACCAGGACCACAATAACTATGGCCCATGCAGGGAATGAATCATTCTCTCCCATCTGTCCAGCGTGGATACCTTTCTGTGAGCCATCTTTATTGAGGTATGGATGGCTCTCGTTTCCTGTGGCTTCTGATGTGATAGAACTCAGCTTCGTTCTAGATGTAATGAGGGTGAAAGAACCAGTGGGCACCTGATGAGTAACTTCAGTTTTATTTAGATGAGAAGAGGTAGTAGTGAGAGATTTGTCTCCTGTGACCTTGACTGAAGGTTTTATAGTCTTTGTGACTGCTGCTGTTTTTTCTGGGTTTTCTGTGGACTTTACTGGGGCTTTTATGGTCTCAGTGGTCAGTGTGGTGTTCCCCAGGTTTTCTGTAGGCTTTTCTGGGACTGGTGTGTTTTTCCCTTTGGTGCATATGGTCTTCTCTGAGTATAGCGTAGGCTTTTCTGGGGTTCTTGTGGTTTTCTCTGTGGTTGACGTGGTCTTTTCTGGGTGTTCTGTGGACTTTTCTGTGACTTGTGTCATCTTCTCATGGGCCAGTGTGGTCCTTTTTGCATGTTTTATAGGCTCTGCTGGGGCTGGTGTGATCACATTGGCTGATGTAGCCCTATCTCTATGTTCTGTAGACTCTGCTGCAGATGAGGTGATCTTGTCATTGGGTGATGTGGTCCTTTCTCCATGTTCTGTAGGCTTTGCTAGGGATGGTGTGATCTTCTCATTGGCCGACGTAGTTTTTGCTCCATGTTCTGTAGGCCCTTCTGGGGATAGTGTGATCTTCTCATTGGCCAATGTAGTCTTTTCTCCATGTTCTGTAGGCTTTACTGGGGATGGTGTGGTGTTCTCATTGGCCGATGGGGTCATTTCTTCGTGTTCTGTAGGCTTTGCTGGAGATGGTATGGTCTTCTCATTGGCTGATGGTGTCCTTTCTCCATGTTCTGTAGGCTCTGCTGGGGATGGTGTGGTCTTCTCATTGGCTGTCCTTTCTCCATGTTCTGTAGACTCTGTTGGGGATGTTGTGGTGTTCTCATTGGCCAGTGGGGTCCTTTCTCCATTTTCTGTAGGCTCTGCTGAGGATGGTGTGGTGTCCTCATTGACTGTCGTTTCTCCATGTTCTGTAGGCTTTGCTGGGGATGGTGTGGCCTTCTCATTGGCTATCCTTTCTCCATGTTCTGTAGGCTCTGCTCGGGATGGTGTGGTGATCTCATTGGCCAGTGGGGTCCTTTCTCCATGTTCTGTAGGCTCTGCTGAGGATGGTGTGGTCTTCTCATTGGTAAATGGGGTCCTTTCTCCATTTTCTGTAGGCTCTGCTGGGGATAGTGTGGTCTTCTCATTGGCCAATGGGGTCATTTCTTCATGTTCTGTAGGCTCTGCTGGGGATAGTGTGGTGTTCTCATTGGCTGTCCATTCTCTATTTTCTGTAGGCTCTGCTGGGAATGGTGTGGTCTTCTCATTGGCTGTGCTTTCTCTATTTTCTGTAGGCTCTGCTGGGAATTGTGTGGTCTTCTCATTGGCTGTCCTTTCTCTATTTTCTGTAGGCTCTGCTGGGGATGATGTGGTGTTCTCATTGGCCAGTGGAGTCCTTTCTGCGTGTTCTGTAGGCTCTGCTGAGGATGATGTGGTCTTCTCATTGGCAAATGGGGTCCTTTTTCCATTTTCTGTAGGCTCTGCTAGAGATGGTGTGGTCTTCTCATTGGCCAATGGAGTCCTGTCTCCATTTTCTGTAGGCTGTGCTGGGGATGGTGTGGTGTTCTCATTGGCTGTCCTTTCTCTATTTTCTGTAGGCTCTGCTGGGAATGGTGTGGTCTTCTCATTGGCTGTCCTTTCTCTATTTTCTGTAGGCCCTGCTGGGGATAGTGTGGTGTTCTCATTGGCCAGTGGGGTCCTTTCTCCGTGTTCTGTAGGCTCTGCTGAGGATGATGTGGTTTTCTCATTGGCAAATGGGGTCCTTTGTCCATTTTCTGTAGGCTCTGCTGGGGATGATGTGGTCTTCTCATTGGCTGTCCTTTCTCTATTTTCTGTAGGCTCTGCTGGGAATAGTGTGGTCTTCTCGTTGGCTGTCATTTCTCTATTTTCTGTAGGCCCTGCTGGGGATGGTGTGGTGTTCTCATTGGCTGTCCTTTCTCTATTTTCTGTAGGCTCTGCCGGGGATGGTGTGGTGTTCTCATTGGCCAGTGGAGTCCTTTCTTCGTGTTCTGTAGGCTCTGCTGAGGATGATGTGGTCTTCTCATTGGCAAATGGGGTCCTTTGTCCATTTTCTGTAGGCTCTGCTAGAGATGGCGTGGTCTTCTCATTGGCCAAAGGAGTCCTGTCTCCATTTTCTGTAGGCTCTGCTGGGGATGGTGTGGTCTTCTCATTGGCTGTCCTTTCTCTATTTTCTGTAGGCTCTGCTGGGGATGGTGTGGTGTTCTCATTGGCCAGTGGGGTCCTTTCTCCGTGTTCTGTAGGCTCTGCTGAGGATGATGTGGTTTTCTCATTGGCAAATGGGGTCCTTTGTCCATTTTCTGTAGGCTCTGCTGGGGATGGTGTGGTCTTCTCATTGGCTGTTGTTTCTCTATTTTCTGTAGGCTCTACTGGGGATAGTGTGGTCTTCTCGTTGGCTGTCGTTTCTCTGTTTTCTGTAGGCCCTGCTGGGGATGGTGTGGTGTTCTCATTGGCTGTCCTTTCTCTATTTTCTGTAGGCTCTGCTGGGGATGGTGTGGTGTTCTCGTTGGCCAGTGGGGTCCTTTCTCCATGTTCTGTAGACTCTGCTGAGGATGATGTGGTTTTGTCATTGGCAAATGGGGTCCTTTCTCCATGTTCTGTAGGCTCTGCTGGGGATGGTGTAGTGTTCTCATTGGCTGTCCTTTCTCCATGTTCTGTAGGCTCTGCTGGGGATGGTGTGGTGTTCTCATTGGCTGTCCTTTCTCCATGTTCTGTAGGCTCTGCTGGGAATAGTGTGGTATTCTCATTGGCTGTCATTTCTCTATTTTCTGTAGGCCCTGCTGGGAATGGTGCGGTGTTCTCATTGGCTGTCCTTTCTCTATTTTCTGTAGGCTCTGCTGGGGATAGTGTGGTGTTCTCATTGGCTGTCCTTTCTCTATTTTCTGTAGGCTCTGCTGGGGATGGTGTGTTGTTCTCATTGGCTGTCCTTCCTCCATGTTCTGTAGGCTCTGCTAGAGATTGTGTGAGCTCATTGGCTGATATGGTCTCTTGTATGTTTTTTGTAGTTTTTGTCAGGAGCTTGTCTGAGGCAACTGTTGTTCTGGAATCTTCAGTTTTTTCTGACTCTTCTGGGGTTCCTGTGGTCTTGTATGTTGTTTTTGAGGCTGCTGTGATTTTTTCTGGAAAAGATGTGCTTTTTTGCTTGGTCTGTGAATTGCCTGAGTTGTGGAAGGAAGTTGTAGTCTTATGTGAGCTGGTACTTGTCTTATCCAAAGTACTCATGGACTTTTCCAAAGGTCTTCCAGTTTTATCTGATTTTCTTGTTACCGTTGATTTGCCTGTTGTGGACTTACGACAGTTTATTTTGCTCTTGGGTGCTGGTGTTATATGTTTTTTTCCAGCGGATTCTTTATGTGTGGTAGTGGAGTCAGCAGGATCAACAGAGCGCTGGTTCCGGATCATTGGGTCTTTCCCTTGGTTGCTGGAGTTTTCTTCAGAAGTGGGAGGAGCCTCATGATTATCTGTAGAGCTTTTGTGGTCTATAGTTTTGGAGTTGCCTGTAGGCTTGTCAGTTGGCTTAGAATGGCGTGTGGTGTTGCAGTGGCGTTTTTGCTCATGGATTTCTGTAGATTTAGGGAGCTCTGGAGGTCTTTGTCCTGAATGCAGAACAATGTGATCAAAAGGGATACTATAAACAAGGCCTGGAGTGAGGGGAAATATGTGATCGGATGTTGAGAGTTCCCCAGTTTTCTGATATTCTTGGAATGTAGTAGCACCTGTGGAGGGAGAGAGGCAAATAAGAAACTTCCCCCATGTTCTTCTCCAACTCCCCCTTCCCACCTCCTTCTCTAGGGGATCTCTTTGTTCCCCCTGATATGACTCCCCAGCCAGTCTCCTCTGAATACTATGATATCTATTCCCCATTCTCACCTCCAGCCCCTAGGCTCAGGCTGTGCCTTCAGCAAGCATGCCACCTCATCCCCTTCCACATCTCCTCAACTCTCCATCTCAAGGCCTTCTGGCTTTAAGGCATCTTTTCTGATCCGTCTAAGCAGATAAAATCCAGCTTCATTTCAGTGCTTGAAAAGGTCTTTATTCACCATTCTGTCCTGTTACCTTCAACTTCACGTTACAGTTGTTTGCGTGCCTGCCGACCTCCACTCCCTGCCATGCCTATCCAATGGTAAGGTTTTGAGGGCATGTATGGACTAGCATTTTACTGTGCAGGTGCCCCTTTAGGGTCTGTAACTTATGGAATGGAGTCTTCTTTCTATGGCATAGCTGAGAAGACCAGGAGTAAACGTTAGACTCTTCACCTTTCCATAACATTCTAACACCATCCCAAATGTAACAGTGTGAGAAATTGAGGTAAGACCTCTGGCAGAACTTCCCATAGGGATTAGCAGGTAGACACAAATTGTGAGTGAGAGATGTATAAGAAGAATGGAGGATGGGTAGAGTAAGGAGATGGGAAGCTTTCATTTCGGTGATAAAGTTGGATGAGGGGAATGGATGAGATGACCCAACCCTTATGGTCACCCCACTGGGTCCCCCTCTTCACACATTTAAAGCCAACTGGGGATAGATGAAAGGGGCCATCCTGAAAGGAAAAGATATCTGCTTGGGGGTCCTGACAGGAGTAAACGAGGCAACTAGATTGTGGTAGGGACTGACTATGTTTAAGGACAGGGTGTGAGAGAAAACACCCCTATCAGTGGACAGATACACGCCTTAATTCCATGGAAAAACAACCTGATGGAGACAGAGGAGATGTCTCTGATACCTAGCCAAAAGAGTGAAGGCCAAGAGATCACCAAAGAGTGAAAGAGATAGTGTCATTACATAACTGAGGTTTCTGGTCCCTGTTAGCTCAAGGCGGCAACCGGAACCTGGACCTATTCCCAATCACAAGAAACCACAGTCCACCTGCCTGCTGATGGGCAGAATCGGCCTGGGGAGCTTAGTCCTTGAAAGAAATATGGGCAGGACAAGAAGGGTGTGAGGGTAATAGAGAAGCCCAAGTCTCTGAAAGGAATTGAGAATGAGGGGAGAGAAGGGGGCTGAATGATCAGGCCTGCACTCCACTGTCCCAATCCCATTACCTGATCTCCTTGGCAGCAATACCAGTAATAGCTATTGTTTATTGGACACCTTCCCCGGCCCCAGGATGTGGCTGGTGGCCTCACAGACATTCTCTTTCTGGATTCTCTTCTATGGTGATTGATCTCCCAATGCTCCATAAGGCTCTTTAGAAGCGGTCAACTTCCCCTATTTTACATCTGAGAAATTTACATTTCACGGAGGAAAAGTGACCTGTACATAGTCCCACAACAATAGCAATGGGCAACATTTCTAGAGCTCTACAATGAGACAGGCAGGTTCTACAAGTGAGGGCATACATTAACTTATTTACTTTTCACAAGAACCTGTTGAGGTTGAGAACTATCCTATTCTCCAAACTTTATAGATGAAGAAACAAGGTTCTGAGTGGTTAAGTAATCTTCTCAAGGACACCCAGCAAGTAAGAGGTCGAGACAGAATCTGAACACACATCCTGGGGTCCCGGGCCCAGATCATTGCTGGTTAAGACCACAGTGCACAGCCAATAGGTCAGCCCAGTCTTTTAAAGAAGGAAAGACACTGACATGTGTGGACTCCCTGAAAGGTGCTGTTCATATATTTGTTTATTTAATCAAATAATTATGAACCTGTGAAGTGAGGAGTGTGATCTTACTGTTTTACAGGTGGGGAAAGGAGACGCAAAGAGGTTAAGTAATTGGCAAAATTAGACTTTTCACTGTGCCCCAGATGTTTTTAAACATGATAAGGGATGAATGACTATCTATTGAGTGAATAAAGGAGCTGGCAGCAATGCAAAGGGCATTTTCCACTGGCCTTAAAGAATCAGAGGACAGGTTTGACATCCAGGCTCGGTCCCTCAGCGGTTTTGCATTCTTGCTCAGGTCTCTTAAGTGCTCTGAAGCTCCATGTTCTCGACTGTAAATAACCATGATGCTGACTGCACCAGCTTAATGTGAGGATTAAAGGAAGTATGGACCATGGAAGACTCTGGAGCACAGAAGCTATTTAAATGTTTGTTGAATCCACATTGTAGTCTCTGAAATAATCTCGTGCTTTGCCCTGTCCTTCTCCTGGTAGTAAGGGGAGCCTGAGCAGTAGCCCTACCCCCCTGCCTGCTCCATCCACCTCTCACCTGCTGTGGCCACCTTCTTGAAAACAGCAGCCTCTGCATTCCTGGGCCACTTTCTCTGCTGTGTTTTAATAACACAGCACTCATCACTTTCTGATATGTGATAAATACAATTAAATTTCCACAATGGCAAGGCTTTTTTTGTTTGTTTGTTTTTTGAGATGGAGTCTCACTCTGTCGCCAAGGCTGGAGTGCAGTGGTGCGATCTGGGCTCACTGCAACCTCCACCTCCTGGGTTCAAGTGATTTTCCTGCTTCAGCCTCCTGAGTAGCTGGGACTACAGGCACATGCCACCACACCCAGCTAATTTTTTGTATTTTTAGTAGAGATGGGGTTTCACTGTGTTAGCCAGGATGGTCTCGATCTCCTGACCTCATGATCTGCCCACCTCAGCCTCCCAAAGTGCTGGGATTACAGGCATGAGCCATTGCATCCGGCCGGGGTTTTTGTTGTTGTTGTTGTTGTTTGAGATAGAGTCTTACTCTGCACCAGGCTGGAGTGCAGTGGCATGGTCACAGCTCACTGCAGTCCTGACCTCCTGGGCTCAAGCAGTACCCCCACCTCAGCCTCCCTGTCAGCTGGGACTACAAATGTGAGCCAGTATGCCCCCTCCTCACCTTTTTTTTTTTTTTTTTTTTTAAGACGCAGGGTCTCACTATGTTGGCCAGGCTGGTCTCAAACTCTGGTCTTCAGTGATCCTCTCATCTCAGCCTCCTAAAATATTAGGATTATAGGCGTGAGCCACTGCACCTGGCCTGGCCTGGCCTGGCCTGGCAGGGATTTTTATTGTTTTGTTCATCGCTGTCTCCAGCCTAGAACAGTGTCTGATCCATAGGAGGCACTTTGTAAATATTTGTTGAATAATGAATGAAAGAATAAGACTGATGAAAACTCCTTAAAAGCCTTGCCAACAACATTTCATCATGCACGTTAAGTAAAAACCAAATGTATTTGTGACCTCCACAGGCTGGAAGACCAAGGGCGACTTCTGCTGTTCAGTAATTGAGCTCTGAGATTAAAAGACGTTGAAAGAAGGCCTCTGGCCCACCAATTCTGGGATACCAGTTGTCATTAAACCACAGGATCACAGTCCATAACTAGACTCAGATAACAAGATTTTAGAATTTTAGATCTGCATCAAACAGTTGTGGAACCATAGATTGTAAAAAGCTGAGGTAAAGCTCAAGGGATTCCTTGGTCCTGACACAGCCAAGAGGCAAATCAGTGTAAACCCCCAGGACAAGAGGAGCATCTCTGCCCCAGACGATCTACTTTGGTAGTGACTTATTTCCCTAGTAAGTTTTCACCAGGAGATATTCATTCCACGTACAACCATCATAGCCCGAAAAGAACTGTTTTGGTCACTGAAGAATAGGCAGGAGGTGCAGAGAGGAAAATCCAACTTTAGTACAAGACACTGTAGGTGGATGCTCAGCTGGGATAAAAGAATAAGAACAAATCCCACAACATCAAAACGATGCACAGTGCCAAAGGTCCCCGCCATCTGCTTTGTTCACTCATTTGAAAGAGAGGACATCGGCTGGGCACAGTGGCTTATACCTGCAATCCCAACACTTTGGGAGGCCATTGTGGGCCTGAGGTCAGGAGTTCGAGACCAGCCTGGCCAACATGGCGAAACCCCGTCTCTACTAAAAATATGAAAATTAGCCAGGCGTGTTGGCAGGACCCTGTAATCCCAGCTACTCAGGAGGCTGAGGCAGGAGAATCAGTTGAACCTGGGAGGCAGAGGCTGCAGTGAGCCAAGATCATGCCACTACACTCCAACCTGGGCCACAGAGTGAGACTCTGTCGAAAGAAGAAAGAAAGAGAGACAGAGAAAGAAAGAAAGAGAAAGGGAAAGAAAAGGAAGAAAAGAAAGAAAAGGAAGGAAGGAAGGGAAAGGAAAGGAAAGGGAAGGAAGGAAGGGAGAAAGAATATCTTGCTAAGCAACTCATGCCTTGGAGTCGCTGTCAGGGCACGCTGTCCCAAAAGAGCATCTCTAGTGTTTCCTGGTATCCTTACCCCCATAAATGGCATGCTCCATTTGCAATAATGTGGGTAAATGTTTGTTAAAATACCTATACAGTATGAGTTCAATAAGTGGCTTAAAATGCAGACATAGAAAAAGAAAAGCTGGTGGGCACAGTTGTTCACACCTATAATCCTAGCATTTAGGGAGTCTGAGGCAGGAGGATCACCAGTTTGAGACCAGTCTGGGCAACATAGCGAGACCTGTCTCTACAAAAAAAAAAAGGAAAGCTAAAGGGAGATATAATCAAATGATTGCTTGGGGACTAGGGAGTATACAGAGATTTTATTTTTCTTTCTTATTTTTTCTATTTTCCATTTTCTACAATGAGCATACATTATTTGTGTTATAGAAATTAAATCAAATAACATTTGTTATAGGAAAATGTTCTTGTTAGATTCTTCCAAGGACCCCAGCCCCAATTCCCATCTCCTGCCTCACCTGTACTCTCTCAGATGGTTTCATCTAGACTGCACCTGTGCTCCCTCAGATGATTTCATCTGGGCTGCACCTGTGCTCCCTCAGATGATTTCATCTAGACTGCACTTGAGCCTCCCTCAGATGATTTAATCTAGACTGCGCTTGAGCCTCCCTGTGATGATTTAATCTGGACTGCACCTGTGCCTCCCTGTGATAATTTAATCTAGACTGCACCTGTGCTCCCTCAGATGATTTAATCTAGACTGCACCTGTGCTCCCTCAGATGCTTTAATCTAGACTGCACCTGTGCCTCCCTCTGGTGACTTAATCTGGACTGCACCTATGCCTCTCTGTGATGATTTAATCTGGACTGCACCTGTGCTGCCCTCGGATGATTTAATCTAGATTGTACCTGTGGTTCTGTGACTGCATGATGCAGACTCTGGGGTTCCAGGATCTAGTTATCTGTCTGGGTGTTGACTGGTCCTGTGGACAAACGTCAGGGTCTCCTCACCAGAATGGTAGACTAAAGGGCTTCATCCATCCCAGTTGTCCCTCTTCCCTTCCTGCCCTGGCCTCTCTCTCTGCTGGGCACAGCCATGCACCAGCTCTGATTCACACTCCAGTTCCACCCGACCTCATCACAACCCGAGCCCAGCCTCAAGCCCTCCCCACCTGTAACCCACTCACTCTTGTCTTCAAAATCTGCAGAATGGGAGCAGCCAGCTCCCCTTGTCCTCCCCACCCCTCCCTCCATGCCGCCCAGCCACGCCTATCTCCTCTCCGAGACCACGCCCACATGGCCCCATCGGAATCTCAGGAATTCAGATCTCCGCCCTGAAGCAAATCTCAGAGCGACTGTGTATGGAGTGGATTCCCTTCCGCCCCCTGCAGGTTCCTCTTCCTTAAGCTGCAAGATGGAAGGAGGAGAGAGCAGCCAGTGGACAATCCGCCTGAGAGGAAGGGGAAGGAAAGGCGGGAGAGATGGGGCCGGGAGGTGTTGGGCAGCTGTGGTACCTCTGTCTCCAGACCCTCAAGGTAGGGGAGACAGACATCAAGTCAGGGCACAGACAGGACGCACTGCTGAGACCTTTCAGAGGCAGCTCAAAGATTCCTCAGTCATCGCCATTCACCACCCACCTGCCCCTGCCTCCACCCCTGGCCTCAACCTGACTGTGCTCAGGGAAGGGGCACTGCCTCTAATATCACCCTGTGGATGGCTCTGTCCTTGGATGACTGTCCAGTGGGTAGATAGTGTCTCTGAATCTGCTGTTCTACATCTGCCTTGTGGAGACCCTCCTCCAAATTGCCCAGGCCCTCCACACCGCCCCTGTGTTCAGCATCTCTGCTCCCCGGGTTCAGTAGCAGTCCGTTTCTTGACTAAGTGAACTAATTTCATAATTTCATCTTATCTTTAGGGTATGTTTTGTTCGTCGAACTTGTCCATAGTCATTTTCCCATCAAAGTCCTGAGATGTTTCCCAACTGTAAGACAGGGACAGAGCCTTTGACGCACACTTTTCTGAGTCTCCATGTGGATTAAATGAGTAAATGTGGATGAAGTCCCTAGAGCAACACCTGGTGCAGTGTAAATGCTCTGTAGGCATCAAATACTGGTACGGCTGGGCAGCAGCATCCAGCCCATTTTACAGATGGTGTGGAAGGCCAGAGTAGGCAAATGGGTCAGAGTCAGGACTGGAAGCTAGGTCTGCACAAAACAGAGCTCTCAGGAGAGAAGCTCCACCTGTCCCCCCAGGGCTGGGGGCAGTGGAGCTGGAATCCCTGCTTACCTCCCTCTAGCTGTGAGATATGGGACATAATCATTGTGAATCCACTCTCCTCAACTATAAGATGGGATATTATTAGCCACCTCAGGGGATGCTGAGATGAAATGAGATGAGTCTCTGGGCACGGTGGCTCTCACTTGTAATACCAGCACTTTGGGAGGCCGAGGCAGGCGGATCACTTGAGGCCAGGCATTTGAGACCAGCCTGGCCAACATGGTGAAATCCTGTCTCTACTAAAAATACAAGAAAATGAGCCAGGCGTGGTGGCAGGTGCCTGTAATCCCAGTTACCCAGGAGACTGAGGCAGAAGAATCGCTTGAACCCGGGAGGCAGAGGCTGCAGTGAGCCAAGATTGTGCCACTGCACTCCAGCCTAGGCAACAGAGCAAGACTCCTTCTCAAAAAAAAAAAAAAAAAAAGAAGAAGAAGAAGAAGAAGAAGAAAGAAATCACCATGAGCAGCTGTGAATTCCGTGCACGGTGCTCAATGAATGTCAGGTGCCTACCCCCACCATCCAGGGCTGGCAGCCTCTACAGTGTCTTTATGCAAACTTGAAGAAACCCCCTCTGGATGGGTGCAGCCCTGTGAGCCATGTTTTAAAGAGCAGAGCACAGGCTGGATTTCATCTCCTACTACATGTCCCTTAGCCAGCAAACTTGAGCAGAGAACACTCTAGACAACTGTCTGTAGCAGCCCCGTGCCCGCCCCCTTCATTCATTTCTATTTGTTGTCCAACGCTATGAACACTAAGAAACAAGCTGTTTCTGTCTTCTGTATCCCCTGTGGGCATCTTACCTGCCCCCCAAGAAGCTAGAAGGAAGAGGAGGCAGCACTGGAGGCCAAAGGCGGAGCAGAGGCTGTGGACCGGCTGGGCCATGTCGGAGCTGGGTGGCTGCTTGGGGACCATGGGCTGCGGACCCCTCACCTTATATGGAGCCAGTCTTGACGTCATGGGGGCTGGGGCTCCTCAGGACTAAGTCTTAAACAAATGGAGCCACCCCAACCCACAGGGGAGCCCTGATAAGAGGAGACCGCAGCTGCTGCGTCATGGAGCCAGGCACCTGGGTGCCTGCCGAGGGGTGGGATCTGGGGGCAGGGCAGAGGAACCAGAAAGGAGCAGGCACCTGAGCCAGCCCCAGTGGAGGGAAGTGAGGGTGGCGCCTCCAGGGCTCTGGGGAAGTGGGGAGCAGATGGCTCAGTTCTAGAAGGACTGAGCTCTGGCTGGGAGCAGGATGGGGTGGGGTTCACGTTCTGATCTGTGTCCAGCTTCACGCGCACCCTCCCACCTCTCCCGCATCAGCCCAGCTTCCACACCCCTTATTCACACATGGTCATTCTTGCCACCTTGGGCGGAGCTGTCCGCGAGGATCAGGTGAAAGAGCAAAGGCGAGAGAAAGCCCTCGAATGACCCTCGCTGCAGAGAAAGGTGCTTCATGATGTTCAGAGGTCATACAACAATATGTGGAGAGTGCAGAGGCAGTGACAGAGACAAGACACAGAACCACAGGGACATATGTCACACCCCTCACCAGGGACACAGACAGGTCAGGCCACCCAGAAGGACCGAGGCCAAGATCTTTGGCCAAGAGATGCTCGGTGTACAGGGGCTTCTGCTTTCACTCTACCTCTTCCCTCCCACCTCAGCTCAGCGGCTGTCTCTTTGTCTCGAAGTCCCCATTCACTCCTATACAGAAATGCAGACATCTCATTTTTAGGAGCACCCCAGAGCTCCCCCTTCCCTTCCTCACTTCCTGCCTAAAGCAAGCATTAGCTCAGAGACTCCCTTGTCTCCCCAGTGACAGTGCCTGGGGCTGGAGTAGGGGAGGACAGACTCCCTGGGTCTCTAGCACAGAGAAGTCACAACCCCTTTCTGCCCACTGTGGGTCTCCATGGAAAGTAAGCACCTTGGATCCCTGCTGTGTCATCAGAGCCTAGGACAGTGTCTGGCACACAGTAGGCAATCAATAAATGTTTCCACTCCGCCTGGATGGAGTGGAAGCCAGGGCCGGAGGATGCCTTTCTGAGGGAAGTGGGGGCAGGCAAAGGCCATAGAGAGGTCCAGGACCTGAGGGCAGGAGGCCAGGCCCTCAGGGCATTTGGGCTCATGAGAGGACTAGAGAACTGGACATGTGGGTTCCTCTCCTTACTTGGTGTGACTTGTCCCTAAGCCCTGGGCAGGGCTGGAATAGGTGGGAAGAGGAGAGGAGGCCAACTGCTTATTAATGTGATTAATGGGAGATTAATGAGGCTCCGTGGAGTCAGGCCAAAGACTGACTACTCAGAACTGGGCAGCCTGCCTCCCAGGCAATATATCCTGCAGGATGGAGAAACTAAGGCAGACACAGGCTGTCCTCTGCAACTCCATGTAGACTCGGGTGACTGACAGTCCCCCTTTTCACTGGTCCCCTTCCCCCCCCCCCCTTTCCCCAGGGACCCAAGCCTCTAGGACGGTGGTTCTGTACAGGGAGGAGTAATTTTGCCCACATCAGGGAACATTTGGAAATTTCTGGAGACATTTTTGTCACAATTTGGAGTGGGATGCTACTGGCATCTAGGGGGTAGAGGCCAGAGATGCTGTGGGACATCCTATAATGCCCAGAGCAGTCTCCACAGCAAAGAATTATCCAGCCCAGGACACCAATTGTGCTGAAGTGGAGGATCTCTGCTTTAGAATAAGCACTAACCAGTGTTTGTGAATGAACACCCCCTTCCCTTCTCTCTGAGCTACAACTCCACCCCAAGGACGCTGATGTCTGGGATGGAGAAACCTGGAGGTAGGTGGAGGCCCAAAACAGTCTCTTACAGTCAGTCTATGTTGCTTCATCTGAGCTGGAGGCTGAGAGGCCAGTCACGAAACAACTCTGCCAACTACCATTGTTTGGGCATTTCTATGTACTGAAGAATGTACTAAGCACCTCACCTATGAGTTATCACCTGTCACCCTCACTTTACAGATGAGGATAAATGAGCCTCGGATCAGGGAATGACTTGCCCTGGTAACTGGCAGAGACCAGACTTGGCCCTTCCGGGCCCACATGACACAAAAGCCCATGCACTTGGGCAAACCCACAGCATCTGGGAGACAAGTGGAGGAAGTGCCATTTTATTTAGCAATAACTTGTTCACCACCCTCCCATAGCAGACCGAGGGGGCACCACAGAGGAGGGTCCTGCACCTGCCCTGAGGGGAGAGAATCAGAGGGCCTTGGGGGCTCAAGAGCCAGCCTGAGGGGGCTCCCTGTGGAGGGAAGTGAGAAGGGAAGCCGTGAGCAGACTGTCCTCAGCTAAAGAGCTTCTCTGGTCGTCAGGGAGGAGGGTGGGACTAGGAAGAGAGGGTGAGGGGCAGGGGTTCCAGCTGTCCAGACCTGGGCTCCGTGAGGGCTGGAAGGTGCCTGCAGACCACTTAGCCCTGGTCCTTCCTTCTACAGATGAGAAAACTGCCCTCGGAGAAGCTGGGCACCTTCCCGCAGTCTGCATGGCTGGCGGCAGGACAGAGAGCAGAATCTTGTGACTGACAGTAGACTCCTCCTTACGCTGTGGGTGGAAGAGACCTGGGGGGGCCAGTGACCCCAGGAATCTACCTGCAGGAAATGGTCCCAGCTAAGGTGAATGGGATAGGGGAGTCTGGGAATGAGACTATCTGGGAGAGGAAGAAGGAAGGCCAAAGGGTAGGCGCTCAGCTGCCCCAGCCCCACCTTTCATTTGACAAGAGTAGCGCTGGCTGGCAGCCTCCCCCTCATGGTGGCTGCTGTAAGGGGTCACAGAGCCACAGCCACACCCCAGACTCATCTCCCTCCGGAACTGGCAGGCCTGTGAGATGAGGGGAGGGTACGATGGGTTAATCTAGGGACCCGGGAACCTGCTGCTCAGCCCAGCTCTTCCCATGAACTGCTGCTTCCTCTTGGCAACCCAGGCACTCAGCATTCCTCTTTGAGCAAAAACAGCAATAATAATGAATAAGGCTGTATATTGAGCACTTACTATAATACATGCCAAGCACCATTAGTGCTCTCTTTGCATAAGCTTATTTGATCCTCCCAACCACCCTTTGAGATGGATGCCATCATTCTCATTTCATCCAGGACTCAATTACCTCATCTGTAAAATGAGGAGTAATATTTCCTATATCACTGGCTTGCTGTGAACTAAAATATGTACAGCACCTAGCACACCTAGCACATAATCAGTGCGATGTAATATTATTATTATTTAAGTATTATTATTAATGAAGAATCCGGAGCACAGACAGATTAAGTAACTTGCACAAGGATTCAAGCCCAGGTGAATGTGGCTCCACAGAACTGGTCCTTCATTGCCTAGAGCTGAGTTGAGTGCTTCCACGTGCCAGTCAGCCTCCAGCACTCCCCCGCCTCTTTCAGTGGCCCCAACCCCCTATCCCTGCCAGACCGGTGTTTTTCTCGGCCACTGAGACAAGGGCTCTCTTTGCCCTCCCTGCAACAAGCCCTGCAAGCTGTCATTCCCCTCCCCAAAGCCCTGTTCTCCTCTGAATCCTGGGGCACCAGGTCCCAGCCCCACTGGCACAGGGATCCCACACATTGGACCATGGCATTGCTCACCTTCTTGATACCGTACATTAGGCTGACAATTGCTGCCACCAAAGTGAGAGTGATCAACACAATGGCCCAGTCTGAGACAGAGTCCTTCTGGGGCTTCGGACCTGGGGCACAAAGACAGGGCCAGTGACTGAGGTAAGTGGTGCCTCCAGCCCCCCAGACCCCCACTGCCCTCTGACTTTCCATCTTTCTTTCTGTGACTGATGTCTCTGACTCTGAGACCTCATCTCTCTGGTGTTTTCTCCTATCACCTTGGGAGCAGAATCTCAGCAGGGGTGGGGGTGGGGGTTTAAAGGGCTTCAATCCAAGTCTCAATTGCCTCTTCCCTGTGGACACGTCTGTCAGTCCCAGACTCATCACTGAGGTCCGCACCTCACTGTCTTTCTCGGGCCCTATTTTCTGCATCCCTGGGTCTGTGATGCTTCTGCACTGGGAGGGTCCTCAGTAGGCACTCTCCTTCCTCCAAGCCCCAGTTCTCCCCACCACTCCACCCTGATTCTTGTCCTTAAGGGGAACCAGAGCCTGATCTCCTGTCTTCCTTCCATTCGTTTCCTGCCGTCAGACTTCCCGCGTGGTATTCCCTATGCTCCCCTTCTAGGAATGAAAGGGAGGGGAGGAGGATGATGGAAGAAGGAGGGGTGATCTCTGGAAGGAATGCCTCTCGCCCTGAACAGAGAGATTAGATCATGAGGAAGAAAGATGAAAACCTTTCGAGAAAGCAGCCAGGTAACAGGCATCTGGCAGTTGGTCTGACCAGAGGCCACCAAAACCCCTTTGAGCTACAGACACATCCTCAGACAGGTTTAAAACACAGTTGAAAGCAGGAGCTAATGACTCTCCCTGAACTCCTCCCAAGGAGCCAGGGGTGGCTGCAGGGAAATGAGAGAGAATAGGCCCACCAACATTTTACTGTAAGTGACCCAGTGCCTAGAAGAGTGACTTAACTGGCCAGGATGCTGAGCCCAGAGGACGTGGTGGCCACCCAGCCATGGTGGCAGTGGAACTCCTAAGACAGCAACACTCAGTGCTAAAGTCCCAGGCACAGTTGGAGCTGTTCCGGGAGCACTGGATGAGGCAGGTCCTAAGAGGGCAGAGGGAAAAAACAGAAGAGATTCAAGCAAGAGCAAAGCAGAGGTCACATCAAATGCACCCACAGGCAAGACTCCAGCAAGTTTTTGGAATAAACTGATGAAATAATGTTATGAAAATCAAGACTGAGAATAACCAAGACACTCTCTTAAAAAAAAAAAGGGAGAACTTACACTATGAGATCTCAAGACTTGCTACAAATCTGTAGTCCTTAAGCACTGTGGCCCTGGAGTAAGAACTGACTGATAGGCCGGGTGCAGTGGCTCACACCTGTAATCCCAGCACTTTGGGAGGCTGAGACAGGCAGATCACCTGACGTCAGGAGTTCGACACCAGCCTGGCCAACATGGTAAAATCCCGTCTCTACTAAAAATACAAAAAAATTAGCTGGGTGTGGTGGCAGGCGCCTGTAATCCCAGCTACTCCGGAGGCTGAGGCAGGAGAATTGCTTGAACCCGGGAGGCGGAGGTTGCAGTGAGCCGAGATCGCGCCATTGCACTCCAGCCTAGGCAACAAGAGTGAAACTCCACCTCAAAAAAAAAAAAAAACTTACCGAAAAACCCACACAAATAGTCACTTGACTTTCAGGATAGGTGCTCACCGTTCAATGGCAGGGACAGGGGAGGGTCCTTGGAAATAATGGTTCTGGATATTCATAAGAAGAAAAAATGAATCTTGACTTCCACCTCGCTCCATACACAGAAATTAACTTGAGATGGATAATAGACTTAAATTTGAAAGCTAAAATAATAACGTTTCTGGAAGAATGCAGAGGAGAATATTTTCATGACCTTGAAGTAGCCAAAAAAGTCTTAGGATACAACAGGAACTAATCATGACAGAAAAAGGTGATGAATTGGAAAACAGAAAGAGAGGCCCTTGTATAGCCACAAAGGCAAGGGAGCTGCTTCCACTGAGGTTCTGGAAAACTGCCAGGCTTGCAGGAAGCCCCACCCCAGAGCTACAGACCGAGCTGAAGGGTTCTCCCGAGATGGGTTGAGCAACAGAAATATCACCTGATGATGTGGAGACTGTTCCTGAAGTGCTCCCAGAAACGGCTGGAGCTAAAGACTGAGGACTGCTGGGAAAACTCCCAGAGTTTGAAGAAACTGTTGAGACACTCCCAGAGGCAGTAGGGAGACTTCTAGAGATAGTGGGGACAGTTGCAGAGATAGTGGGGAGACCTCCAGAGACAGAGGGAAGATTTCAGAGACAGTAGGGAAACTTTTGGAAATAGTGGGGACAGTTGCAGAAACAGTGGGGAAACCTCCAGAGATAGTGGGAAGACTTCCAGAAACAGTGGGAGACTTCCAGAAACCGGGGAGAGCTCCAGAGACAGAGGAGAGACTTCCAGAGACAGTGGGGAGACTTCCAGAGACAGGGGAGACCTGGGGATACTGTGTCAGAAGTCCCCAGTAGGGTCAGCTGAACTGTTGAAAAAAGAAGATAAACCATAGAACGGGGTTAGAAGAGTTGGCCATCCCACTGGGTCCCAAATTCATGTCCTTCCTCAAGACCCCCTGTCTGGGCCCAAGTGCTCACTGGGTCCGGCCAAGGCCTGCAGGCCCAGGAGCAGCACCAGCACAGTGTCCATGGCACCAGTTGAAGTGTGTTGGCCAGGCCCATCTCCCAGGCTCTTTAAAGGCTCTGGGGCCTATTATGAGTCCCGGGAGAGCCAGTTGTGCCGGGGCCTCCACCAACACCAGAATCTCCATCCCCAGAGAGAGGTCGCCAAGTTGTCCCAGGGGATTAACCTGTCCCAGCCTGATCCCAGGAAGCACAGGGTGAGGGGGAGAGTGAGTAAGAGCCTGCGGGCTCCCCCACCTGGCCCTTGGGCTCTTCCTGGACTAGGGACCTGTCCCCCAGGTCTGAGTCAATTCACAGCCCAGACCCTCCTTTAAAAGGGGAGACCCAAATGACCTATCCCAAGGTCATCCTCTTGTTCCTAGAAGTACAACCGTTGGAAGTCAGGACGTATGAGTCCCTCAGGGAAGCAGGATTTGGAAGCTGGGGTTGTAGGGGAACCATGAGGGTCTAGGACTGCATCTGACCTTCTGGAAACCTAAGAGTGGGCTGGGAAGGTCAATACCTGAGCCGTGTCTCACCTAGATGGCTGCAGCTGACAGAGCTTTCCATTCCTTTGACAGGGAAGGGGAAAGGGGAGATAAGGGGCACCAAGGAAGACACGTGTCATGTTTGGGGACAGTGTGATATGGAAGGTCAGACCCCAGCTCTGGAGCCAGACAGCCCTGAATCCTCAGAAGCTCAGTACCAGGGCTGAGTCCACTGCACTGGAATCCACCACTGCTGAGCTGTGCATTCTCTGGCAAGTCACAAGGCCTAAGTCTTAATTTCACCTCTAAAATCGGGGTAATCTAGTACCTACTTCACAGGCGCTTATGCGCTATAAAGGAATACTTAGTGATGAGCCTAGCACATGGCTGTAGAAAGTGTGGGGGAGGCCAGGTGCGGTGGCTCACGCCTGTGATTCCATCACTCAGGGAGGCCGAGGGGGTGGATCACCTGAGGTGAGGAGTTGGAGACCAGCCTGGCCAACATGGTGAAACCTTGTCTCTACTAAAAATACAAAAATTAGCCTGCTGTGGTGGCGGGTGCCTGTAATCCCAGCTACTCGGGAGGCTGAGCCAGGAGAAGATTGCACCACTGCACCCCAGCCTGGGCGACAGGGATGAGACGCTGTCAAAAAAAAAAAAAAAAAAAAGGAAGGAAAGGAGGGAGGGAGGGAGGGAGGAAGGGAGGGAGGAAGGGAGGGAGGGAGGGAGGGAGGGCCCTTACTCTTCTCCGAGGAAGATCTCTCTGTGTTCCCAATTCTACCTCCTGCTCGTCCCTCCTGTGCCTGCTGCTCTTCTCCTCCATGCTTTCTTCCCACTGTGGTCTTCCTGTTGTCCTGTGCAAGTCTGGGAGTCATTGGTTGCCTCACTTTACACTTACAGTGCAGACCAGGCCTCTATCTCTGTTTCCCCATCTTGCTTTTGCTCTCCCCACCTCTGCCCAGTGCTCTCTCTGCCTCTGTCTCTCTGTGCTCAGTCCCGCTGGCTTTGGGGAAGGTGGAGAGGCTGCATAGGGAAGTGGCAGATAGGAAGATGCTGGCCTGTGCCCTTGTGTGTTCAAGCAAGTTTCCATGGCTGGTGTGTCTCTTTGTCTGGCTAGAGGGATGGGTTCTAATCTCTCTGCTACTTGTTGGCTGGGTGACCTTAGCAGGTCACTTACCCTCTCTGTGCCTTACTTTCCTAGTTTCTAAAGAGGGTCAGTAACTCCCTCTGCACATCTGTCCTGTGCTTGCCTGTCCCAGCGCTTGCCTGTAGGCGTCTCGGCCGGGAGTAGGTGGGTGTCCCCTTTTCATGGGTGCACAAGGCAGGAGTGAGAGGATGTCTGAGGAAACTCGTGTCTCCCCCTGACAATCCAGGATGCGTTAGAGCAAGTAAAACAGAATGTTCAGCAATGGAAGTTCCCATGACCAGATTTCTCATCTAGAAAGCCACCAAGGCTGGGGAAGCAGTGTTCACAGTCCATTATAGACCCAACTCCTTGTTCTACTCCTTCTCCTCTTTTCACTACTGCACTTGACTAGTGTTTAAAAAAAAAAAAACCTGAGGGAGCAGGACACCTGGGTTCTGGAAGAAACTTGGCTTAATCCACCCCTCCCTTTTGGGCCCACATTCCTGAGCCCTTCGGTGTCAAGAATGATGAAAATTAGCTGCAGTTAATAATTAATCTCTAAAGATCCTTGGGAGGCCCGGGCATGGGTGGGGGCCCAGACACCTGCAGGAGGGACGCCTCCCTGGTCCCCGCTTCCCTCTCCATTTCCCTGTCTGTAGGACCCGCACTCACTCCCTCAAACCTGGAGACACAAGGGAGGGGTGGGACACAGAGTGGAAGAGAGGGGACTTCCTTCTATTTTCCCCAAAAGCACAGTGAATGGTCCTCTCCTGGGTCCTCTCTTACTGGGAGAACTGGAAAATCCAGTTGACCAGATTCCTCCTCCCATTTCCCCTCAAACACTTATGCTAAGGCTTGAGTGGGGTGTAGAAACAGGCCTGTTAAGGAGAGGCCACCGGGACTTCAGTGTCTCCTCCATCCCAGGAGCGCAGTGGCCACTATGGGGTCTGGGCTGCCCCTTGTCCTCCTCTTGACCCTCCTTGGCAGCTCACATGGAACAGGTGAGGGCTAGAGGGCAGGACTCCTGGGTCCCTGTGGCAAGAAGAGGCCAGAGAAAAGGGGTGGGACTTCATGGTCCCTGAGAGTGACAGAGACACCCCAGTCCTGAGCTTCCAAGAGGCTCTGGAGGGGCATTGCTGGGGAAGAGGAACTGTGCCGGGGAGCGTGAGCAGGAAGGTTCTGTGTCTCCGGAGGAATCAGCCCTGACTGCTGGGTCCTAAGCTGTACTTCTGGATCCGCAGGGCCGGGTATGACTTTGCAACTGAAGCTGAAGGAGTCTTTTCTGACAAATTCCTCCTATGAGTCCAGCTTCCTGGAATTGCTTGAAAAGGTAGTTCTTTGGAAGGGGAAAGATGGGGCTGTGTGTTTGTGAGTCAGTTTGGGCCTCTGCTGGGGTCTGGATGTCTCCGTGGTGGGAATGGAGAGCTCTCTTACATCGCGCCCTTTAACCCTTTGTTCCCAGCTCTGCCTCCTCCTCCATCTCCCTTCAGGGACCAGCGTCACCCTCCACCATGCAAGATCTCAACACCATGTTGTCTGCAACACATGACAGCCATTGAAGCCTGTGTCCTTCTTGGCCCGGGCTTTTGGGCCGGGGATGCAGGAGGCAGGCCCCGACCCTGTCTTTCAGCAGGCCCCCACCCTCCTGAGTGGCAATAAATAAAATTCGGTATGCTGAATTCAATAACTTGCTTGACTCTGTGGGTCCCTGAGCACAGAGCTGGCAGGAAGTGGGGGTTGGATGCTCAAGTCTCTGACTGTCCCCCTGTTGAGCAGAGGGTTCCAGGGATGGACAATGTCTCCCTCAACACCAGTGTCACAGGCCTACAAGGCATCTGGGGAGTTGTTTGGGGACACACACACCACACACATATACGCATGCATAGGAACACACACCAAATTGAGATCTTTGGAACACCTGGGAATAAAGAGAAGCAACATTTATTGAAGTCCTGCTTTTCTCCTGCATCCCTATTTCGATGCTTGCAGCAGTCTTGAATGTGGCATACTAGGTATCATTATCCTATTTTACAGATAAGGAAATTGAAGCTCAGAGAGGGCAAGTCACTCACCTGAGATCTAATAGCAGTGGAGAAGTCAGGCACTAGACAGAGGTCTTGGTTTAAACAAGATTTTTATTTCATTTCCCTTTGCTTAAGCATTGGGGCCAGGGGCTCAAAAACCAAAGAAAGAGACATAGGCAGAACACCCCCAGGACATGGTTCCCCTGGCCCATGGATCCACACAGGTAATTGGGGTGGGAGGTGGGTGGGCACTCAGGTGAGAGATGACGGGTTCAGCTTGTGAGAGGATGCCCAGCCAGGCGCAAGTGCTGGGGAGGAGAGGCCAGGTGCAAGCTGAGCCTGTCCTGACTAACCACGTGAGTATGAGGTGACACCAGCCCACATGTGAATTCCTGGGCATGTTTCTTATCCTCTTGGAGCCTCCATTTCTTCACTCGCAAAATGGGAACAATGATGGTACCTGCTGTAGTGTGACAGGTCCCCTACCAGGTTACCTAACGGTGTATGCCACTGCCTGAATCCTGAAGGCCAGGTGGCGAGCCAAGGTCACGGTGCCTGGCCGAGGAGCAGGTGTCCCTGAGAACCCAAACATCCCGGAGAGTATCTGGGAACCCACCAAGGAAAACAGTCCATTCGCACACACACAGTCGGCAGAGTCAGAAAATTAGCTTGAAAGCAGCTTTAGCATGGGAGGCAGCACGGATCTCTAAAGCTGTCCTGCTGCCATCCAGGAGTGCCTTGTATGTAAGTCCTAAAAAACTCATCTACTCACCAAGCTGGACTTGTCTGAGTCACTTTTTGGCCTCTCAGCTCCCTCCCAGTTTGGGGGAAGGTTTTTGTTGTTGTTGTTTTGTTTTGTTTTTACACAATTCTGAGTTTTTCTCATTATTCCTGCACCATCAGGTTGTTGTGAGGATCACACAGGGAAGCTACTTAGGGACATATCACAGCCTGTCTTATAGGTCGTCGGCAGGATGGTAGGGATTGCTGTTAGGATGGAAACCTGGTCCCAACACATAACTCCTAGTCCCCTGGGGTTCAGGGTCCTCCTTATGCTGATTTCTGAGGCAGGCACTCCTGACCACCTTCTCAAGATTATCTTGGCCAGGCGCAGTGGCTCACTCACGCCTGTAATCCCAGCACTTTGGGAGGCCAAGTCAGGTGGATCACCTGAGGTCAGGAGTTCAAGACCAGCCTGGCCAACATGGTGAAACGCCATCTCTACTAAAAACACAAAAATTAGCTGGACATGGTGGCATGTGCCTGTAGTCCCAGCTACTTCGGGGAGCTGAGGCAGAATTGCTTGAACCTGGGAAGCAGAGGCTGTAGTGAGCCAAGACCATGCACTCCAGCCTGGACTACAGAGCAAGACTCTGTCTCAAAAAAAAAAAAAAAAAAAAATTGACTTCTCACCAGCTCTCAAAACACAAACTTGCAGCTCAGACTTGAGCAGTGGGGGGTACTGATAGGATTGCTCTCTGTCCTCTGTGGTACCCACTCTGCCCCCCACACCTACACAACCCTCCATTATCTCCATATGAAATTGGAGACTGACTCCTTTGGAGACAGAAGACAACAAGAGTTCAGTATGGAGCATCACTGAAGATGAGGGGAGCATAGAAAATGGCAGGGTGGAAAAAAAACACTTAAAAAATTGGTCTACCTTCCTTCACAACTGTCCTGGGACAATTAGCCCCCAAGGAGAGGTAGCAGGGGGCTCCAAAGGAGACTAGTATTTTATGACTTGCCCCTAGCCTGCAGTAGTGGGCAGGTGACGCCCATGGGGCAGCTGTGAGGATCCCCAAACAAGTTGGGGGACTGGATATCTGAATGTCCAAGAGGTTGGTAGAGCAGACAGCTAAATGCACCTCAACCTGGTTCCTAGACTTCAGGGCCTGAGATCACCAGGATGTGATTTCCAGATTATTTTTCTCAAAGAATTGTCTCCCAAGGCTCAAAACAGAGCAGTGCAGTGAAGAGTGCTTTGGGGTTCACCAGACCTGGGGGTGGCAGAGACTGCTAACTGGCCCCCCTAACAGCCATCCTCCTCCTTTTGGATAGTCATGTAGATTTCAACTCAGCATGTGGATCATTACATTTCCCAGCCTCCCTTGCAGCTAGCTGTGGCCATGTGATCACGTTCTGTCCAATAGGATGCAAGTAGAAAGGAGGTGGGCAACTTTCTGGTAGTATCCTTGAAAAGAAAGGAGCTTCCATTTCAGAGGAGGAAAAGCAAAGTTCTTGAAACAGCCTATAAGGTCTTAGATCAGTGCTTTCCAATAGAACTTTCTGTGATGATGGAAATGTTTTATAACCGTGCTGACGAACATAGTAGCCACTGGCCACATGCAACTACCAAAACACTTGAAATATGGCAAGTACGACTGAGAAACTGAACGTTTTTATTTTATTTAATGCTTTAGGTAGCCAACTGGCTACCATTTTGGACACAAGCCCCAGATTGTCCGCCTTGAGTCTTCCCTACCCCCCACCAATTCCCCACCCTCACCTCTGTTTCTCCACCTCCCACCATCCTCCCCTTCTCACTCTGCCCCACCACACTGGTCTCCAGGCTACTCCTCGAGCTGTCTGACCGTGCCTCTATCTGTTTTCCTCTGGCCCTTCCCTTTGTCTGGAACGCTCTTCCTATACCTCCTACAAGCCTTTGCTTAAACCTCACCTTTACAGTGAGTTCTGCCCTGACCCACTATTTAAAAGTACAACCTGCCCCCCGCCACACAAACACATTAGAGTCCCCTTACCTTGTTCTATCCTTTTTCCCTCCCCTGCATTCATGACATTCAAACATAGTATATCGTTCACTCATTTGTATGTTATTTCTGACTGTCCTGCTAGAAGGAAAGTACTACAAGGGCACAGAATTTTGTTTCACTCACTGATGAATCTAAGTGTCCAGAATAAGGCCCAGCCCATCCATAGCAGGTGCTCAAAAAAAAAAACACCTTGCTGAAACAGAGTAAAAAGAAAAAGAAAACTGCCCATCCCCTTCTTTCCCTCCTCCCTCTGGGTGGAAATGCAGACATGGTGATGGGAGCTGGTGCAGACCTTGGACATGAAGTTTGACAATGCATCAGAATGGCAGGAAAATAAGATTGAAGGAGGTGTGGGCTCCCATTATTGCAGATCTCTGCACTACTTATGCCCAGCAGAAGAAATATCCACCTCATCTAAGCCACCATTATATTTGAAGTTTAGTTACAGCAGCCAGAAAGAGCCTGCACCTAATTTATTGGGTTAGGTCCCAGTGGAGACTTTTCTCTGAGCACACGTCTTCATCTCCAAAATGGGGGCTGGGCGCAGTGGCTTATGCTTGTAATCCCAACACCTTGGGAGGCCAAGGCAGGTGGATTATTTGAGCCCAGAAGTTCAAGACCACCCTGGCCAACATGGCAAAACCCTATCTCTACAGAACAATTTTAAAAATTAGCAGGGCAGGGCTGGGCATGGTGGCTCACGCCTGTAATCCAAGCATTTTGGGAGGCCAAGGCAGGCAGATCACTTGAGGTCAGGAGTTCAAAACCAGCCTGGCCAACATGGTGAAACCTTGTCTCTACTAAAAATACAAAAAAAATTTAGCTGGGCGTGGTGACAGACAACTGTAATCCCAGCTACTCAAGAGGCTAAGGCAGGAGAATCACTTGTACCAGAGAGGTAGAGGTTGCAGTGAGCCAAGATCTCACCAGTGCACTCCAGCCTAGGTGACAAAGCAAGACTCCGTTTCCAAAAAAAAAAAAAAAAAAAAAAGTAGCAGGGCACAGTGGTGCACACCTGTGGTCCCAGCTACTCAGAAGTCTGAGGCAGGAGGATCACTAGAGCCCTGGAGGTTGAGGCTACAGTGAGCCATGATTATGCCACTGCACTCCAGCCTGAGCAACAGAGCGAGACCCTGTCCCAAAAATAAAGTAAAAATAAAAATCTCCAAAATGGAGCTAACACCCGCCTCATGAGGTTTTCAGTAGGATTAAATGGCATTGTACATCTAGCACCATAGAGGACCCAGCCCAGGACAGGCTACTCAGAGCTGCTGGACAGAATGTACTCTGGGCGTGGAAGGGCCAGGCCCTTGAATTCCATGGAGATGAGATGGTGTTTGGCGTGGGTAAGGTGGCTGGCTGTGCTGTGAATGTGTAACTCAGAGGCTGGGCACTCAGGTGTCAGAGCACAGAAGGTGGGGACACACCATCTGCAGCACAGCCTGCAGCCCATCAGGTCTGGAGGAAGTCCTACTTCTCTCAGCACCTCTAGGGATACAGCCAAGGAGCGGGGAAGCTTCCATTTAGTGAGAAGTGGAGGAGAAAGAGCCTGCAAAAGCCAGGGCACTGTCAGTCCAGAAAGGAGGTAGAACCGGAACCACTGTGCCCATACCCTACCCATGACTAGAAAGTTCCTCTTCCTCCAGTGAGGACCCCTCCTCCTCTTTTCCCAGACCAAGCTCTCAGGGGACAACTCAGAAGCACAAAAGTCACCACTGGGAGCAAAGGGGACCAAAGAGCCATAAACAGACATGTTTGGGATTTCAAAAGTTTATCTCAATCTCCTCATTCCCAGACTTCCAGGTGGGAGGCAGGCCGGGCAGTAATGTGAGCATCTCAAGGACACCACAGTCACTGCGACCAAGCCAGTCTGTGTCCTCATTTACACAATGAAGGCGATGGACCACATAGTCTCTGACGTCCCACTGCACCCTGACAGCTGACAAATCTGTTTGTCCTCAAAGACAGGTCTGAGAGGGAGGAAAACTGATGGGGATGATGAGTTAGAGCTCCGGGCTCCCTGGGGCTGGAGGCTCATCCATCAGCTGCCGGAGGTGAGAGGCTGCCTTGTCCAGTTTTGACAATTCCAGCTGGAGGGAAGAAAGCTGGACGAGGAGAAAAGGAGGTGAGGATCCAGGAATGAGGCCCCTCCTGGCCCATATTCCCTCAGGGGTGGAGCCTTCTGGGGGCCTCCCTCAGCCTTACCTTTTGTTGCCTCTGAGTCCCTGCCTCCCCTTCTGATGGGGTCCTGGCTGTGAGGCTATCAAGCTGCTTCTGCAACTTGTACCTTCGGGCGGCTAACAGAGGTAGCTGGATCTGCGGGTCCACCAGGCCCTGGGGAAGAACAGGGAGAAAAGGCTCAGACATCCGCCTGCTGCCAGGCCTCCATCCTCCATTAGAAGGTCCCTTCCCCTACTTTATAGAGCCCAGCCCCTCCCTTCCTCCCAGCATGCTTCCCAAGCCTGCCCTAACCCTCCCCATCCCCTCTGGTCACCTGCAGCTCCATGTAGACTTGAGCCGTGTCACTGAGTGGAGCCTGGGCCCAGCCGGAGGGAGCTGCTGTGCCTGGGGGTAACAGGCCCACAGCCCCACAGTAGCCCAGGGTGCCCAGGGGCTCCAAGAAGGCCTCGAAGAGGCCCTGGTCCCCAGGCTCTGAGCTCTGCAGCAGCACTGGAAAGAAAGAAACTGTCAGGGGCAAGGCCTCAGCTCCTGCCTCCCTTCCTACCCTGCACCTCCTAATGGGGGGGTTGGCCCTTCAGGCTCTCCTCTTTTCCCCACCAGCCCCCTTTTCCTGCAGGGATCCGAGCCCAGGACCCGCCTTGCCTCACCTCGGGGCCGGGCTTTGGTGAGCTGGTACGTGGCTCGGAGAGCCCTTAGCACCTGCACGACCTCTTGGACCCGGGAGAAGCGCCGCTCCAGCTCTGGCTGGCGCCAGTGCTCCTGGCAATGGGGGGGACCCAGAATTGGCAAAGGGGCTCCTGGGAGACTCAGTACCAACCCTGCTGGCTCTCTTCTCGACCCATCCACCCCATCTCCTTAGGGCAATGAGATCTGTCCTCAGCACCACAGAAAATCCACTATCTCAAGGAACATGACAAAAAGTGAGGCGTCATTTAAGAGGTTTTAGATGATCAGTGTTTGATGCCTGTTTAGTTGCTGTGATTGAAATGGCCAACCAAAAATAAATTAGAATTTAAAATGAATTAGTCAAAACTCAAAACCAAATAAGTATAAATTTAAATAGTTAAATTTTAAAATAATTTTTGGGTGAGTTCATAGCATTTATCCTTCTGAAGTTATTAAAGCTGCACTGAGATTTTGGGGACACCCTATTACTAACTTATCCAACCCTCATCACAACCATAACATATACTATTACTGTTCCTAGTTTAAACATGGGGGAAACTGAGGCTCGATCACACAGCTCAAAAATAGCAGTCTAGCAACAGAGTCCTGCTCTTGAGCACTATGCTAATACTGTCCCTCAAGACCCTAGGGTCATCGCAGCAACCCTGCAGGAACAATCCATCTTCCCCAGGGCTCCACAGTAAAGTACGAACCATTCCTGCAGATGAGCCCCCTGCAGCAAACCCCTTCAGAAGGTGCTCCCCCCGATTCACCCACAGACCCACTCCAAGGTGCTTGGGACTCACCAAGCTGCAGGCGCTAGGGTAGGGGGCAACCGAGATGCTGGGGGCAGGGGGGCAACCAGGCCTGGGGGGCAGCCTCTGCCAGAGCTCTTCAGCCAGGAAGGGCATCAGTGGGGCCAGGAGGCGGAGGCCGAGGTCAGCGCAGGAGAACAGGACCTGAGGGGGCCCCAGGGGGCGGGGCGAGTGCCACAGCACGGGCTTCACAGCCTCCTGGAGAGGAAGCCAATGGTCAGAGGACAGGTCCAGGGCCACAGCCCTCCTCCCTACAGCCACTGCTACCCGCCAGCGGGGCAGGCCATGGGTCCTGGGAGAGAGGGACAGGCAGAAGCACTTAGCACTTCTGATATGATCCACAGTCCCAGGACACACTCAGCACAAAGAAGGGGACTCCAGGACAGCAATTCTCTGCAGTACACAGGGACAGGATTTCCAGGGAAACATGTAGTTTAGGGAAAAAAATCATTGAGTTTTTTGCTTATCAACAGGGGACAGAGGTTTTTAAAAGGCTGAGCTAGGGCAGTGGTCCACAGCCAGCAGCAGCAGCAGCACCACTTGGGACAAGAAATGAATATTCATTACACCACCCACCCCCACCCCAACCTGCTAAAGGAGCCACTCTGGGGTGGCAGTGGAGCGGGGCGGGGATCCACAGTCAACAAGCCCTCCAGGTGCTTTGGACGTAGGACAGCGTGAGAACCCCTGGTCTAAAGACCGCTGCTAGTCCCTCCCAGGCCTCTCTCAGCACGCAGCCTGCCCATGGGCCAAACTCAGCAACTACAGGGACTGAAAAAATTCCCCTCTGCCTTCTGACACCGACTTGTCAGACATTTCTAGAAGTCTCCCTCCTCCTCCTCTCCCCAGGTGACAGGCAGGCAACAGTGCCTGGGCTGCACTGCCAAAACCAGTCCCAGGAAGAGGGGAACTGAGACTCCCTCGTCTCCTCTCCTCTCCTAACTGAGGGGACAATTGGGAACTTATTAACTCCAGAGCTCTCTGCCTTGGAAATTTCCAGAGGAATTAGAAGCAGGCATGGGAATACCAAGCCTCCCCCAGCCTCACTCACCAGGTAGACGTCACAGAGGTTGTGAAGCCAGAAGTGGTGCAGGGCATGAGTGACGAGCGAGAGCTCTCGGGTGAGGAAGCCCCGCTCACACTCCTGGGCAGCCAGGGCAAGGCGGCTCAGGATCCAGGCATCCATCGGGGAGGAGGGAGACAGCTGCAGGCAGAGGGGGCAGGATGGCCTGACTCCCCCTCCCCTGCCTCCTTTCCTTCCAGATGCCACCTTGGCCCTCTGACACCTGACTACCCTACTCCCAAGCACCTCTGTTTTCTCTTACCTCCTCAGCAGGCTGTGGCACAAATTTCTCCCCTAAAGCATTGAGGATAAAGCGAAGAGCATTCCAGATCTTGTTGCAGAAATGTCGGCAGCTCTGGACCTCAGAGACTGACAGGTGCAAGTCGCCCGCTGGAAGGGGAGAATCGAGGTAGTCTGCATGTAGGTGGCAGCAGCACCAGAAGTCCTGCCCCTGCCCTGCCCCTGCACAGGTGCCCGCTGCCCTCTGCTCACCCCGACACCCCTCGCCCAGGCTTACCCTGAACTCCATGGGAGCAGAGTGTGAATCTCAGGGCATCTGTCCCACACTCAGGGATCCCGTGAGGAAAGTCCTTTTTCTGCAACCAGAGGAAGAAGAAGGGTGGCAGATGCCTTTGTGGCTGCAGGGCCAGGACCTGGGTTGCAGAGGAAGCCAGAGGTGGTGAGCTAGAGCTGGTGGGGGGAAGGCAGCGATGACTCACCTGTGCTGCAGCCACAATGGCCAGCTCTGCAGGGTCCAAATTTCCGCTTCTCAGCTTTTCCTGCAGCAACTGGGGATGGAAGGGGGCAATTCACGACCCAGGTCGAAGGCCCTGCCTCTACAAGGGTCACACCTGCTGGCCTCACTCCTCCCTCAGCCTGCCTTCCTCTCTCCTGCAAACCCTGCAAACCTTGTCCCTCTAGTGGGTGCTTCGTCCTCACCTGCATCTCCACCCCACTGATGATGTCTCTTGGGTCCAGCACATTCCCCAGGGACTTGCTCATCTTCCGGCCCTGCCTGTCCCGAACCATGGGATGAAGAAGCACCTGGGGGCAGGGAGGGGTCAGCAGAGGGGGGTTTCCTTGGAGGTGCCTTGGGATCTCTGGCCTCCATACTTTTGGGGGTAGGGTAGGAAGTGAATTAGGAAAAAGGAATCAGCAACGTGGAAAGGACCACATTAGGGGTTAGAAGGGAGGACAAGGTTTGGGGAACACTGGGGTCACAGAAAGCGGCAGGGCACTGAAGGGCTCTTACCTTGCTGAAGGGCAGCTGCCCTGTGAGCTGGGTCCCCAACATGACCATGCGGCCCACCCAGAACAGCAGAAGGTCGCTGCCCGTTTCCAAAAGTGACAGGGGGTAGAAACGAGCAAGGTCTGGGGTCTAGGGGGAAGAGGAGCAGTAAGAGGCCCAGGCCCCAGGCCCCCCTCAAGCCTCTGTGGGGGCCCAGCCATCCCTTCCTTATCGTTTCCCCTTCACTTTCGCCCTCTCAACCCACCTCACCTCTTGGGGCCAGCCCAGGGCAGAAAAGGGGAACAGGGCAGAAGAAAACCATGTGTCTAGGACATCAGGATCTGGGAAACAGAAAAAGAATGGGGACAGTTGGAACCTTGGCTTCTAGGACCTCAGACCACTGCTGCCACCATTCTAGGCCAACCCCCACCCCCAGAGACCAGGGCTGTCCCCTTTGGCTCCATTCCCAACTTTCCTGACCCTACCTTCTGTATCTTGGGATCTGTTCCCCTCAAAGGCCCAGATGCCCAGGCCCCCGCTCCCCTGTACATCCCTCCCCAGCTCAGGCACTCACCCCTCTCCAGGGTCAGCTCTGCCCCTGGCCTCCCTGTCAGTTCCGCTGCTACCTCTCTGGCCTCAGCCTCTGACCGCCCAACCACCCAACAGTCCTCTTCTCCCTGCAAAAGTAGGAAGGGGTTGGGGAGAGTGAGGAAGAACAGCTGACAGGTGTAAATGTCACTTGGTTTTCACGTCCTCATGTGGTCTTAGAGTGGCCAGGTTCCTCCAGGGGTGAGATAAAGAAATGCCACTTCAGGGAGCCTTGATCGCGCAGAAGGTTACATGACTATGAGCATGAAGCACATGACCAGGCAGGAGCGGGACTTGGCCCTGCGGAGCTCTGACTCCTGGGCTAGGTGCTCTGCGCCACACTCGGCCCTCCGGGTGCTTCTTCCTACCCACCTGCGCATGGTCCTCTACAACCAGGTAGGCTGGAATCTGATGGCCCCACCACAGCTGCCGGGAGACACACCAGTCCCTGCCGGGAGGACATTCGTGAAGTCTTAGAATAACCAGTCAGTCCCCCCTCCCCATCTCCACAAGAGCTCCCCTTACCCTACCCTTACCCAATATGGGAAAACCAGTGCTGCCAGTTCTTCTGGTGGAAGGAGGGACTGAGCTCCAGGGCCCCCGACTCCACAGCCTGGAGAGAAAGGGGACTTTAGACAATGTTGCCCTTCCTGCACGGCCGCACCTCCACAGATAGGACGAGTGGCCTCTGAGGTCATTTTAAAACTCAGAAAGGACCTCCCAAGCCTCTTGCCAAGATTCTGGGCTTGAGTAAGGATATGAGCCAGCCCTTGCTGGGCCGCCCAGCCTCCATCCCACACATCCTCTCAGTTACCACAGCTGGAGAGGTCTTCAGGGCAGGAGGTCTCCTGCTTCCCATTTCTTCATTCCAATTCTCAGGGAGCTCCCCCAACCCCTGGCCCCAGTCCTTCCTACACTGCAGCCTCACCTTGGCAGCTCGGGCCCCCATTTCCTGGCAGCGGACAAACCACTGGTTCTTCAGCAGGTATTCTATCACATCCCCAGAACGGCTGAAAGAGAGACAGGGTGAGTCCACTGCTCTTCCGGCCCTGTGACTTCTCCCAGGGGCACAAGACCCCATGCCATGCCAGGCCCTTGGTACTGAGGATACAATAGCGAATAAAACCGACACGGAGCTCGTATTCTAACGGAGGGGTGCAGAGCCCATCCTATTGTCACCCTTAAGCTCCATACATTCCCTTTTGGGGTAGCCCTTAGTAAAGGAGTTAAAATGAGGTTACCTGCAGATGGGCAGTACCATGGGGTGGTTCTGGAGGCCCCGGAATAGGCCCCGTTCACTCAGCACAGACATTATCTTTTCCCGGGCCACAAACCGGTGAAGACCCTGGAGAAAAAGCGGCAAGAGTAAAGACTGAAGGCCTCTAGAGAAATAAGAAACTAGGAGGAGGATTAGGGGGACAGAGAGCCCCCAAAGGATGGGGTAACATAGGGTGGTACCACCTGCAACCAGTCCCCGCAGAGGGAGGTCATGGTCCCATCCTCCGCAATGACATTCAAGGGGCTCAAGCCATGTCGGGCCCCCATCTCAGCATCGGCAGGACTGTGAGCTGGAGTCACCTTCACTGCCCCTTGGGGAGCACAGCCATGGTGAGTACTGAACCTGACCTTGGCTTTTGCTTTTCCAGATGTATCATCATCACCTGCACCGCCCCATCACCTGCACCGCCCCAGCCCCTGCGACTTTCTCTGTCTGTGCCTCCCTCCCATTCCCCACTCAGACCACCCTATATGAGGATCTCCCACTCCCACCTTCCTCTTCCTCCTGGTTCCCTCCCCTCTCCTCCAGGACCCCCAACTTTCTCTCCCTCCCCTGACTTCCACTCACCCGTGCCCACATGTGGCTGAACAGCATAGTCTGTGATGAGGGGAAGAGGCTGCCCCATCAAGGGGTGACGAAGCTGTCGCCCGTGTAGATGCTGAAGGGAAGGGAGAGGGATCAAGGACAGGCACCTGTGAGGGTTGGAAGGGTCTGGGCTGGGGCGTGAGAACCCCAGGAATAAGAAGGTAGAAAGTGGAAGGTAGCAAGCTAGAGCAAGGTCAGCAAACTCTTAAGGGGCCAGAATGTAGATATTTTAGGCTTTTGGGCCTAGAGACAAATTCATTCTCGGCACAATTACTCTATTATGCCACTGCAGCAGAACTGGAGAGGGTATATAATAGCAGCCATAGATAATATAAAGGCTGCAAGCAGCCAGGCGCGGCGGCTCACGCCTGTAATCCCAGCACTTTGGGAGGCCGAGGTGAGCAGATCACGAGGTCAGGAGATCGAGACTATCCTGGCTAACACAGTGACACTCCGTCTCTACTAAATAACATTACTTAAAAATTACATTACTTAAAAAAAATTAATTACTAATTTTTGTAAAAATACAAAAAATTAGCTGGGTGTGGTGGCACGTGCCGGGCATGGTGCCACGCTCCCAGCTACTCAGGAGGCTGAGGCAGGAGAATTGCTTGAACCCAGGAGGTGGAGGTTGCAGTGAGCCAAGATCACACCACTGCCCTCCAGCCTTGGTGACAGAGCGAGACTCTGTCTCAAAAAAAAAGGCCGCAAGCTGGATTAGGACCATGGGCCAGTTTGTCAACCCCTGAGCTACAGAAAAACTATAAGAGGAGGAGGGAGTCCAATCAGAACCACTGAGAGAAGTCTCAGGAAAAGGAAGTAGAAGCAAGAGAGAAAGAGCCACCATTTAAAACCCAAGAGAAGAGAAGGCCATTGGCGGGGCGGGCCAGAGTGCAGGAGCGCACTGGGTATTACTGTGTATCGCGAGTCGTCTGGATGAACGGCCACAGCCACATCTCCAGGCAGCGTCTCTGGCCTTGTGGTTCCTACCACAACCTCTGCATCTGAAGATAAACATTTAAACACTTACAGCTGGTCATCATCCTCACCTCTCACTGCCAACATAGCTAAAGGCAGTAGAACTGGAAAGGGGAAGGGGCAGGGAGTAGTCAAGGTGGAAGAGGCCCCCAGGAGTGACTAGAAAAAAGTAGGAGCAGTGTTTATAGGAACCCAGGGTTTCCCATAAGCTGATGACCAGAGGTCTGAGAGGGTCTCTGGTGCTAAAGAATTCCCTGATAATTTGCATGGAAGAAATGGCGGCAGCATTAATTAAAGCAACTATAATAGAATTCTTGCTGGGTGCCCAGAGGACACTGGGGATTCTCAGTGTCCTAATCACAAATGCTGTACATTCCTCAGGGGGAGCACCAGCTCCTACAAGAAGCTTCCACTGACAATTCCAGCTCATCTGTCTTCCCTTTCTCTGAGCTCTTCAGAACATTTACCGTAAAAACCACACCTTAGAGGCCAGGTGCAGTGGCTCACGCCCGTAATCCCAGCACTTTGGGAGGCCAAGGCGGGCAGATCATGAGGTCAGGAGTTCGAGACCAACCTGACCAACATGGTGAAACCCCGTCTCTACTAAAAATACACAAATTAGCCAGGCCTGGTGGCACGCGCCTGTAATCCCAGCTACTCAGGAGGCTGAGACAGGAGAATCGCTTGAACCTGGGAAGCAGAGGTTGCAGGAGCCGAGATCGTGCCATTGCACTGCAGCCTGGGTGACAGAGTGAGACTCTGTCTCAAAACAAACAAACAAACAAAACAAAACATACCTTAGAATTGATCTCTTTCCTGGGTAGCGCACTCCTGAAGAATCACACCACACTCTCAAAGGGCAGTGACCACATGCACTTTTTGTACATCCCCCAGAAGACCCTGGGTAAGTGCCCACGCTGAGGTGAACACTACCAAGGTTCATGTGAGAGATGGACTGATGGGTTCCTAGCAGCCCAACATGGGCTCCAGAAAACAGGAAAAATGGAGGTAAACGGGTGACCCTGCAGAGTACTATGCTCACCAGGCTCTCCATCCACGGGGAAGGCAACAGAAAATAGGAGGCCAAAAGACACGGGGGTGGGGCAGCCAGGCAGTCGAAGCTGTGTGTGGCCAGGCAGGGGCCGGTTCTCCACCTGGAGGCACCGAGAAAGCTGGGTCAGAGGGCAGCCTTTCTGCAAGGCTCATGCCCAGGCTTCACTCTGCCACTCATCCATCTGCCCAGCCTCCCTGCAATCCATCTAAAAGCCATTTGGAGGATTCGGGAGCTACCTCCCTCTGCCCTCACCCAATGCTCGTGCAGTCACACTTCTAATAAATATTCACTGAGCACTTAAGCCATGGCCAGGTATCTTGCCAAGCACCTATGTGAATTCTCATTTAATTTTTACAACACCCCCACGATGCAAGCATTCCATCATCTCTAATTTACAGACTGAGGAAGCTGAGGCTTAAAGAGACTAAACGGCCTGCCAAAAGCCACACAGCTGTAACAGGCAGGCATCAGATTTGAATCCAGGCACCCTGGCTCCAGAGTCTGAGCTCTTAATCATTGACCACTCTGCCTCAGAGCTCTCACAAACCTGCTTCCCTCTCTCCGCCTCACCTCAATGTCCGAGATGGCTGATCTTAAAGCACATGACCAGTTGACAAGCTGATGGTTCCGGTACAGCAACCCCGCCTTGTAGAGCCGCACAAAAGCTTCAGTCACAGCCACTGAGGAGCCCTGGAATGACCTGAGTGTCCACCTCTAAGAGCCACTTCTCAGCCCATCACCCTGCTCAGGGACCCAGGCATTGCTGCCTCCCTGCCCCACACAGATCCCTAAACATCGCCCATCACTCACAGGGACCAAGGCACAGAACACTCACAACATCCATGGTAAAACACTCTCGATCCCAGTCCAGGGAGGCACCCAGAGCTCGCAGCTGCTCACAGATCTCTCCACCTTTCCTGTGCCCAGAGAGATCCTTGTCAGCAAACACTTCCCAAGCACTTCCTATGTACCAGGCCCAGCGATGCCCCCAGCAATGCCAGGTGTTGGAGGAAAATCAAGTGAGGATGGCATTGATCTAGCCTCTAGAGGCTAATAGAAATGGACTTACAAACCCAGTATGGGGTTTTCTAAGATATTAAAAGAGGCAAAAGATTCTATAGGAAGAGAGGAGGGACAGCCATATTGTGGGAAATCCAAGGATGCTTCACAGAGATGGCATGAGATAACAGACCCAGAAGAATGAGGGTAATTCCATGGGAATTGAAAGGTGGGAATGGGGAGTGGAAGAAGGTGAGATTTAGACAAGAGAAATTGGGGTAAGTAAAGAGAAAGAAAATATATATATATATATAAAAATATACACACACACACACACACACACGAATATTCTAATGCATATATAATATCCACACACATAAGGCTTAGAAACTCCACCAAATGTTAACAGGCTCCAGAGCTTCCATCTCTGAGGAAGTCAGAGCTGTGTCGGGAAGAGCCAAGGATTACAAGTCAGGAGTGATAGTGGTGGGAGGCAAGAAACCAAATCTGCCATCTGGGCCCCCCGAGTCCTGCCCATCATACTCACGCCTCCTTCCACTGCCACACCTCCCTAAGGAAGGCCTCCCGGCTCAGCTCATGTCTCCTCACTCCCCGTTCCTTCCACAGTTGTTTCTCCACCACAGCCTGCAGTTAGATTCAGGGCAAATGAACAGAGTCAGGTTGCTTTGGGGGAAGAAATTGCTTTTGCCCAAGAAAAGGAACAGGTAACAAAAGACATACTTGTGTAGCAATTCCTGCATGATCTGAACCAGGGACCCACAGCACTTGATCCCCACGCATCCGGTGCCTGCAACAAAAATGCCCTCCTGTGAGCCCCTGAGCTTAAATGTTTATCCTCACTCATTCCTGCCCTTCCTATTTCCCTTCCAAGAACTCAAGCAGCCCCCACTCCCCTCTCACCAGCGCACGAGGGCATCCTGTATGGCCACCGTGAGTGCGTGGCCAATGTGCAGGGAGCCAGTGACATTGGGAGGTGGGATACACATGGAAAAGGTCTCCCCTGTAGCTTGGGGCAGCCGGGCCTAGAGGAAGAAAAAAAGTCAAAGGGGCAAGAGAGAATTGGATTGGGGAAAGAGCACCCTCTACTGTCTCCAGAACAGAAAGAACTTCAAGGAAGAACTGTCCTGCAAATAAGAGGAGAGTGGAGAGGAGGGAATTGGCCAGGGGGAACCTGCCAAGAGAAATCTTTGGAGACACCAGAGCCAGAAAGAAGACAAGGTCTACAATGTGAGCTCAACTCTGAGGTCCAGTTGTATTCAAGGGCCACTCTGTCCTGGAGACAATTTAGGACCCCTCCCTGCCAGATACTAACCTGATATTCTGGTTTGAAGAAGCCCTCTCGTACCCACCACGGGTACCAGGCAGCCTCAACATATCGGGGGCTGTATGCAGGAGGCAGGGGCCCAGAGACATCTGTGAAGGCAGAGGAGAGCTCCACTAACCACTGAACTTGTTCCCAGGCTGCATTTCGGCAGGCCAAATGGGCAACACATATGTGAAAGAAAAGGCCTTCTTACTTATTCTACTTACCTTTCTTTTCACCGGGTTTCGTAGGGATTTCATACAATACTAACTCCTTAGGCCTCCAGGCCTTAATGGATTCTGCAGGTGACTGAGAAGAGAAAGCAGAAGAGGCTGGGATCCAGTATACCCCAGACTGCATTTCAGCCGGTCTCCTCCAGCCCCTCCCAAGTCTCAGAAACCCAAGGACAAGCTGTCTGACCCCTAACCTTGCTCTCCCCTGCTATCTCAGCCTCCAGAGTAGCCTGCTTCTCTCGCAGGCGCTTCTGTTTGGCTTCACGGTTCCTCCGGGAGATGGGAGATCCATGGGGCTCCGACTGTGTAGAAACGGAGTGAAACCTGGGGAGGCCCCGTGAGTGCCTCAGCCCCCAAAATGGTGGTCGAAAAGAAGCGAGAGGCAAATGAGGCATCAGGAGTGTTTGGAAAGGGGCCGAGATCTGTTCTGGATAGAGAGAGAGCACATTAGGATATGGGGGTGGAGAAGGGTCACTCCCCTTGTTCCATCTTTCCCGTCTCTAATTAGCACAGGTCTGTTATTCCAAGTCTCTATTCCCTTCCACAAAACCTTTCCTCCTTGAGAGCTAGAGTGCATGGTATCGACAGACAGCGCCATGGAGCCACGGATATCAGGGCTCTTCCGGAACAGGGCCGGAGTGTCTGGATTCGGCGGTGACCACTGACACATGAGAGATAGGGCTCAGAAACTCAGGGAGATGATGGGCATCAGCGCGCCCAAGAGCCAGCAAAGAGTCCCGCCAGGGCCGCGGCGATCTCCACCTGCACAGGGGCCTCCTGCAGTGCCCACAGCCCGGCGCGGCCAGGCCTTCCCGCCCATCCCAAGGCCTGGGCCCAGGACCCGCAGCGTCTCCCACTTCCCGGAGGCCGCCCCGGCGCGCGCTCACCAGGAGGCCCCGCCGCTATCCCAGGGCGCCCCGCGGCGGCAGGGACTGAGGAATCCACCAAACCCGACCCTGGAACGTGGCCCTGGAGCCGCGCGGCGCATGGGGGCGGGGCCCCGGCCGGCGCATGCGCAGCAGCTGGCTTTGGCCCCACCCTCTCCCTACCGGTCCAAAGGCTGTAGACCAGAGGAGCGAGTCCGCCGCGAAGGCAAACCCCACGGGGAGGCGCCCGGGACCGCACTGCTAGCTATCATAACTTTATTAAACAAGAAAAGCCCTGACGCGTAAATAAAAAACACCTGAGTTCTGATGCCCCGCCCCGCCCAGTCCCGCCCGCCGAGGTCCGTGTCCAAGTCCCGCGCTCTCAGGAGCTATGTTTCTGCCGCTTCCAAAAGCGCTTGACGTCGCTGTGCCCGGCCGGGGTCACCACCATGAGCCGCTTGGCCGAGTTCTCGAACACGAGCACGCCCAGCTCCCGCGCGTGGGCCAGCAGCAGCTCAAAGTCCACTTGCGACAGGAACTGGTTATACAGGACACCTGGGGTCGGCAGGACGGGAGGGGCGCGGGGAGAAGACGAGAAAGTGAAGCTCGGAGCTCCTATTGGGAATCCCCCCAGCTCCTTGGTGGCAGCCCTGGACGCGGTCTGGGCTTGCCCCCACCGCAATTTTACAAACTAATTCTCTATGCTTGTCTGCTCAGGGGTTCATCTTAACACCAGTGTGATCCAGCCATATTCAGAAAGGCCTAATACAAATTACTGTGAATTATTCCCTCACCTAGCCAAATCCAAAGTGCATTGATTTGGGACGATTTGTTTACTACCGACTCACCCCAAAACAACAAAAAACTGTCTTGCCAGCTTTTCTCTCCTAGTCCATGAAGTAAAAAATAAAATGCAGACTGAACTGTCTGCCCTTTCTCTGGCCAATGACCAAGACTTGGCCACCAGAAGCTACTCACCCTCAGTGAACCGGAGTCTGTCCCTTTCCAGCTCCCAGAGCCGGATCTGGTCGGTGATGGTGGGGGGCAGCACAGGTGTCTGCAAGGAGCAAGGGTTGACTGTAGGGACTCAGAATACTGCCCCAGACAACCCGGCCCTCTGTTTCTTCCCCAGATTTGGATGCCCCTTTTTCTTTTCCATCATGTCATCACCAGCTGCCAGCCTCTGACATCTTGGAGCCTGTCTATACCTGTTTGAGCATCACTGGGTGGGCTCTTGTCCTTAGGAAATGGATTATCTAGGAAAACAGACAAGAATGGCATGAGGGCTCCAGCAAGAAGGCAGGAAAGCCATCTGAGCTGTCACCTAATGTCACTGGAACATCAGCTTATTCTAAAAACTCATAACTCCTGTCATCAACTCCACCTATCCCAGTTCAGCTGTTATCCCACGTTGCTGCTCCCAGCAACGTGGGATATTCCTTTTCTGGCACATTCGCCCTTTCCAGTAATGTTTTGTTTTTCTTTCTTTAAAATAGCAGCAGCTACTATTTTCTTTTTTTAGCATTTATTGCATGACAGGTGCTGAGCTCAATGCTTTGCCCCTATTCTTCCAATGAATTATCCCGGCAACCCTGAGGTAAGAACTGTCATTTACTAGATGAGGAAACTGAGGCTCACAGAGGCAAAACAACTATGTCTAGTTTACGCAGTTAGGATGTGGCAGTGCCGAGGCACAAATCCAGATCTATACCTCCTCCCTCCATGTTTTTTTCCCCTCAAGGGTCTACCTATTCTCACACCCAAAGCCTTCATTTCTCTTCAAACACAGACAACTCACCACCACCTATTATAACAGACTCAGAGCTAGCCTTCCATAATGTGACCCCTGTCCCCCGCAGCCCAAGTGCAGCCTGTCTTCCTGCTCCACCTCTCCCAAGTGGGAATACCTGCTGGGCTGTGATGCCACTGGCGATTGCCTGCTGCACACTCTCCCGGGTCACCTGCGCCACCACCATGTTGGGGAACCGATAGAGCATCTCAGAGAAGAGGGCAATGAGGGCAATCTGCAGCTCCGACTCTGAGCCAGGGATAGAAAGAGGATGAGGAGGCCACCCCCACACCCAGACTCCCTCAAGCCCTTCTTTCAAGTGTCATGAGAAATGTCAGAGAGCTCTGTAGACTGCCAGGTAAACACGAACATAAACTGGCATTCCCTCACCCCCAACCTCCTCTTCCAGGGGCCCTCTGTCCCGCCTCACCCGTGTAGGCATACAGTCGGTAATTGGTTTCCACGACAATGAAACCTGGCTGATGCACAGTGCCCCCAGCTCCAGAGACACCTGATGAGAGATTGATGGCCAGGCGTGTGGGGTAGTAACGCCGAGATTTCCTCTGAAAAGAATAGAAAGGCAGATGCCTTGTCTCAGAAGTCACTGCCTTACATCTTCCTGCCTGAAATATCAGATCCCTCCCAAGATGCAGAACCTCAACCCCCAACTTCTCTCCCCCGAGAGACCCAAGTATTCAGTTCTGGCAACTGCTTCCTGCTACTGCCCCAAGACCCCACTCCTTTTTAAAGGCAAAGGCAACACACCACCCTGTTTCTTCCCTGGAAGCCACTTATCTAGGCGCTCATACCTTCCTCTGGAAAACAAGCCCAAACTCACGCAGATGTTGCAGGAAGTTCAACAGAGAATCACTCATACCTTCCACAGAGTAATCCTGAGGAACAGAGGTTTCCAGCTGGGGTCCAAAACACAACCCACCCACCCCCAACCCCATACATTCATTCTTTCTTTCTCCATCTCTGTTCGTTCTGTTTTCATTCTTATCTTCTCAGTCTACTCTACTGCCCCACAACTTGCTTTCCCCTTCCCATCTCTATACCTTTCAGCCCCCTGCTTACCTTGCCCAGAGTAGAGAAGCTGAGCTGGAAGAGGAAGGAGAGAATCTCTACCAGGTCCATGCCCCGGCTCTAGGGAGAAAGAGGCAGAGACAAAGGAGGAGGGATGGGAGGGAGACAATGGGAAGAAAGGGACAGAGAAGAGAAAATCAGGGAACAGTCTGTAGGCAGGAGTCTCTCAGTGAGACCTGAGAGGAGCAGAGCATGCTGGTTAAGTGGCCCTGCCTCCTCACCTGGGCTGTCTGCAAATACTGCAACATAAAGTACCAGAGCTGAGCCGGGGTGTCCAGCAACAGGAACTGGAAGCCAGCGGAAGTAATGCAGGGCGGCTCTCCAGGTTCAGTACTAGAGACAAAGACCAGGACAATGATGGTGATATGCAGAGAAAGACTACTATCCCCACTTGTCCACTCACGTTTTTTCTTGGTATCTCTGGCTATATTCTACTCAGCTTGCCTTTTCCAGCTAATGTCCTCTGATCTTGACTAGCCCCAGATACCATTTCTTAGGGACCCAAGGAGATGGCACAGCAGAGAGCTGCTGTACCTCCGGCTTCCTCACCTCTTCATGAGCCCAGCCTGGCTGAGGAGCTGAGCCAAGTCCTGGCTGACAGCTGCACTGGGGGAGCCCACCATGAAGTGCAAGACCACCTGAAGAACAGAAGAGAACAGGGAGACCATGCCCCAAGGGCCATGGGAAGTAGAAGCACAAGCAGAGACACACACACTCCCAAGTGCTTACCTCCCATCGCTCCTCGGCGTACTTGTCAAGGGAGGGAACGTCCCGGGCATGCTTGTCTGGTCCCAGCTGACTTGTGTCATCAGACCAGGCCTTCCCCCTACGGCCAGGATGGGCCAAGAGTAAGGAACCCTGGCCAGGCGCAGTGGCTCACACCTGTAATCCCTGTACTTTGGGAGGCCGAGATGGGCGGATCACTTGAGGTCAGGAGTTCAAGACCAGCCTGGCCAACATGGCGAAACCCCATCTCTACTAAAAATACAAAAAATTAGCCTGGCGTCGTGGTGGGTGCCTGTAATCCCAGCTACTCAGGAGGCTGAGGCAGGAGAATCACTTGAACCCAGGAGGTAGAGGCTGCCGTGAGTCAAGATTACACCACTGCACTCTGGCCTTGGTGACAGAGTGAGACTCTGTCTCAAAAACAAACAAAACAGAACAACAAAAAAAGAGTAAGGAACCCTGTCTGTGTTCCTTGCTGCCCTCTGCCATCTTTCCACCCTTATCCTCAGGGGCCATGAGTGGGGGACATTTCCTACACCACACACTACATCTGGTCCAACTTACTCCTAAAGGAGTTCCCAACGTGGAGACCACAAGGTTCTGGGGAGGCCCCCAGGAGCTCCCCCTCCCAAAGTTTAATTAGTGGTTTAATAAGCAGCAGTTCCCCTGCCCTAGCTTAGGAAGAGAGAGAAGTGACATACCCACCCAGAAGGGCAATGCGGAGGTTCTGGCGGAAAATGGGGTTGAGGATGAGGCCCTGGAGCCCGCCTGGGAGCAGCTGTGTGTGCCAGATCCGGAGGCCGCTCAGCAGCCCTGTACTTTCCTCCTGAGCCCTGGAACAGAAGCAGAGAGGTGAGTAGGGTATTTGGAAAACAAAAAGGAGGCCCATAAAAGCCACCATCTCTGCCTGTTCTGAACTTGCTGACCCTTGGAACACTGTTCCACAGAGTGAAATTAGTATCTTCCTAAGACAAATTCTTTACTGCATTACTTATCAGAGCCTCATTACAGATATCACACATAACTCTTTAAGAGGGAAGATACATTTGAAAGCAAGATCTCAGCTGGGAAATAAATAAAAGGGAAAAGGCAATATGCAGAGTTTCCCAAATGTATTTATTTTTAAGTTTTGTGATATATCTATTAACACTTCCTGGAAGTGCTCCAAGGAACAGCAGTTTGGGAAATGTAGCTGTTGAGAAATTTGTATCTGGCTGAGACTTACTTGCTGAATTCCTTCTTTACCCACAGAGCTACAGCAGCCTGTGGCAAAGGCTGCTCCAGAAAGAGCATCCGCATCACCCAGTTCTTAGCCAAGGATGGGAGCTCCCTGTACAGGAACAGAGGTCAAAGGTTAGTATCAGAAGCTGCATTGTATCTGCATCTCTGCCCTCAATTACCTCTCAAACATCTCATCTCACTCCAGCACAACTTTACCAGTCCTGCTGTTTTGGCCTCCACACTTTAGAGCAATTTCCAACCCTTGCCCCCAGTCCCCACCCCGACTCCAGGCTGCTACACTTTTACCTATGATATTTTATTCCACTCCGCAGACCCCATTACATTTCCCTGCCATGAAGGGGCTTCTCACCTGAAGACAGCCAGACATGTGGCAGGGTGCCCATACAATCGGTCCAATACCCCAGGGCTCAGGCCCCCTAAGAATTCCTGCAGATTCCTGCATTGTAGGTGTACTCGGTTCAGTCCCCTTGAAGGGGTGCTCTCCATCACCTGAGGAATGCAAACGTCAGAAGTGCAACCTCACCATCCATGCCAGTGTCACCCCTGACCTTTCTAACTGATTCCAGATCCATCAGTCCCCACAATAACCCCACCTTTTCTGTGGTCTCCTTTCCCATGTCACTCATCTCCTCTGGTTTCTCCCAAACCTGACCAATCTCCCTCCCTTTCTTGCCTCCTCACCCTATTTCTGCCCTTCAACTCCAGTCTTCCCTCAATTACCAAGTGACAGAATTGTTAACTGTCCAGTGTTTGCAAGATCATTTTGTATTTCAATGACTTGTCTCATCTTTGGCTAAACAGGGACAAAGAAAATTGAGCCCACACCTCTCTCTTCCATCCCATCCTGGTCAGACCAGTCTACAAGCTCCAAATCTGCCCGTCCTTCCTATCTTCTATCTCTTAGCCCACTTCTGCTAAGTACGGCGGTAACCTCTCCCCTCCATGCTTCCCAAATCTAAAGCCACCTCTTTTCCCTTCCCAAGTCTACTTCACGTCATTCACCCTGACCCACGCCTTCCGATCTCCTAGCTTCTCCCTGCCTTCCTCTCACTCTTCGCCTCCCACTCACCTCTCTCTCTCTCATACCTCTGCCACTCCCGCCCTCCTAGGTCCCCTCACCACTCTGTCGATCCTCCTCGCGCACCCCGAGTCTCGGGCCGTCGCTTAATCGGAGCCAAAGTCTCGCATTGGCTCCTGGAGATTGAGGGAAAGATGGTGAAAAAATGCGAGGAAAAGATGGGGAAAGCAAAGAAAGATTTCACAGGCAAGAGCCCAGAATGGAGAATTCAGAAGAGAAGGGAGGTAAGGGGAGGAGTGGAAAAGTGAAGAGGATGAGAATAGACGCTGCACTCTCCGGGCGCGGGGGATGCTGGGAATTGGAGTCTTGCCTTTGCTCTCCTCAGAGCCGGCTGAAGCGCGTCTGACTACAAATCCCGAAAGGCACCGTGGGGAAGCCGAAAGGAGAGGAGCTGGCTTTTAATTGAGCGAGGGGAGACACCAGAAGCTGGACCAGTTGGTTCCGCGAAGGCAGAACCAACTCCGCCCACGCTGCTAACGGCGCGTGTAACCGGCTGGAGCGGGAGGCGGGTCCGGGAAAGTAGAAGTGCCTGGAGGGCTTCCTTGCGGAGGCGCGCTCTGGCGACTTGGTGGTGAGCCGAGTGAGCACAATTACTCCCCATAAAATTGGGATAATACACACTCCAGGCCGGGCGCGGTGACTCACGCCTGTAATCCTAGCACTTTGGGAGGCCGAGGCGGCGAATCACCCGAGGTCAGGAGTTCGAGACCATCCTGGCCAACATGGTGAAACCCCCGTCTTTACTAAAAATACAAAAATTAGCCGGGCGTGGTGGTGGGCACCTGTAATCCCAGCTACTCTGGAGGCTGAGGCAGGTGAATCGCTTGAACCCTGGAGGCGGAGTTGCAGTGAGCCAGGACCATGCCATTACACGCCAGCCTGGGCGACAAGAGTGAAACTCCGTCTCAAAAAAAAAGAAAAGGAAAGAAAAGAAAGAAAGCGTACACACTCTGGGCGGTTTCCACGAGTTAACGATTAACACGATCCAGTGCACCTTACTTGACCCTAAGTACTCAGTAAATCTTAATTTCTGCCTCCACCACTCCTCAAACCGTTTACTTAGAAGACCCAGATAAATACAGTTTTTAAGACACCAACTATTTGCTCTGATTTGATTTATGAACCTACTACAAAAGTGGAGGTCTTCACCCAAACCCAGAACTACACGTTTCCCCAAATTCCTATATGCAAATTTTGTTATTCCCACCTTATAGACTGGAAGACTGGAGCCCGGCAAGATTAAGAAATTTGCCTGCAGCCTGGCGAGGTGGCTCAGAGCTGTGACCCCCAGCTACTTGGGAGGCTGAGGCAGGAGGATCGCTTGAGACTAGGAGTTTGAGGCTACAGTGAGCTATGATCGCACCAGCCTGGGTGACAGAGGGAGACCCCCATTTCTCTCTCTCTCTCTTTTTTTTTTTTTTTTTGAAACGGAGTCTCTCACTCTGTCACCCAGGCTGGAGTGCAGTTGCATGATCTCAGCTCACGGCAACCTCAGCCTCCCGGGTTCAAGCGATTCTCTTACCTCAGCCTCCCAAGTAGCTGGGACTACAGGTGTGTGCCACCACGCCCGGCTAATTCTGGTATTTTTAGTAGAGATAGGGTTTCAACATGTTGGCCAGGCTAGTCTCAAACTCCTGACCTCAGGTGACCCACCTGCCTCAGCTTCCCAAAGTGTTGGGATTACAGGCATGAGCCACTGAGCCCAACCTGAGATGCCCATCTCTAAAAAAAAAAAAATTAAAAAAAAAATCCCTACAATCAGACAGGAAGTGCCCAAGCTGGGATTTGAAGCACATTTGCAAGCAACCAGGGATCAAAATGGTAATGACTATGCAAGACTTTTTATACTTTGTAGCCCACCCATGTTTTCTGTTGTCCCTGTCTTTTTAGCAATTAATGTTTTAAAATCTTCAAAGAACAGCTAAAAATTGACAGAGCTTCTTTATGGCAAACTTTAGGTAAGGTTGAAAGACAATTTACAATCTAGGAAGAAATGGTTGATGAAATAAACAAAATACAAAAAGCTGTTACAAAGCAATAAGAAAAAGAAACATAATAGAAAGATTGGGACAGACCACTGCTTACTAGTTAGCCCTGCTCAGCAAGGAGCAGCTTAAAAAAAAAAAAAGAAGAAGAAAAGAAAAAGAAAAGAAAGAGGCCTGGCGGGGTGGCTCAGGCCTGTAATCCCAACACTTTGGGAGGCCAAAGAAGGTGGATCATTTTAGCTCAGGAGTTCCAGACCAGCCTGGGCATTATACAGAAACTCTATCGCTACAAAAACAAAACAAAACAAAAATTAGCTAGGTGTAGTGGTGTGCTCTCCTGCGGTCCCAGCTGCTCAAGAGGCTGAGGTAGAAGGATCACTTGGGCCCAGGAGATTGAGGCTGCAGTGAGCAATGATAGCACCACTGCACTCCAGCCTGAGCAACAGTGTGAGACCCTGTCCCAAAAGGAGAGGGGAAGAGAGGAGAGGACAGGGGAGAACTGGAGAGGGGAGAATTGGGGAGGGGAGAGGAAGGGAGGGTTAGGGAGGGGGAAAGAAGGAAAGAGAAAGAAAGATTGGCCAAAGCAAAAAGAAAGTTAAACAGAATATCAGAAATGTTTCAAAAATCAAAAAATTGGCTGGGCACGGTGGCTCACGCCTGTAATCCCGACACTTTGGGAGGCCGAGGTGGGTGGATCACCCGAGATCAGGAGTTCGAGACCAGCCTGGCCAACATGGTGAAACCCGTCTCTCCTAAAAATACAAAAATTAGCCGGGCGTGGTGGCAGGCGCCTATAAGCCCAGCTACTCGGGAGGCTGAGGCAGGAGAATCGCTTGAACCCGGGAGGTGGAGTTTGTAGTGAGCTGAGATCGTACCATTGCACTCCAGCCTGGGGGACAAGAGCGAGACTTTGTCTCAAAAAAAAAAAAAAAAATTCAAAAAATTAGCCAGGCCTGGTTCTGTGGTCCCAGCTACTCAGGAGGCTGAGGCAGGAGGATTGTTTGGACCCAGGAGGTCAAGGCTACACTGAGCTGTGATCATGCCACTGCACTCCAGCCTGAGCTATACAGTGAGACCCTGTCTCAAAAAAAAAAAAAAAAGAAAAGAAAAGAAAAGAAAAGAGAAAAAGAAATTAGCTCGGTATGCACACACCTGAAGTCCTAGCTACTCAGGAGGCTGAGGTAGGAAGATTGGTTGAGTCCAGCAGTTCAAGGCTGTAGTGAGCTACAGTTACACCACTGCACTCCAGCCTGGCCGCAGAATTAGACTGTCTCTTAAAAATAAATATATAGGCCAGGCGCCATGGCTCACACCTGTAATGCCAGCACTTTGGGAGGTCAAGGTGGGTGGATCACCTGAGGTCAGGAGTTCCAGACTAGCCTGGTCAACATTTTAGTAGAAACCTTGTCTCTACTAAAAACACAAAAATTAGCTGGCATGGTGACGGGCGCCTGTAATCCCAGCTACTTGGGAGGCTGAGGCAGGAGAATCACTTGAACCCGGGAGGCAGAGGTTGCAGTGAGCTGAGACCACACCATTGCACTCCAGCCTGGGCAAGAGTGAAACTCCATCTCAAAATAAATAAATAAATAAAAATAAAAATAAATAAATCGGCCGGAGGCAGTGGCTCACACCTATAATCTCAACACTTTGGGAGGCTGAGGCGGGTGGATCACTTGAGGTCAGAAGTTCGAGACTAGCCTGAGCGGGTGAAACCCCGTCTCTACTGAAAATACAAAAATTAGCCAGACATGGTGGCGGGCGCCTGTAATCCCAGCTACTTGGGAGGCTGAGGCAGGAGAATCACTTGAACCCAGTAGGCTGAGGTTGCAGTAAGCCGAGATCACACCACTGCACTCCAGCCTGGGCAACAGAGCAAGACTCTATCTCAAAATAAATACATAAATAAAATTAAAATATAAAAGTTCAGCAAAAAAGAAATTAAGGATTGACAACCTCAATGTTGACCAGGGTATAGGAGCATACTCATACACTTTTGCTGAAAATTGAGGCCGGGTCCAGTAGCTCACGCCTGTAATCTCAGCACTTTGAAGGGAGGCCAAGCCAGGCAGATCACTTGAGCCCCGAAGTTTGAGACCAGCCTGGGCAACATGGTGAAACCCTGTCTCTACAAAAAATAAAAAAATTAGCTGGGCATGAGGGTGCATGCCTGTAGGCCCAGCTACTTGAGAGGCTGAGGCAGGAGGGTTGTTTGAGCCCTGGAGGTGGAGGTTGCAGTGAGCTGAGATCACACCATTGCACTCCAGACTGGGCAACAAAATGAGAGTCTGTCTCAAATTAAAAAAAAAAAAAAAAAAAAAAAAAAAAAAAAAAAATTGAAATAGGCACACCTCTTTTGGAGGGGGTGAGGGGACAGAGTCTTACAGTGTCACCCAGGTCAAATGCAGTGGCACAATCTTGGCTCACTGCAATCTCTGTCTCCCAGATTCAAGCGATTCTTGTGCCTCAGCCTTCCGAGTAGTTGGGATTACAGGCGTGAACCACCATGCCTGGCTAATTTTTTTTTGTATTTTTAGTACAGACAGGGTTTCACCGTGTTGGCCAGCATGTTAGTGGGCATGGTAGTTCAAAAAAGAAAATTCCTGTGATAGGGAGCTCATGACCTCCTCCTCTCAGGCAGCATCCTGGAGAGAAAGAACAGAGAGCCAGGGCCAGGCGTGGTGGCTCACACCTGTAATCCCAGCACTTTGGGAGACCGAGGAGGGTGGATCAAGACATCAGGAGTTCAAGACCAGCCTGGCCAACATGGTGAAACCCAGTCTCTACTAAAAATACAAAAATTAGCCGGGCATGGTGGCAGGTGCCTGTAATCCCAGCTACTCAGGAGGCTGAGGCAGGAGAATCGCTTCAACCCAGAAGGCGGAGGTTGCAGTGAGCGGAGATAGTGCCACTGAACTCCAGCCTGGGTGACAGAGCAAGACTTTGTCTCAAAAAAAAAAAAAAAAAAAAAAAGGAACAGAGAGCCAGGAGCCCACAGACCCACTTCCCACAGGCTTTACTGTTGACTGACTGCTACTTTGGGCAAGCTGCTTAACCTAACAGAATTTTCTTCTCTGTGCAAAGTAATTTTAACTACTTCATATATTGTTGTATTAAGTAAGATATAATATGTCGTAATTTCAATACCTGGTATATAGTGGGTGCTCAGTAATATATTATCATCATTATTGTAACTTTCACTTATTAATCCTAGTTCTAGTTCTGTAACTACATAGAATCTATGTTAGTCTATCAGATATTTGCTACAATTCTTTCTTTCAACCAATATTGAGCCCTGTGTTCCAAGATTTTGCCCTTGTGCAACTTATAGTTTGGTGGGAGGGGCAGGTATAAAAAGATATGTAAAATTACACACGTAGTAAGTGCCACAAAGAAGAGATTCATGTCCTCTGAGATTATCAGTAGGGAATTTGACCTGGTTGGGGAAGTCAGGAAAGACTGCTGAAGGACAAGCAGGAGTTAATAAGGCACAGACTGCAGGGAACATTGTTCCAGGTGAGGGAACAGCATGCCACGAAGGCCACGTGGCAGGAAGTACTGTGGCCCATTGGGTGAATCTGAAAGAAGGCCAGTGGCCCACAGAGGAAAGCAAGCGGGTGGGGGAGGACGCTGGAGAGGTATGTGGGGGCCAACCTTGGCCAGAAGGATTTTGTTCTTCATTTTAAGATTAATGAAAAGTCACTGCTGGATTTGAAATGAAGGATTAGGGTCAGATTTGTGTGTTTTAAAGATAACTGTGGTTGCAGGGTGGAAAACAACCCAGAGAGGAGCAGAGGCAGATCTGGGTGACAGCTGGGAGACCACTGCAGGAGTCCAGGCAAGATGGAGGCAGCATGTGCCAGGAGGGCGATGGAGACAGAGATGACAAGTTCCAGGGAGATTTGGGAGGCAAAATCAACAGCGTTTTGTGCTGGACTGGACTTGAGAGGTGGAAGGTAAGGGAGAAGGAGCTCGGGGATGCCACCTTGTGCGGCTTGTGCAGCTAAGTGGATGATGCTGCCATTCACTGAGTCAGTAGACTGTGGAGGAGAAGCAGGTTTGGACAAGCAGGGCCTGACTTTTAAATTAACTGCAGGTGGGGCTGGGCACGGTGGCTCACGCCTGTAATCCCAGCACCTTGGGAGGCCAAGGTGGGCGGATCACGAGGTCAGGAGTTTGAGACCAGCCTGGCCAATATGGTGAGACCCCGTCTCTACTAAAAATACAAAAAAATTAGCTGGGCATGGTGGTGCACACCTGTAATCCCAGCTATGTGGGAGGCTGAGGCAGAAGAATCGCTTGAACCCAGGAGGCGGAGGTTGCAGTGAGCTGAGATTGCGCCACGGCACTCCAGCCTGGGTGACAGAGCGAGACCAGGTCTCAAAAAAAAAAAAAAAAAAAAATTAACTCCAGGTGTTTCTGCTTGAAAGACAGCTCAGAGATTTGGGTTATCAGGCTCACTGCCGTGGCTTCCATCGCTCATTATTCTGGGATCTGGCCTCTAAACTCTAACCTATCGGTACACAACTTAAATCATAGTGCACAGTGGTTTGACCTGTGTAAGTTTTAGCAGGACTATTAGATTCGGGACCTAGGCCCCAAGGGCCTATTAATTCAACTTCACATTGATTTATCTTTACTGTGATCCTCATTATCCAATTGGCTCATTTTGTGAATATCATCAACCAAAACCCCAGGGTTTTTATTTCACATGAATGGCCATCAAGATGGGTCTGCCTTGTCCCATCCCTGCAACTGACTTTTAATTTTCTTTTTGAGACAGGGTCTTGCTCTGTCACCCAGGCTGGAGTGAAGTGATGCAATCATGGCTCACTGCAGCCTCAACCTCCTGGGCTCAAGTTATCCTCCCACCTTGGCCTCCTGAGTTGCTGGTGCACACCACTAAGCCCAGCTAGTTTTATATATATATGTATAAATGGGGGCCAGAGTGTGCTATGTTGCCTAGGCTGGTTCCAAACTCCTAGGCTCAAGAAATCCTCCTACCTCAGCTTTCCATAGTGTTGAGATTACAGGGCATGAGCCACCCCACTGGCCGATTTTTTCTTTCCAACCAAATTTGAACCCTTTAATTGTTCTCTTGGTGGTTGCAGCTCATCCTTCCAAGCCTCTGAGATAACTGAGGCTCTTGATTCTGGTTTCTGGTTCTGGTTTCCATTCCAACAACCTATCCCCTACCCCCAGTGGGGCATTTGCACACTTGATCAGCATAACCCAGGGATTCTCCCCTGGGATTTCCAGACCCTGGGGAGCCAGATGGGTTCTAGAATTTGGGCAAGAAAAAGAAATTACACCTTTTACTAACCTCTAATAGAAGTTTAGCATTTCCTCCAATTATGAATATGGGTAAAACCACCAGTAGTATTAGCAGTACCTGTGACTTGTCACTAATTGACACCACAGCTACTTTTATGTCTCACTGTGACTGTTGTAGAAATCTCAAATATGGCTTATGCTCATTAGTATTTGGAAAATGTCAGTTTATTACACCTGTTTTTAGATCTTGTTATTAAATACATGAAAAAGAAGCACATTAGTTTCATAATTTTTTAGCATTTTGGTAAACTGTTTCCATTGGTTTCCCTTATAATCCTATACATTTTATGGGTTTTGTTGTTGTTGTTGTTCTGTTTTTGAGACAGTCTCACTCTGTTGCCCAGGCTGGAGCACAGTTGTGTGATCTCAGCTCACTGCAACCCCCACCTCCCGGGTTCTAAGCAATTCTCCTGCCTCAGCCTCCTGAATAGCTGAGATTACAGGCGCATGCCACCACACCCTGCTAATTTTTGTATCTTTAGTAGAGATGGGGTTTTGCTATGTTGGCCAGGTTGGTCTCGAACTCCTGGCCTCAAGTGATCTACCCACCTCAGCCTCCCAAAGTGCTGGGATTACAGGGGTGAGCCACTATGCCTGGTCCATTTTATAGGTTTTAAAACCTAATTCTGAGGAGGACTCAGTAGACCTCTACAGACTGCCAAAGGCGTTTATGGCACAAAAAAGGTTCAGCACCCCTGGCCTGACTGCATTCCTTCCAGGCCTCCACCAGAGCACCCCTCTGAGTTGAGAAGGTTCATGCACTCAGACATTCATGCATCTCCTGAGGTCCCACAGGCAAAGGCCTGGATTATCCAGAAACAGAACACAATGCTGGGCAAAACAGGTGATGGGAAATGGAATGAGGAGGCAGGAAAAAAGGAAGATGGGAAGTGGGTTGGGAAGTGGGTTCAGAGGGAGGTGCAGGAGGCAGAGTTACCAAATTCCCAAGGAACCCACTCACACAGTTGTGGAAAACTCAACCTTTATTATTACCTGCCTAGTGCAGGGGATTAAAATTGCCTCAAGCTAGGTCCATATATTAGTGTAAAAATCTGTGTCTCTCCCCCCAAAAATGTACAAACCCCAAGTGATTATAGAAAAATCAATGTGGCAGCTACACTAGAGATGTCCAACCCCAAGGCTATGGGCCGTTGCTCCCTCTTTCCCCCCAATCCCAATATTTACTCCACAGAAACGTATAGGCTTAGAGAAGTTCTAGCTACAAGACTGCAAGTGGGAAGTGGGGGTGACTGAGGGCTGGGGCGGGGCTACCCCCAGGTCCAGTGTTTCAGGTGATGGAGGAGGAAGAAGCCCAAGCTGAGGACAAGTACAGGAGCAGGCACAAGGAAACATTTTCCTCTCCTTCTTGTCCTCCTCACCCCCAGATTCTCAGCCAGTGGGGTCCAGTGTGTGACAGGGAGAGAGAAGCTGGGGGCGCAGCCACCTCTCCAGGAATCAGTGTTGTCCAGTGGGGCCCAGGTGCTCCAATGGGCCATGTCCAGTGTCTATCCTATATTTCTCCCCACCCTTCCCCAAGGGATGGCTAGAGGAGGGTGGAGAGGATCCCATCCACAGGACCAGCTGGGTGGGCGACAGGGGCTTCTAGGAAGGAAGAACAGGAAGGGGACATGAGAGTGTGTCCAGGAAGGGGAGAAGGGGCATCAGCTCCCTGGGTGGGCCCAGCCCACCTGCAGTCTCACTGCCTCTATTAGAGGTGATGGGCTGTCGGGAGGGGAAGGGCAGAGGTGCCATTGTGTCCTCTTGTTTTAGTGTCACTGGCTTCCCCTGGATCGCTCCCTGAGGGAGGGGCAGCTGGATGTGTGATTCACACCGTGTTGAGTGCATCCTCTGCCAGGAACCGATGCAGCTGGGAAAAGGGTGGTCGCTGCTCAGACTCCCGGCTCCAGCACCGAAGCATCAGCTCATATAGGCCCTGCGGGCAGGCAGGCGGCCGGGACAGGTACACCTGCATTGTGGCAGTGTGGATGAGAGTCAGGGAACAAATATTCTTTAGTCTCCAAGATGACAACTCTGCCCCTTCTGTCCCCCGCCTCGGACCCATCTTCCCTCTCCTCCACTCTGACCTGCCGGCCCTGGTCCCGGAAGAACTCCCCCGCGTTCTCGATGACCTGCTCGTCGGTGAGCTGCCCAAAGGGCTGGGCCCTACAGAGCATCAGCACCTCCCACAGGGTCACACCAAAGGCCCACACGTCACTCGCAGTCGTGAACTTCCCCTGGGATGCAGAGAAGGCAGCAAAAACAGACAGGGACATCAGGCAACGTAGACCCTCCTCCCTTCCTATTGGAAGCCCCAGATCCACTCTGGGCTCCACTCAGGCCTGATCCCTCCTGACGCCAGGCTCTCCACTCTCCTCCGCTGGCCACCTTTTCCAACTCCTCTCCCTTGGGCTCTGCCTTTCCTCTCCATGCTCTGGTCCTCTCTCCAGGGCCCTGGCCCACCTCTTCCTTCTGCTCCTCCTTCCTCTCCATCCACCCCCACTTTCTGGTCCTGACCTTCGGTCTCCCTACCCAACCCCTTCTATCTCCAGCTTCCTCGCCCAACCTCATCTCTTGAGCTCTCTGCCACCCTGTCTCCATCCCCAGTACCCACTCTTGGCTCCTGGATTCTTGCCCATCACACTGCAGCTCCTGCTTTCCCCAGTCCCTTGGGCTAGGAGAACCTCATATTATAGATGAGATTCTGTAAAATGCAACCCAGAGAAAGTGTGTGACTGATGGAGACCAGGGCTGTGAGTGGCGGCCAGTGTTCTCCCACCTGCCCTGCTCCAACCTGGCTGTCCTCGGGCTGCTCACCATGAGGATGCACTCCCAGGCCATCCAGCGGATGGGCAGCACTGCCCGGCCCTGCACACGGTAATAGTCCCCAGCATAGAGGTTCCGGCTCATGCCAAAGTCTGCGATTTTGATGGTGAAATTTTCCCCAACTAGGCAGTTCCGCGTGGCCAGGTCCCGATGTACAAAGTTGAGTGTGGCCAGATAGCGCATGCCGGAGGCGATCTGGGCTGCCACATGCAGCAGCATTGGGTAGCTGAGAAGGGAACCGACAGAAGGTCACTGGGGGCAGCTTCGCAGATTCCCATCCAGGAGAGGAGAGAGAGCCCACTCCCCGGGCCCGGTCACTCTGGCTCCCCATGTGGAGGTGGAATGCCCACGTGAGGCCAAGGGTCACTTCCCTCTCAATCTCCCAGGCCTGGCCAACACTAGGGGGCTCTTCTTTTATTGTGCTCCCCAATCTGGACTCAGAGGGGAGTGAGGGTGAGAGAAAGCAGAAGGGACGTCATGGCAGGGCCCAAGTCCCTTCACCACTCTTGCATAGTCACCTCCAGCCTTTCTGTCCATGTTCCTGGGTTAACTTGTCACACATTCCTTATCCCAGGCCCTCCTGGAACCTCTCTCCCTTCCCACCCCCACGCTCCCCTCTTTTCCTCCAGGCTGAAGCGAGGGGAGAGGAGGAGATCCCCTGGGGGAATTCTGAGCAAGGCCCAGCCTGGGTAAGCAGGTACCTGATGGTGGGCCCCTGCGCAGCCTGCCCGTCCCCAGGGGCCCCCTCGGCTGCCTTGTCCTCCAGCTGGTGGGCACTGAGGAACTGGTTGAGGTCGCCGTTCTCCATGTAGTCAGTAATCATGCAGAGGGGGTCGTCCTGCACACACACGCCCAGCAGCCGAATGATGTTTGGGTCCTTGAGCCTCGACATGATCTTCACCTCTTTCAGGAAATCATTCCTGGAGAACAAGGAGAAGCTGAAGAGGAATGCCGAGTGGGCGGCCTGCACCTTCCCCCGCGCCCCCACCCCCCTGCCCCACCTCAGGCAGACCAGGCGTCCCCACCCCCAGCGTACATGTAAATCCCCTCCCAGAGATGCCACCCCTCTGTTGGGCTCTGCCATTGTTCTCTCTAGATGGCTCCCCACTCTTCACGGCCTCCCCTCCCTTCTTCCAGATGCCATCCCTGGTCCTCACCTGGCATTCTTGGTGGCATCTGGCCGTAAGATCTTGACAGCTACCAGCAAAGGGTGTCCCTTACGCACATTAAGGGGGAAATCAAGACTAACCAGATCTTGAGGGCTGTCGACCTCACACAGGTGCACCTGGAGAAAGAAGTTCGTTTGCTAGGCGGTCACAGGGTCAAACGGATTAACACGGTTACAAATGACTAAGGTTCCTGGCTAGGGGGATGCACAGGCATGGCATCAGAGCACACAATAGGGCCAGACACTGGGTAGGCACCCTCCTTACCTCCCCAAACTGGCCCTCGCCAAGCTTCTCCTTGAAGCGGAGTCGAGATCGAGGGAAATCCACTCTGGGGGGCCCATCCCCGACTGCCCCTGGGGGCAGTGCAGGCACAGCATAGGTGTTGCCCCCGGTGACGCCCTGCAGGGTAACAATGTCAGCCTCGGCATAATGGGGGACGCTGTTCTGGGGAGGTGGGGGCAGAAGCGGGGCGCCTGGCTTCTCAGGCTCCATATAGTCCCCACTGTAGGCTGCAGGGGTGAGGGGAAAGAAGACAGGACGAGGCATCAGGAACAGCCCAAGAGCTATAGTTCCCCACACCTCAGCCTCCCGGAGGGCCCTGTGTCTCCCGGTTGAGTGAGAGACTGGGTCTATGCTGTATCTTCCCAGTATTCCATGCGCCAACCTCAAACCAGGAAGACACTGGCATGGGACGAGAGTTAGCTATTCCAGAGCTTTTCAAGGCAATGAATATGGTTGAGCAAAACTGTCATAAAGTCTTACTCTTTTAGGGCCTCCCTAGGGTCTCTCAAGAGACTGTGAGATAAATCTTGGCTGGAAGAAGAATTCCTCCCCAGGAATTCTCCCGCCTCAGGATGGTCCCAGCATCCAGGCACCCTCCACCTTCCAAACCCTTGTCCCGTTCACCACAGCTCCCTCCCCTTCACTTAGCTGCTCTCCCGTGGCTTTCAGCCTGGCTCCCCCTGGGGCCAAGCCCTCCCAACCCTTTCAACCCAACACACCAAGCTCAACAACAAGCAGAGACAGAGGCACACAGAGAGGAGGGAGGGTAACAGCTGCTCACAGCCCCAACACAAGTTGTCTACAGACAGGAGAGGAAGCAGAGCTGTCCCCTCTTAGCCCTGGGGAAGGGGCCACAATGAGAAGGCAACACTGAGGAGAAGAGGGGCAGATGGAAAGGGTTGGGGCATGAGCCTTCACCTCTGGGACTGCAGAGAGAGGACACATGTGAGGGAAAGGGCAAGCGCCCGGGGTGAGAGCCCTCCTCCTCGCAGCTCTAGAGAGAGTGGAGAATAAAGGAGGAGTTACTATAGTCTGGGGCCACCACAGCAACCTCCTGTCTAGCTCTGGAGAGCTGAAGAGATGGCGTGGAAGAGGAGGAGGGAGAAGAGCTGGGGACCAGTAAGCTTTCTACTCCTCAGCTCAAGGGGGGGACCTTAAAAAAGAGCAAGCAGCAGCAGAGATGAGCTAAGGGCACAAGAGCTTCCTCCTTGGGAGCTCAGGAGAGCAGAATAGGCCACAGTGGGGAGAGGAGGAAGTGCAAGGTGTGAGGGCTTTTCCCTGCCCCAGTAGAGGTATGGGGAGCCTGGCGGAGCCCAGGGGCAGAGGGGCTTACCCTGGGTGTTGGTGGGTTTGGCCCAGGCGGGTGTGGGGGGGCCCGGGCCTCGAGGGGGACGGGCGTAAGTGGCCAGAAGGAGGCGGTAGGCTGGATTGGAGAGCAGCAACGCTGTCGGGAGAAGGAGGAGGGGAAACACGGGGAAGGGATGAGACTCAAGGCTAGACAGACAGGGAGACCTTGAATAGGGCAAGACCAGGGCTGATGGGATGATTGCATTAAGAGACAGACAGGATAAAACAAGGATCTGCAGAGTGACGGACGGCTGGCTGGATAATGAATGCATGGACAGATGGGACGTATGAATAGATGGATGGATGGTAAACAGATGTTTTGTTGGATGGATGGATAACAGATGGAAAGATGGATGTGTGAATATAGATGGATAGATGGATGATGGATATGGGTGGGTGGATGGATGGATGAATAGATTTATGAATATAGATAGAAAGACAGATGATGGAAGATTGATGGATGGATGCAAGGATGTATGACTATGGATGGAAGGATGGGTGATGGAGGATAGATGAAGGAACAAACATGGTGAGTCTAATACAAAGCAAAGGGGCCAGGGAGACACAATGAGAGGGTACAACAAAGATAGAGAGATGTCTGTGGGACACAGACAAGATAGCACCACGGGGGACTATGGGTAATACATGGGGAACTCTTGAGAGAGACTACATGGTAGGGACAAAGAGTGATATAGACAGTAACCAGGGGCACAGAAAGAAGAAAACAAGTGGAAACTGGGGAAGACAGGAAAAAAAGAGAATGGGAAAGGGATACAATAAGAAAACAGCAGAGAGGACAGAGGTGCGACTGGAACAAGGCAGGTCTTACCAGAGCCATTGGGGACACAGGGAGCGGAGTGGGGCGGATTCCCACGAGGCCGGGGCTCCTGGTACGGGGGTGGCTCTCTAGGACCTGGGCGGTTGTTGATGAGGATAGTGTCCCCAGGGACAGAGAGGTGAACCGTCAGCTCCTCTTCCAACACCCTCCGTTCAGCCTTGTCATAGGGATGGGAGGCATCACCCGTGTTGCTCAGCACACACGGCCTGGCCCTCTGCTGTGTCCATCCCTGCGTTCCCTCCCTCAGCCCTCACAAGAGCCCTACAGCTGTGGATACTATCAGCACCATCTTACAGGCAGAGAAAGTGAAGCTCAAGAGCATGGAGGTAACTTCCCTGTCCCACAATGAGATTCTAACCCTCATCTGCCCAGTCCATAACTATCAACCGTTTTTTTTTTGTTTGTTTGTTTTTTTGAGATGGAATTTTGCTCTTGTCGCCCAGGCTGAAGTGAAATGGCATGATCTCAGCTCACTGCAACCTTCGCCTCCCAGGTTCAAGAGATTCATGCCTCAGCCTCCTGAGTAGCTGGGATTACAGGCATCAGCCACCATGCCTGGCTAATTTTGTATTCTTAGTAGAGATGGGATTTCACCATGTTGGTCAGGCTGGTCTCGAACTCTTGACCTCAGGTGATCCTCCCGCCTCGGCCTCCCAAAGTGCTAGGATTACAGGCATGAGCCACCGTGTCCAGTCATCAACCTTAATGTATATTACTGCCACTGGACTCCAGCCGGAAGACGTGGCTTGGGGTGTGCCAGACGTCTTCCCTTTGCCCCTCCAACCCCACTCTCTGCCTGTCTCTACCCTGCTTCTGCCCCAAGGCTGACCAGTGTACACTGCACCAACAGGCCTGGTTTGGGTTAGCCAGAGAGGAGCCCAGCAGGAGTTTGGGGCAGAAAGTGAGGTCAGGGCATCTATTCTCCCAGGCCCTCCCTGAGGGGTAGATACGGGCCAGCTGCATCCCAGGACCAAAGTCTACTGCCCCTGTCAAGGTGCCCTCTCCACAGGCTCTCTCCTCTGGGTCGTGGTATTTGCTCCTCTCCGCTGAGCAGACCCAGAGCTGGGGAGCAGCCCTCCCTGTGAGCCCCATACCCTCTTTGACATGGTGTAAGTGGTCTCTTTACTAAGCCCTCCTCTTGGGATGCTAGTGGGCTGTGCCCTGCAGGTCCCACTGGACGCTGGCTCGTGCTGGGGCCTGGCCTCCCCCCGCCACTCCACATGCCACGGCTGTGCCCACCTTGCTGAGGAGCCTGCGCCAGTGCAGCCGCCAGAGCATGAGGGCAATGATGAGCAGCAGGAGCAGGATGATGGCCACCAGGCAGCCGATGAGGATGGCGGTCGGGCTCCCCTCGGCCTTGGCCACGGGCTGCTGGCCTCTGGGCTCCAGCTCTGGTGGAGGCAGCAGGGTCAGCACCACAGGAGGGTCCCACCCTAGCCAAGGGGGAGGCCCAGGGAGAAGGGTGCAGAGGGTCCACACGCCCACCCAAGATTGCTCACCCAAGCTGCTGAAGTTGGTGGGAGGTGGGCCAGGCGGCCACCAGGGGGCTGGCGGGAAGGTGCCTCCCAGTGCCGGAGAGGAATTGTTCACCACATCTGGGGAGAAGGAACAAAAAGAAAGGAGGGAGGTAAATGAGGAGGAGACCCAAGGGAGGCAGAGGCAGTGGACTGTTGTGCAAAGGAGCAGAAGCATGGGTGATTCTCAATAGGCAACCACTGACCAGTGGGGGCTGGGGGAGCAGGGTCCTGGAACACCCAGCTGTGGTGGGTGTTAACCCTATAGTTGCTGGATTGTGGGGAGGTGGAGGACAGGTATCTGGAGGCTTAGAGAAGAGGCTATTTCTCAACTAATACAGAAGTATTTCAATATTTTAACAACCAGTACTGTCATACTGGCTCAATAATAGTCACGGGCAAGGGGCTTACAAAGGAAAGATGGATACGCAGAGAACAAGAGGCAGAAAGGGGCTCAAGTTATTTGGGGCACCCCTAATTGAGAAGTTTCGGTGGGTGATGGGTAGATATAATGCAAGGAATGAGTATTTTAGGGACACTGCAGGGTTAGGAATGAAATCAGTTGTCAATTTCAGGGACTGGAGACTGGGCTACTCCAGGGCTTACCAGAGATGAAGGAGATTTCGCTGAAGAGTAACCAGGGCCCCGCAAAGAGGAAGCGGCACTGCAGAAAGCGAGCCACACGGCCGCCAAGGGGCACTGAGACAGCCCGGGCTCTGGGGTCCCCCAGGTTGCCCCCTAGGTTGTGGCGCATGGGCTCCCCCTCCCAGGCCATGGCAGGGCCACGCCGGAAGCGACATTCCACCCCGCCAGGCAGACGGGCTCCCAGCGTGTGCATGTTGTTACAGTGGACCTGGGGGGAAGGGAAGAGGGCACAGGGTCAAGGCTAGGAGTGGTGGGGGCACCCCAACGGCACCCTGCATGGCTTCAGAGCCCTCCTCGAGAGCCGGACTCACTCACCTGCATAGCCTGGAAGGCCCTCAGCCGGTCAAACTCAAACTCCATCTCCACATAGCCACTGGAGAAGCTGTGGTTGCTCCATCCCACATAGTCATAGCCTGGCCAGACCCGCAGCTCCTGACTCTTCCTAAAGTCATCCAGCCCCACCACACCATCTGCCAGCTGGCCCAGACCCCCATACTGCAGTCTGGAGAAGAGGGGACCAAGGAAGAGGAGGTTGGAAGGGAAGAGGGTCTTGACATCCAGGCATTCTGCTCCGCCACCCTCCGGCACAGTGGCATGGCCAGCCTGGCTCCCATCCACTAGTCCCATTCCCATCCCACCTCACACTCATGCAGCTGGCCCTTCTCCTCTCTCCACCCCACCCCAGCACTACAGGTACCTTGCAGGTCACATCCAGCACAAAGGCACCACCTCTAAGGGGCACCATTTCAATCTATGATGTGTATATTTATTGCAGCAATTTCCAACAATGTGTGTTAGCAAAGGGGTGCCTTTTTCATACAGTGTCATACGGGCTAGTGGTCACCCTAGTGCTACCCTTTGAGGCCCCACCTAACCCATCCCTCTTCTCAGCTCTTCCATCTCACTCCCCACCCTACTTACCAGCCCCCCTACACACACACACTCACACACACACACACACACACACACACACACACAGTCCTCCCTCCCACCCCAAACTCCATATCCTGCAGGGGCCTTTCTTACCCGCCCACGGTATGTCCGTCATAGGTGGAGTCGTTGAGGTACACGGCCTCAGATAAATACATTGTCTGCCCCACAGGGGCGGTGTAAGACAGGAGTCCATCTGGGGCAGGGTGAGAGGATGGGGGTCAGAGGCACTAAGGCTCCATCCCCCATCCCTGCATCAGGCCTGGGCAGGTTTCAGGTCCCTTCTTGTATCTCTCCACTGGCTCATTGGCATGGAGGAGACAATGCTGGCTAGCCCCCTCCTCAGAGTGACAGCTTCCCAGCAGGAGAAGGGATCCTGGATGCCCATTCTCCACACTCCCCACCCTCCAGTCCCCTGCTCAGGAAACAGATTCCCAGGAAGCTGAGCCACTCACCCCTCCAGAGGCAGCCATAGAGCTCTACCCGCAGACAGACGCTCATGACCCGGTCAGCCCGGGGGTAGAAGCGAACCAGTCGGGCAACCATGGGGGGCCCAAGGTCCTTCAGCACCACTCCCTCAGGGTCCTCATTGCCTGAGATCACCTGTGGGCCAGGAAACAGGGGGTGGGTGGGATGGAGTCCAGGTCAGATCTTACTTCCCACCCACCAGCTGCTCCCTGGCCCAGCCCACAGTGGCCACTTAGAGACCCATGAGGGGTGGCACCGAGCACACAGCACTGTGGGGCGCAGCCAGGCATGGGTGAAATGAAGATCTGCAGCTGAGACCTCTGGCTCTGTCGCAGCTCTGATGTTCCATCCTCAGACTTCAGGCTCAGCTGCCCTCTTCTCCTTGCCTGGCTCCATCCATTTGTCTCCAAGCCTATCATCCCATTGTGCCCAGATTCTCCCCAATCCTCACAGCCCTGCACCCCTGCCTCAGCTTCCCCTTCATTTCAGCCCATTCCCTCTGTTCATTCAGCAGAAGTTGGCTGAGTGCCCGCTCTGTGCCAGGCGCGTTCTCAGTGGTGAACGTCACTCCCCACCCTTGTAGGACTGAGATCCCAGCAGGGAAAACAGCTGCGAAGAACAAGAGGCAGGAAGTATGGACAGAGCAGTGAGGTGGGTGGCCAGAAAAGGCTCTCTAAGGAGGTGACACCTGGCAGAGAACTGAATGGAGTGAGGGAGAGCCTGTGGTTATTTAGGGGAGGAGCTTTGCAGGCACAGAGAAAATGTCCAGAAGCTGTGGGAACGAGCCCTGGCTTGTTCCAGCAACAAGAAGAAAGGCAGCGTGGCCAAGGAGGCGCCAAGAAACAAGTGATGCAGGCAGGAGCCAGGTCAGGCTGAGCATCCTGCACCAGCTAGGGACTCAGCTTTTGTTCTGGCAGAGTGGAAAGCCAGCATGGGGGTGTCAGCTAGGTGTGACGTATCTGATTTACATGCTCTAAGGTCCACTGGATGCCGCCCCCCCAGGTGGAGATTTGACTCCAGGCAGAAAAGGGCAGAAGCAGGGAGACGCGTTTGGCATCTACTGCACTCATCTAAGCTGGAGATGGCGGGCAGGTGGCCTAGGGCAGTAGAGGTGGAGTGGTGAGGAGTGACTGGACTCAGGAACACTATGGAGGTAGAACAGACGGGGCTGCTGATGCTTTGGAAGGAGGTGAGAGAAAAAAAGGAATCAAGGATATCATCTTAACTTATAGCCTAGGCAACCAGGCAATGGTGATACCACTTCCTGAGCTGGAGAATGCCAGGGGAGGAGCAGGTTTAGGCTGGGAATGGGAATCAAATTCAGCTTGGGAAGTTAAACGTACGTTTGAGATGCCTATTAGACATCTAGGTGGCTGGCTACAGTGCTTGTAATCCCAGCACTTTGGGAGGCTAAGGTGGGAGGATCACTGAGCCCAGGAGTTCAAGACCAGCCTGGGCAACACAGCAAGACCCCATCTATTAGAAAAAAAAAAAAAGACATCTAAGTGGAGAAATCCAAAAGGTGGCCAGGTTTACAATATTGTTTGGAGCTCAGCTGAGAGGCTTAGTCTGGAGATGATATAAACTGGAGAGTCGTCAGCGTATAGGTGGTGTTTAAAGTACAGCTGGAAGTGAGGAGAGCCAACCTCCTCTGGGTGCTGCCCCTGCCAGTCTCACCTCCTGACCCCAGCGGTCCTTCCAGCCCATCCAGCGGCGACCATCCCGGGAGTAACGCAGCCGGTAGCTCCGGGAGAACTCCTTGCCCAGGCCCCCGGCATGCCGTCCCTGGGTGCCCACCAGAGCCACCAGGTGCAGTCGTTGTAGATCCACCTGCAAGTACTCCTCCTCCTTGGGAAACACCGACCCTGCGGGGCACCAGGCCCCATCCCCGTCACTGCTCTCCAACCTGAGGGTGAAGAGGGGCACAGAGAACATCTGGCCCCAGGTCTGCCTCCATCTCCAGTATTTAAACCCCACTTCATTTGCCCCCTCAGCCTGCAGGGGTTTCACTGGCATGGGCAGAGGGGTTGGAGGGGAAGTAGAGGTCCCAGGAGCTCCTCTCGGGGCAGCTACAAGTGTGCCAGGTGTGCCAAGTACCTGCTGTGGCGGGCGGCAGTGGAATCTGACCAGGAGCTGGAAGCAGAGATGTCACTGTCTGGGATGGTCCGGTCCTGCATGCCCAGGGCATAGCGGCACTTGGCTGAGTAAAAAGCAGGCATGTAACAGGTCAAGGCCCCCAACTCTCTACCTCCCAAGCCCTGGCCCTCAGGGACCCATGATTCAGTCTCCTCACCAGGATCAAAATGTCCCTTCATGTCAGCATCTCCACTTGCCACCAAGAGCAGCAGCAGTAAAGATGACAGGGCCTCTGGTCCCATAGCTCCTGATCCCTCGGGCCTAAGGGGGTGGGGGCAGCATCTCTGCAGGGGATAAAATGGGTGGTGCGTAAGTTAATCAGGGGACTGAGTCATAGCTGACAGCAACAGACAGAATGGGCCGCTTTGGGGATAATAACAGTAAAACAACAACAACAGTCATTGTTTAACAGCATCAGCTATATTTTTAGAATGCTTCCCCTGTGCCAGACACTGGCCTAAACCCTTAAACAGAATCCATAATTTTATCTTCACAGTCACTTCATAAGGTAGATACTATTACTATCCATATTTAACACATGAAGAAACTAGGGCAGAGATCAGTTAAATAACTTCCTAAAGCCCCATTTCTCCAATCAGGAATGGGCAAAATATCCCCATAAACAACGGCTTAGAACAAACAACAAGTGTGCAAAAAATGTTTATAACACATACAACAGGAAAAGGTTTAATAACTACAATAAACTAAGGCCCCTTAGGAACTGACAAGAAAAAATATATAAGTAACCCAATAAAGAAACAGCCAAAGAATGTGAATAGTCATTTCACAGAAAAGCAAAGCCAAATTGCCAACAAACATTTTTTTTAATGGTCAAATTCACCAGCCTCAGGGAAATACCAAGCAGACTGACAAGATATTTTTTTAAGGCTGTAACATATAAAAGTGGTAGAAAGTGATGAAAAGGGAGGCACCATGCTCAATGGCAGAAATGAGTGTTATCTTCTATTTGGAAAGCAATCTAGCAATGTCTATTATAATTAAAAATGCACATCCTCTTCGACCCAGCATTCCCTCGAGAGAGAAGCACCAGGAAGTAAGAACATATGTGCAGGTCTGGGTCTGGTGGCTCATGCCTGTAACCCCAGCACTTTGGGAGGCCGAGATGGGAGGATCACTTGAGGCCAGGAGTTAGAGACCAGCCTGGTGAACATAGTGAGACCCCATCTCTTTAAAAAAAGTGAAAAATAAAAATAAAAAAGAAGATTTCAAAGATGTTTATTATGGTACCTTTTGTAAGACATAAATCTGTAAGATATGTGAATGCCCACAGGGGACAGGCTGGAATTAAAAAAAATAAGGTTTATTGACTACTATGCAGCTATGAAAAGTAACAAAGAGGCAATATATTCCTAACTTTGTGTGATTTCCATGTATATCTGTTGAATATGAAAAGCAAGCAACAGAAGTATAAAAAATATCCCACCTTTTGAAAATAGAATAAACAAGCACCCATGTTTGTATATATACCTGTGTGTACGTCTAGAAGGAGAGAATATATAATAGAATATAACAATAGAATACAATATAACAAGAGTTAACATGAACGGGGCAAAAGAAAAGCAAATTTAAAAAGACAGGTTGATTGTACTATTTTTCTAAATCTTGTAACATAAATGCATTTATGTAAAATCATAAGATATGTAAAAGAATATGAAAATCATTTTGACTTTTAAAAAATAAATATGTCCCAGGAAAGGTTGGGCAATTCCTTGTTGAGGATATGATAGAATTAAACATCAGATAAGCCTGGACCAGCTCACCCTGCTGCCCTCCCACATAGGAGTCCAGAATTCTAAGAGAAGGGCAGAGGGGACCCCAGCACCTTCTAGTCTTACTGTCCCCTATAGCCCTCTAGGCCCAGGGTGGTCCCTGGACCATCAGCAATACCTGGAAGCATGGAAGAAATCAGAATCTCAGGCTCACCCTTGACCTGCTCAATCAAAATCTGCCTTTTAACACAATTCCCAGGTGACCTGTGCCCATTAAAGTTTGAAAATCCCTACTCTGTTCCTCAGGCCCAGGAAGCTTACCCCACATAAAACTATTCTAAATGGCATCTCCTTACAAACCCAAGTAACTACTCTCCCCTCCCCTGCTGCAGGAAAAGCTATCCTAACCTGTACTGGTCTCAGAGCCCTGTACTGAAGTCTCCAGGCCCTGGAGTCCTGAGGGACTCGACTGCCACCTCTTATCAGGTTCAGGGCATCTTGGGCCCAGTTATCCCTGCTCTGCCTTCCTGAGACCCAGACATCCAGTCCCCCCAGTTCCCACTTCCAGAAGGTGGCTGCCTCTGAGGGACTGAGGAAAGGCTGAGTTGCCTTGGAGACGAGGGCGGGTCTAAAGACAAGGAAGGCAGGTCACCCCAGGAGGTAGGAGGAGTGGGGGATACTCCCCCATCCCTTTGTCCTCCTCCAGCTGCTCCCACAATGCACTAGGGCAGGAATGTAAGAGGCAGCTGAGACCCCAGAGCTCTGAAGCAGCAGCTGAGGGGGACGACTGAGTTGTGGGGGGCACTCAGAGGCTAGAACCAGAAGGCATCACGCCTGGTCCCTTAGGGTCCAGCGCCGGGGAGCAGGCTGCCAGAGTCCCAGGAGACTGGCTTGGAATTCCTGGGTGCCGCTCTCCAACCCCACCTCTCTCGGGAACAGCGGGGCTCTTGTTCCCCTAAGTAACCTTCATGCCTATCCCAGATGAGTCATCAGAGCCACACAGAGCCGAGAGGAGCCCGGGGCAGAGATACAAAGGCAGGCAGAGGATACGAGGCAGGCGGAGACAGAGCGAGAGCCACAATGCAAGAGGTAAATAGAGCAGGCTCAGAAACACGGGGCACAGAGCCAAGCAGAGGAACACGGAGAAGCACAGAGACGTCTGGGCTGTCTGTTCTCCAACACCCCCAGTCACCTCATCTCTCTCCACTGGGTCTTCAGTCCATAGTCAGAGACCCAGAGGGCAAGAGAGGACAAGCCCAGAAGACCTTCCCCAATCCCACCCCCTTCCACTCCATTACAACCAAAGACAAACCAGGGGCCAGGCCACCCTGCCTCAAGCCCTTCACGCTCCTCTCCCAACCCCCAAGTCCCACTCAGACAACACCCACACAGCTCTGTACACACACACACGGTGAAACACACAAACTTACTGAACTGGCTGTAAACAGCGAGGCTAAATGTGGCATGCACACACCCACCTCTCAGTGTCCCTGACAACCCTCACAGAGTTTCTGAGACAGAGCAAACACAGAAGCTCATGCATACATCAACCCGTCCACACCTTGGCATTCCTTCAAGTCCAACCCCATCGCTCAGTGAATAGCCACCTTCAGACACCTGTGAACATGAAATGACAGACACCACATGCTCCTGTGACCAAAAGACAGCATGAGACACACACACCCGGGCCCTTGGGCACAGGATCCCCAGAGAACTGGGGCCCAGCCTCTAACACACATGGGTGACCAAGCCAGAGGGACGTCGAGGGGGCAGGGAACAGGTGGGCGCTGGGTGGGAAGAGTGGCAATAAGGACAACAGCCTTTCCCTGCCTTTCCACTCACTCCCCTTTCACCTGTCTCCACCACACCACTCAGTCCTGGACACACCTACAGGCCCTCAGCAACAGCCAGCGAGCTTGGGCGCCTGCCTCTGGCTGCTGGAAGCGCTGGGAAGAAATGTTCAGCCAAGAGCCAGGCATGGGGGGGTGGGACCCTGAAGCTGGCGCTCACCGGCAGTGACATTCTCTCATGCCAGAGCTAATTGACCATCCAGCCGGGAAGAGTGGTGTCACTGGTGGGTTAGAGTGGCAGTCCCTCTTTTTGCTGGACTGTGACCAGACTGACCAACTGGGTGTTGGCTGAGCGGAGGCTTAGCAGTTAGATGCCCGCAGGGACTGGCCAGGTGGAGGGCAGGCGATAGATGAGCTGACTCAGTGGGGCTGCACAGGAGCACCTCCTCCCGGGGCTCAGTTCCTCCGCACTGAGTGAGAGGGGACTTGCCTCAAGGCTGGAGGCTCAAAACTCTTTCTGGGAGGTCACGGGCTTCACCTCCACCCAGTCCCCGCCCCCGGTTTTCAGACGGTATGCCAGAGCATCGGGGAGGCGGGCAGGGAGGCTTAGAAGAGCTGGACGACCAAGCATGGCTCGGGACGTCCTGCCTCCCCCGCCCCTCGCCCTGCAGGCGCCGCCGCGCGCCCCCACCCCAAGAGCCCCAGGCCTCCGCCCGCGGGTTCCGCCGCCGCTCTCCCTACCTCTCATCGCTCTTCCCGGCAGACCCAGGCGTCCGACCCGGGAGCGGGGCCTCTTCGGCGGCGGGGCGAGGGGCGGGGGAGGCGGAGGGAGCCAGGAGCCGGGAGCCGGGAGCGGGAGGCGCCGGCGGGGCTCGGGTGTCGGGAGGCGGCTCCCGAGAGCAGCTGTCGGGGGCCTGTTCCGGGGAGAGGAGCCAGGGCTGGGGCGGCTCGGGCCCAGGCGCCGCCTCCCCCTCGCCTCGGCTCCCTCCCTTCCTCCTCCCGCTCCTCGCTCCCCTCCCTCCCCTCGGCCTTCTCGCCGCGCGTTCGGGCTCGCAGCCCTCCCTTCCCCCTCCCGGACCCAGTAGTCCCAGTGGCTCCCACGCCCGGCGCCGAGCTCCAGGCCCCGCGCCCGCCACGCCCACCCCGCGCGCTAGCGCCCGGCCCGGCCTCCCCCAGGTAACCCGCCCGCCAAGCCCGCCTGGGCGCTCCCAGGCCGCCCAGCCGCCCGCGCCGCTGCCTCCGGCCGGCTCCGCGCCCAGCCCCCTCCACCCACTCGCAGCCCACCCCCGCTTCCCCAAACGAGAACCTCCAAAGCTGGCGCCCCAGGGGGCTGGCTGCAGTCCCGCTCAGGGCCCACGAGGGGAAGACGCCCCTCCTACTTCTGGGATCGGTTCCTGGTGGGAGAGGCAAAGGGGAGCAGCCCCAGGGCACAGAGGAAGAAGCAGGTTCCCACAGGCTCGGCCCAGCCCAGCTGCGGGAGTTAGCCCAGAGAAGGGAGCAGAGCTCAGGTCTCAGGGCTCACCTGTCCAGCCAGGCCCCAGACTGCTCTTCTCCCTCCACCAACCTTTGCTCCTCTCTCGCAGCCTGTGCGCTCCCGCCCCTACGACCCAACCTGGAAGGCCCCAGACCCTGAAGGCGGGCCCACTCTCTTCTCCTTCTCCTCTCAGTTCCTCTCTCTGAAGGGCGTTCTAAGGGACCCGGGGGTCCAGACGCCCAGGCCCTGATTCCCCTGGGCTCCCAACGGAGTGGAGTGGGAGGGGGACTCAGGAGTCCTCAGGGCAAGCCTCCCTCAGGCCCAGCCAGCTCTGGCCGTAGTGGGCCAGAGGGTCTGATCACTGGCCAGAAGAGGCCAAAAATGAGGCCAGGACAAAGTTGAGTGGTCGGGAGGAGGAAGAAGAGGAGCAGGAGAAGGATGGAGGCACACTGAAAATCACACACAGTCAAAAGGAAGGGGACCAAGAGACCCAGGGAAGATGAAACAGTGAGACTGAGTAGGCAAAGCAACTGAGAGAGCTACTGGGCAGAGGATGGAGCGGGACAGAACAGCTTGTGGTGGGAGGTGCTTTTTCCCCACTCAGCACTACCTCAGCCCCTCACCTCTCTCCACACCCCCACACCTGCTCACCACCTAGACAATGTCACGGTCACAGGAAGTTCTCGCTCCACTGCACATCTCCGCCCCAGGAACCTCACAGTAGATAAAAACATACCCTGCTTGCAGTCCCAGACAACAATCCCAAGAAAGAAACACGAAGTCCCAACCAGACAAGTACACAAAAGCACTACCAGGAAGAAGCTGGCCCTTGGGAAAGGCCGAGGCACACATGGGCACTAGTTCAGAAGCCCAAGGACGTTCCAACGGCTGAGGGACCTGCTAACAGACAGCCCCAGGGTCACTCGAAGAGCAGCTTCTTCCCGCCTTCCTGTCCCACCAAGCCCCCAGGGATTCATTCCCCCAGAACACCTACCCCTCCAGAGAACAGCAGCTGGGGAATCTAGGCCCAGGAGACGCTGGACTGGGGGTGGGGCCAGCCTGGGGGTGGGGCCAAGGCTTCCCAAGTCACCTCACCTGGCAGCCCACAGCCCCTCCTTCCAGGAGCTGTGCTCTGGGAAAGCCCCAACAGGCCTGCCAGGCAAGCTACAGCCCGTCATACCCTGGTGGGACATTCCACACCCCAGGCCCACGCTGACCCCAGCTAAGTGGCATGGCAGTGCCAGACAGAGGGGTCCACTGGGGAGAGCAGAAGGAGCTAGAGAGTCCTGAAACCTTTGTCCCCTCTTCTCACTGCCTCAGGAGAAATTCCTAGTGGTGATGCCCACCTCGCCCCAGCTCCAGGCTGGAGGAGTGGGAGGGATGCAAGGCTGGGGCCCAGTGGAGTCAAGTGACAACGGAAAGGGAGCTGGAGCCAGCTGGAATGCGGGACTCGGAGCCGAGATTCCCAGGGGCCTGAGAGGGAAATCCCAGCCATCCTGGGGCCCAGAGAGCAGCACCAAAGACCAAGAGGGCCTGATTACCCATCCGTGGTCCCCAGAGCCCATTCCACATCTCCTGCATCACTCCGAACCCCAGAGGCCCCCTGTGTCCCTGAGAACCCCCAAATGACCCTCTACCATCCCCTCCCATCCTGGGCTTCCCTCCCCTTCAAGCCAGTGGCAGCCTGCTGCCCAGGAAGGAGAGGATGGGAAACAGCTGAAAAAATGTGAGGAGAGGCACGTAGGAGAGGGGAGAAGGCAGCTTCAGGCCTGCAGACCACCTGGCCACAGGAGGGAAGCCCAGCACGACCAGCGAGCGAGAGGACGGACCAGATGGGCCCCCACACATACACTAGCTGCAGTCCCCTTCCGGGAGCTGCAGCTGCCTCTGGAGGAGCAGGCTGGGTCAGCAGCTGGGGAGAGTAAGAAGCGACGGGTGGGGGGCAGGGTGAAGGAGTGTACAAGGCTTTGGGTGTGAGTCAGACCTGATGCCACTGAATAAACTGGAAACTGAGGCCAGGGAGCGAAGGAGGAGATTGAGATGACGTAGCTCTGGGAGAGAGATGAAACAGCTCAGCTGTGGTTGGGGAAGAAAAGGGCAAGGGACCAGAAGAGGGAGAGGAGGCTGATGGTCAGATGGGGACAATGGTGAGAGAATTCCCAGAGAGACGGAGATGGACTGAGGTCAAGGCCAAGGAGACAGGTCTGAGAGAGGAAAAGGAGGATGAAGACAGGGCACACACAGCAAAAGGTGGGAAGCCCCAGGGGCTCAGAGGAGGAGACTGAAGTTTGGGAAGAAAAGGGCTGAACTGGATGAAGGAACTGAAGTGGACTCGGGAAGGAAACAGTGTTGGAAACAAACTCCTAAGAGAGGAAGGCAGGGAACTGAGGAGGCTTGAGAGCTGGGCAGACAGATCAAGGGGACAAGAAGCAAGGACAAGGGAAGAAGGGGCTGGAGTGAAACAGAGAGTGGAGGGAAAGAGGAGGGAGACTGGGGCGCAGAGTGTGAAGCTAAGGGACACGGGGAGATGAGAAGTATAAAAGGCTGAGAAAGGAAGAGGCACCTGCGGGACAGATGGGGACATGAGGACCAAAGAGAGAATCTAACCTGTTTCTGGACAACGGTCCCCCTTTGGGGACACCCTAGTCCCTCAGCCCATTCACCACACCATGGCACCCAACTCTATTCCCTCTCTTTCCCCTCCTCCCTGCCAGGCTCTGGGCCGCTCCCCTCCTCCCAACACACCTCCAGCCTCCAGCCGGGGACCGCCTGGTCCCTGCCCACAAGGGGAGGGCCCAGCTCCAGTGCCCACTCCTGCCCTCCCAGTTCATCTCTGGCTTCCCCCCTCTCACCTCCAGCTCAGGATTCTCTTAGGTCCCAGTCACCCCAGTCTCAGGCCTTTGGGGTCGGGTCTGGGGCTGCCAACGCTGCCTGGCTTTGTCCGAGCGTCCGGGGCCCCGGGCCCAGGAGGAGCAGCTGCCCGGGCCAGCTGCGGCTGGCTTCAATGTGACCATGGCAACCAAGTCCCGCTCCCCTCACCGAGCCTCTAGGCCCCCGCAGAGAGGGACTGAGCAGCCTGGCTGTGGAGAAAGGGAGGGGAGGCTGAGAACTGTGAAACAGAACCAAAGGGAGACCCCAGACAAAGAAACCCCAGACAAAAGGAGATGAAGGGAGGCAGAGGAAACAGAAAGCGGCATTGGGGGTGGTGGCCGGGAGCTCAGGCCCTCCAGAGGGGGAGAATCTAGGAGAGGCGGAGAAAGAGGCAGAAGCAGGGGCTGATTTGCAGGGGAGAAGAGAGATTAGAATTGACTGGCAGAGGTCCTTTAGAGACTCCTTCTGGGCCCCTGAGAATTCACTTCCTTCTCCCAGGATTTTGCACCCTGGAGAGAACCAGAATCCCAGTTTCTTAGTTGGCTGTCTCAAAAATATTATATATGGCGAGAGCTTCCCTCCAATTACACCAATGGCCATAGGAAATATCTGAAAACAAAAGGTGCTCTCAGTTTTCACAAACAACCCCAATTTCAAAGCCTAAACCATCACCTCTTAAATACCAATGGCAATGGTGCCAGTTGCGGTGGCTCATGCCTATAATCCCAGCACTTTGGGAGGCCAAGGAGGGCTGATCGCTTGAGCCCAGAAGTTCGAGACCAGCTTGGGCAACATGGCACAACCCCATCTCTACAAAAAATACCAAAATTAGCTGGATGTGGTGATGCGCACCAGGAGGCTGGGTGGGAGGATCACCTGAGCCCGGGAGGTCAAGGCTGCAGTGTGCCATGATTGCACCACTGCACTCCAGCCTGGGCAACAGAGCAAGACCCTGCCTAAAAAAAAAAAAAAAAGGGCATTGTCAGACAATGTTCAGACAATCCTTGGTTTGGAAACTATGATCCCAAAGCCAAAGGTGATGAATTAGGCTTGGAGGGACTGGAGGAGGGAAGAGGAGTAATGAGGCCGCCTCTCACAGCATGCAAGAGGAAGCAGAGTATCAAATGGGAGGGGAGAAAGCAGGGCTCTGCGTCTGAGAGGGAGAGTTAAGGTTGCGACTCAACATCTGGCTTCTCTTGGCTGAGTCTACATCAGTAAGAGGGAGATAATGGTCACTGGCCCAGAGTCTGTTTAGAAGATAATGAGATAGCATCTGTAAGGTACAGGCCCACTGATAAAAGCAACCATCCAAACTCCACTAAACATGATCTCTCTCTGTGGACTTCTCATGTGTCACTTGGGATCTCTGAGTGCCACCTCCCAAGTCATTCCACAACAGTTGTTATTAAGAGTTTGCTTTGAGAGGCCGAGGTGGGTGGATCACCTGAGGTCAGGAGTTTGAGATCAGCCTAGCCAACATGGTGAAACCCCATCTCTACTAAAAATAGAAAAAAATTAGCTGGGTGTGGTGGTGCGCGTCTGTAACCCCAGCTACTTGGGAGGCTGAAGCAGGAGAATTGTTTGCACCTGAGAGGTGGAGGTTGCAGTGAGCCAAGATCACACCACTGCACTCCAGCCTGGGTGACAGAGGGAGACTCTGTCTCAAAAAATAATAATAATAAAATAAGAGTTTGCATAGGGCACCAGGTGCAGTGGCTCATGCCTATCATCCCAGCACTTTGGGAGGCCCGAGTCAGGCAGATCACCTGAAGTCAGGAGTTCGAGACCAGCCCGACCAACGTGGTGAAACCCTGTCTCTACTAAAAATGCAAAAAAATCAGCCAGGCATGGTGGCGGTTACCTGTAATCCCAGCTACTTGGGAGGCTGAGGCAGGAGAATCGCTTGAACCCGAGAGGTGGAGGTTGCAGTGAGCTGAGAATGCGCCATTGCACTCCAGCCTGGGATACAAGAGTGAAAGTCCCTCTCAAAATAAATAAATAAATAAATAAATAAAAATAAAAGAGTTTGCATAGGGCAGGGCTCTGACAGAGAGAGCTATGAAAGATGCATTCAGTAATGGAACCCACTCCCCACCTTCCAGGCCTTTACAATCTAGAGAGTGTTAGGCGTATATATGTAGTCACAGAAGACAGAACACCGTGCTACAGGCAGAGCTGGAAAGGGTCATGGGAACCCAGGGAAGGAGGAGGCCAGGTCCTCCTGAGTGGGACAGGAGACAAGACTCAGGAAGACCTCAGGGAGGAGCTGGAGCTTGAACTGGGCCTTAAGTCATGCTAAGATTTGCAGAGATGAGGCAAGGCCATTCCTGGCCAGAGAAGCGGAGGAGCCAAGGCAGGGAGGCGTGAATATGGCTATGTCCAAATGCAGCCTCACCTGGAAGAAGGGTCCATCCCATGAGTGAAACCAGAAAGGCAGATTTGGAACCTATCATTGAGTAGTTTGGCTTATTCTGAAGGTGAGGAGAAAGAACCTTGGGGTTTTGAGCTGGGAAATGACATGTTTAGATTTGTGTTCTTTTAAAAGTGGTTTTTGGCAGCAGCATGTGGGATGCAGAGTTCAGAGTAATGGCTGAGGGGAGGGAGGAGTTAATCCCACTTTATCCTGTGTACGTCCCATGGTGCTCCCCCTAAGCCTCCAGCCAGGACAGCAGTGCACATCCTAGGTGTTTTACTAGCATTTTCAACCATCCTGTGTTTGCCTCCTCAGGGCCCTCTGACATGAGTGGGGCAGGGCTCTCATAAAAAGAAAACCTTGTAATCCCAGCTACCCAGAAGCTGAGGCAGGAGGATGGCTTGAGCCCCAGAGTTCGAGGTAACAGTAACTATGATCACACCACTACACTCCAGCCTGGGTGACGGAGCAAGACTCTATCGCCAAAAAAAGAGTGAGAAAAAAGAAAACTAGGCCCAGAGGGGCTGCGATTTACCTTAAATTGCAATAGCAATTTAATTGCCACTTAATGGCAAGTGGCTGCTTCCTACCCAGAACTTCCCCTGGATTCCTCCATCTCAGTCTTCCAAAATGGAAAGGGGGATGTAGAATGGCTCCCTGGGCCTCCAGACTGGACCGACCCTGGACCGACCGCTAAGCCTGGTGAGTCCTGCCTCTGCGGAAGCCCGGCCTTGATAAACTTATCGGAGTATTCTTTAGGCCTTATGGTCCGGACAGTGAACAGGAAGGCCACTTGGGGGCGCTTGCTGCACAGGTGACCAACTCCAATTACTGGAAAATGGAAGGAAAGTGAAAGCGGCCAGGAAAGAGATTCAGGCTTGGGCAGGGAATGGCAGGAAGCACCGCAAAGCAGCAGACCCAAGAGAGAGGTCAGAAAGGCTGACTGGAAGCCCAGGGCAGCTGCGGGGCTATTTAGGGTACAATGACCTAATTTGCACATATAGGAGATGTTGTCATTTATAGGCAGAATGTTAGAATCTTCACTTTCTCTTTTCTATTGTCCTTTGCTAAAAAGCCTGTGGAATTCTCAGCAGCGTCTTAGGATCCCTGAGCCTTGCTGTGAGCCAGGCTCTGCTCTCAGCGCTTTCCAGAGCCATCTCATTTGGCCCACACAGCAGTTCTGTGATGTGGCATTTTGAAACATGCCCACTTAGGGTAGAAACTGAGAGTTAGAAAAGTTGCTCTCCATCCCCATCCCCCATACACACACAGTAAATGGCAGATCTGGAATTCAGATCTCAGTTGTTTGTTTATTTGTTTTATAGAGACAAGCTCTCTGTCACCCAGGCTGGAGTGCAGGGGTACAATTATAACTCAATGCAACCTCTCAAGCCATCCTCCCACCTCAGCCTCCCAAATAGCTGGGGCTCAGGCACCATCATGTCCTGTTATTTTTTATTTTTATTTTTTTGAGACAGAGTCTCGCCCTGTTGCCCAGGCTGGAGTGCAATGGCACGCTCTCGGCTCACTGCAACCTCTGCCTCCCGGGTTCAAACGATTCTCCTGCCTCAGCCTTGAGAGTAGCTGGGATTATACGTGCCCGCCACCACACCCAGCTAATTTTTGTATTTTTAGTAGAGACAGGATTTCACCATGTTGGCCAGGCTGATCTTGAACTCCTGACCTCGTGATCCGCCCGCCTCCGCCTCCCAAAGTGCTGGGATTACAGGCATGAGCCACCACGCCCAGCCATTTTTTGTTTGTATGTAGAGATTGGTAGAGATAGGGTCTCACCATGTTACGTAGGCTAGTCTCAAACTCCTGGCCTCAAGCGATCCTTCTGCCACAGCCTCCCAGTGTAATGAGATTACAGGCGTGTGCCACAATGCTTGGCCCAAATCTGAGTCTTTTTGATTACAGAGCCAAAGCTAGGCTGGAGGATCTCAGCCACCATTCTTTTTCCAACTCTAGAGGTCTATAATACATTCTTATCCTTTCTCTCTAGTCCTTGAACATCTTGGAACATTGTCATTAACTCCTCTAACTTCTTTTATCTCCCAAGAACACTGGTGGCCCAAATTATTCTTGTGTACAAAAAATGTACAGAGATCCAAAAATGGTAAATGCTTACCTCAAGGTCACCCTGGAAGTCAGGGTCAGTGCTAGGATAGTGTTCTCAAACTGAGGTCTCTGGACTCCTGAGGACTTGTGAATACCTGTGAAAACTATTAAGTTCCATGTCTAACTTTCCTTAGTAGCATTTGAAAAGTGTTATAAGCATGTTTTGGGTCATTTGTAACTGATCCTGGCCCTGCTTGTGAGTACCTGCATTTGCATTTACCTATTTATAGCTTTAATTGTCTTGGTCGCATTTGTACCAAGTGAAGGCCAGGAGACAAGTTCTAACAAAGATTTCTTAGTAATTTGAACAGACATGAGAAGGGGAAGAATTGAGTCATCGCCAGGCACACAGTGGAATATTGTGCCAAGTGCGGAAGAACCTTCATCAGGCAGTACATGGTCTGTTGCCAGCAGCAACTTCATTTCAGAAAAACACTATTTATTACATTAATGTTAAACTTGTCTTTATACTTTTGTTTGTACCTATGGCTACTTTGCTTTGGTTTTATAACTGCTTAACTACTGAAGCATAAGGAATTCATAGTTAGTTGTGTTTCCACACATTTAAATTATAAAAATAATTTAAGTCCATGAAAATTGTTTTCCTTCCAAAAAGGTCCATCCATACATTACTCAAGTTCTTGCTCTCACAGTAGGTATAAACTAAACCTGGGCCATCAAGAGTCTCCAAGGAAAACTTGCAATGATGGAGTCCCTGTTAAAGGTCAAAAATCTCCCCGACCCTCAAGATCCAGTGCAAGTGAAGCAGCCAGTTGTCTGGGGTAAATACCCGGGGTTTGCCATCCCATGCCAGGAAAATGTAGGACACGGACACACGCGAGGAGTCGCGAGGAGTTTAAGAGGGAAGGTTTAATAGGCAAAAGAAAGAGAAAGGAAAACAGCTCTCTCTCTAGTGAGAGAGGGGACTTCCGAGAGAAAAGGGGCAGCTGGAGGCAGATGAGCCGAATTTATAGTCCAGCTTGAGGAGGCGGCGTCTGATTTACTTAGGACTCACAGATTGGTTTGATCAGGTGTTTGTTTACATAGCTGGGAAGGCTGGCCGCCCCACCCTAAGCTTATTATGCAAATGAACTCTCTCGGAGGGTGCCATTTTGTCGGCTCCTTACTGCACCTGTGGCTGACAGAGAAGGGATGATGGGGCCGCCATTTTGAACACGATTGGCACAACTGCCGTCATCTATGTCTGCAGCCCGATTTTACAGGCTGCTCTTTGTTAGAAGGAAAAATGATTTGGGCCTGCTTTCCATTAAAAGAGAAACCTTACCAAGAACTTCGGTAACCTCACTGTCTACCTAAGTAATTTCTTCTTAACTCCTGTGTCACAAGGAAGTTAGAACCTGGGGTTTCTGGGCTACTAAGAGAGGAAGATGTGAAGGACTGATTCACAAAGTGAAGAAGTCAGAGGGCAGTCACCTGGGGAAAACTCCAAGGACAGTTTACAGGATAGAATCAAGAATTGGCCAGGTGAGGCCAGGCGCCCTGGCTCACACCTGTAATCCCAGCACTCTGGGAGGGCGAGGTGGGCGGATCACGGGGTCAGGAGATCGAGACCATCCTGGCTAACACGGTGAAACCTCGTCTCTACTAAAAATACAAAAAAACGAGCCGGGCGTGGTGGCGGGCCCCTGTAGTCCCAGCTACTCAGGAGGCTGAAGCGGCAGGATGGCGTGAACCGGGGAGGCGGAGCTTGCAGTGAGCCAAGACCGCACCACTGCACTCCAGCCTGGGCGACAGAGCAAGACTCCATCTCAAAAAAAAAAAAAAAGGCCAGGTGAGGTGGCGCACGGCTGTAATCCTGTTACAGGAAAGGGGTCTCAATCCAGACCCCAAGAGAGGGTTGTTGGATTTCGCACAAGAAAGAATTCTGGGTGAGTCCTCAGTGCAAAGTAAAAGCAAGTTTATTAAGAAAGTAAAGGATTACAAGAACGGCTGCTCCATAGAGCAGCCCTGAGGGCGGCTGGTTGCCCGTTTTTGTGGTTATTTCTTGATGATATGCTAAACAAGGGCTGGATTATTCATGCCTCCCCTTTTTATTTTTTATTTTATTTATTTATTTATTTTTGAGATGGAGTTTCACTCTTGCTGCCCAGGCTGGAGTGCAGTGGTGAGATCTCAGCTTACTGCCACCTCCACCTCCCAGGTTCAAGTGATTCTTCTGCCTCAGCCCCCTGAGTAGCTGGAATTACAGGCGTGCACCACCAGGCCTGGCTAATTTTTGTATTTTTTTTAGTAGAGACAAGGTTTCACCATGTTGGCCAGGCTGGTCTCGAACTCCTGGCCTCAAGTGATTTGCCTACCTCGGCCTCCCAAAGTGCTGGGATTACAGATGTGAGCCAGGGCACCCAGCCCCCCTTTTTAGACCATATAGGGTAACTTGCTGACATTGCCATGGCATTTGTAAACTGTCATGGCGCTGGTGGGAGTGTAGCAGTGAGGATGACCAGAGGTCACTCTCATCGCCATTTTGGTTTTGGTGGGTTTTGGCTGGCTCCTTTATTGAAAACTGCTTTATCAGCAATGTCTTTATGACCTATATTTTGTGCTGGCCTGCTGTCTCATCCTGTGACTTAGAATACCTTAACCATGTGGGAATGCAGCCCAGTAGGTTTCAGCCTTATTTTACCCAGCTCTTATTTAAGATGGGATTGCTGTGGTTCACACGCCTCTGACAATCCTAGCATTTTGGGAGGCCAAGGTAGGCAAATCACTTGAGGCCAGGAGTTTGAGAACAGCCTGAGCAACATGGTGAAGCCCCGTCTCTGCAAAAAAATACGAAAATTAGCCAGGTGTAGTGGTGCACATCTGTGATCGCAGCTACTCAGGCATCTGAGGTGAGAGGATCATTTGAGCCTGAGAGATGGAGGTTGCAGTGAGCCATACCACTGTACTCCAGGCTGGACCACAGAGTGAGACTGTGTCTCAAAAATGAGTAAATAAATACAGAAATAAATAAATAAGAAAAGGAAAGGTAAGTAGTTAAATGTCCATTAATAGGTATGAATAGCCACAAAAATTACTGTTTTATTTTAGGTTTCTCCAAAAGCACATCCTGGGACAAGTACTTGGATATAAGTAGTTTATTTAGGAGGGGCACTGAGTGAAGGGCTGGGAAGAGTGAGACAGGGAAGGGAGAAGAGCCAATAAAGCGTGTGTTAATGAGCAGATTACTTACTGTTGGGAGAAGTGGAACTTAAAACTGTTGGGACTGTAAGTGTCCAATGGGTTCTTCTTGCCTGCTGCCCAGATAGAGCCAATTTATAAAGGCAGGGGAATTGCAGTAGAGAAAGAGTTTTTCACATGTAGAGCTGGCGAAGGAGAAGACTGGAGTCTTATTATGCTCAAATCAGCCTCTTAGAAAAAATTCTGAGACTAGAGTTTTCCAAGGATAGTTTGGGGGAAGAAGGGGAGTAGCTAGGCAATGGGTGCTTGCTGCTGATTGGTTGCAATCATAGGGGTGTGGGAAATGGTCCTCATACATGCTGAGTCACTTCTGGGTGGGGCCACAGGAGCAGTTGGAGGATCCAGTTGGAGCCATAAGTCGTCAGACATAGAAAAAAATCTGAAAAGATATCTCAAAAGCCCAGACATTTATTCACACTAACGGTGAAAAGCATACCCCACAGTGTCAGTGGAGGCAACATGGGGTCCTGGATTTCCTCTTCACCCTCAGTGGTAGTGAGGTGTTCCTCTCACTCCTTCTGAGTAGAGGAAGCCAAGAGGAAAGCTGGAACTTGTACCATCATCCAGTGGTGATAAAGCCTCTGTCCCTCCACCTTACCCCCAGGTTATCAGTGGCAACCACATGGCTAGTGGTACCCCTCCCGCTCCTAGCCAGAATGATATCAGCAGAGGCCTAGAGAGTAGCCCAAAAACTCATCTGCACCCAGCAGGACTGAGGTTTCCTACCCCCACCAATGGAAGCCAAGTGAGGAACCTAAGCCTTCACCTCTCACTCAGCAGGAACCAGACAACACCCCCTAACACACACACACACACACACACACACACACACACCCTTCTGTTAGTGTGGTATCAAGGAGGCTTGATAAAATAGAAGATTTAAATAGGATCCAGAGGCTGGGTGCAATGGCTCACACCTGTAGTCCCAACACTCTAGGAGGCCAAGTTGGGTGGATCACTTGGGCTCAAGAGTTTGAGAACAGCCTGGACGACATGGTAAAACCCTGTCTCTACAAAAAATACAAAAATTAACCAGGTGTGGTGGCACATGCCTGTAGTCCCAGCCACTTGGGGGGCTGAGGCGGAAGGATCACCTGAGCTAGGAGGCAGAGATTTCAGTGAGCCAAGATTGCACTACTACACTCCTCCAGACTGGGTGACAGAGTGATACCTTGTCTCAAAATAAATTAATAAATAGGATCCAGAGTCTCATAACATAATATCCAAATGTCCAGGATGCAATTGAAAATCACTTGCCATACCAAGAACCAGGAAAATCTCAACCAGAATAAGAAAAGACAACAGATGTCAATATCACGATAACACAGATGTTGCAATTATCTGACAAGGAAGCAGCCGTCATAAAAAATGTTTCAACAAGTCATTGTAAATATGATTGAAACAAATAAAAAAGGGAGAAGTCTCAGAAAAGAAATAGAAGATATAAAGAAGAATCAAATGGAAATTTTAGAACTGAAAAATGCCATAATAAAAATTTAAAATTCACCAAATGGGCACAACAGCAGAATGGAGAGGACAGAGAAAAGACTCAGTAAACTTGAAGATAGAACAACAGAATTCATCCAATCTGAACAACAGGGAGAAAATAGATAGGAAAAAAATGAACGTAACCTCAGACCACAATGAACATAACTATGTGACTGTAACAAAAGATCTAGCATTCATGTTATTGGGGTCCCAGAAGGAAAGGAGAAACAGGATGGAGCTGAAAAAGAATTGAAAGGAATAATGGCTAAAAATTTTCCTAAATTTAGGGGGAAAAAACATAACAGATTCAAGATGCTAAGCAAATCCCAAACAGAATAAACCCAAAGAAATCCATGCAGAGGCACATCATAATTAAACTTCTGGAAACTAAAAAATCTTGAAACCAATCAGAAATGACACAGTATTTGTAGAGGAAAAACAATCCAAATGACAGAAGATTGCTTTTCAGAAACCATGAAAACCAAAAGGAAATGACATTTTTTTCAAGTGCCAAAGGAAAATAACTGTCAGCCCAGTATCCTGTAGCCATCAAAAATACCCTTCATGAATGAAGGGGAAATCAAGACATTCTTAGGAGAAGGAAAATGAAAAGAATTTGTCATCAGCAGACCTACCCTAAAAGAATGGCTAAAAGAAATTCTTTCTTTCTTTCTTTCTTGCTTTCTTTCTTTCTTTCTTTCTCTTTCTTTCTTTCTTTTCTGTATGTGTGTGTGTGTGTGCATGTGTGCGTGTAGAAGCAGGATCTCACCATGCTGCCCAGGCTACTCTCAAACTCCTGGCCTCAGGTGATCTTCCTGTCTCAGCCTCCCAAAGTGCTGGGACTGCAGGTGTAAGCCACCACACCTAGCCTAAAAGGAACTCTTGAGACAAACAGGAGAGGATAAAGAAGAAATCTTGGAGCATCAGGAAGAAAGAAAGAACAATAGAAAATGCAAAAATATGGGAAGATTACCTTATTTCACTCCTTGGCATCAGGTTTGGCTATGTGACCTTCTGTGGCCAATCAAATGTGAGCAGAAGCAACATATATCACTTCCAGGAAATAGCTTCAAAGGCCAGTGTGTGGTTCTCCATGACTCTTTCTCCTCTCATGACACCTGTCACTGCTCCAGCTCTGCCATCTGGGTCCTGGTGTGAGATGACATGGACAGGGCCATAGCCAACCTGCAATGAATACATATAGCATGAGCAAAAATAAATCTTGGATGTTGTAAACATCTTAAGATTTTTGGCCAGGCATGGTGGCTGAAGCCTGTAATCCCAGTACTCTGGAAGTCTGAGGCAGGTAGATCACTTGAGGTCAGGGGTTCAAGACTAGCCTGGCCAATATAGTGAAAACCCATCTCTACTAAAAATACAAAAATTAGCTGGGGGTGGTGGCAGGTGCCTGTGATCCCAGCTACTCAGGAGGCTGAGGCAGGAGAGTTGCTTGAACCCAGGAGGCAGAAGTTGCAGTGAGCCAAGATCATGCCACTGCACTCCAGTCTGAGAGACAGAGTGAGACTCTGTCTCAAAAAAAAAAGTAAAGATTTTTTTAACCATGGCAAAACTTGACTTTTTTTTTTTTTTTTTTTGTGACAGAGTCTCGCTCTGTTGCCAGGCTGGAGTGCAGTGGCATGATCTCGGCTCACTGCAACCTCCGCCTCCCAGGTTCAAGCAATTCTCCTGCCTCAGCCTGCTAAGTAGCTGAGATTACAGGCACGTGCCACCACATCCAGCTAATTTTTTGTATTTTTAGTAGAGACAGGGTTTCATCGTGTTAGCCAGGATGGTCTCGATCTCCTGACCTCGTGATCTGCCTGCCTCAGCCTCCCAAAGCGCTGTGATTACAGGCGTGAGCCACCACGCCTGGCTGACCTTTCTTGATTGATATATAATCACAGTGATACATCTGTATAGTTCTTTTGTGTTGCCAAAACCTCACATTATTTACTTTGACCTTCATAAAACCCCATGAAGTATGAAGACAAATTATAGAGGGAGCCAGCCCCCAGTATTTCAATGTAGGTTCTTTTCTATTTTCCCTTAGTGTCGGCTGGTCTGAGAAATAAAGAGAAACAGTACAAAGAGAGAAATTTTACAACTGGGCCTCCAGCGGTGACATCACATACTGGTAGGACCGTGATGACAACCCCGAGCTGCAAAACCAGCAGGTTTTTATTAGGGATTTTAAAAGGGGAGGGGTGTACGAACAGGGAGTAAGCCACAAGGATCACATGCTTCGAAGGGCAATAAAGATCACAAAGCGAAGGCAAAATTAGAATTACTGATGAGGGTCTATGTCCCGCTGTGCACGTATTGTTTTGATAAACATCTTAACAGGAAACAGGGTTCGAGACCAAAGAACCGGTCTGACTAGAATTTACCAGGCTGGAATTTCCCAATCCTAGTAAGCCTGAGGGTACTGCAGGAGACCAGGGCATATTTCAGTCCTTATCTCAACCACATAAGACAGACACTCCCAGAGCAGCCATCTATAGACCTCCCCGGAGGAATGCATTCCTTCCCCAGGGTTATTCCTTCCTGGGAAAAGAATTCAGCGATATTTCTCCTCGCACATCTGTTTATAGGCTTTCTGCAAGAAGAAAAATATGGCTCTATTCTGCCCAACCCTGCAAGCAGTCAGACTTTATGGTTATCTTTTCTTGTTACCTCAAAATTGCTGTTACTTTGTTCTTTTTCAGAGTGCACTGATTTCATATTGTTCAAACCCACATGTTTTACAATCAGATTTCATATTGTTCAAACACACATGTTCTACAACCAATTTGTACAATAGTGGTCCTGAGGTGACGTACATTCTCAGTTTATGAAGATAATAGGATTAAGAGATTAAAGACAGGCATAAGAAATTATAAGAGTATTAGGGAAGTGATAAATATCCATGAAATCTTCACAATTTATGTTCAGAGATTGCAGTAAAGACAGGTGTAAGAAATTATAAAAGTATTAATTTGGGGAACTGCTAAATGTCCATGAAATCTTCACAATTTATGTTCTTCTGCCTTGGCTCCAGCTGGTCCCTCCATTCAGGGTCCCTGACTTCCCACAACAAATTAATGATATTTTTGTGTCAAAGACTAGCTGAACCCTATGTTGTTCCCGGTTACCAACTGACATAAATAAGTATGTTTGTAATGAGCCTTAAAATGGTTCTATGGAGTTGCCCATGTAAGAAGCAGCCGGATGGCAAATTAGTTATTGTAATTTGAAGTGCTCACAGTTATAACTTCCTATATAAGGTTCCTACTTGCAATTTCTGTTTGTTTTCTATATTCACAATATCTTAAAAGGCATAGACTATCTTTCCAAGCCTCACATTATACATCACTTTAATTTGCTCTGGTGTAAAACTGCTAATTTCTTTGAGGTGATACCACAGAACCACTAAATTAGATACGCTGTATGCCACATAGCATATATTTTAAGTCATTTTTTAATTAAAAAAAACAAACCTTAAAATTTGGTGAAAATCCATTGTGTTTGTTATCTATTGCTGCATAATAAATTGCCCCAAAAGTAAGTGGCTTCAAACAATAAGAAACATTTATTTTCTATCTCTCTTAAACACATACACACACACATACATACACACACAAACACAGTATTAATTTGTTATTGTTGAAGTTTTAAAAAGTGATTTGTATGTCAAAAACAAACCCCAACCTTCTCTCCTTGCCACCCAAACCAAAGAAGGCCAGCTCCATAACATAAAAGTGCGAGGTGAAGCAGCAAGTGATGATGAAGAAGCTGCATCAAGTTATCCAGAAGATCTAGCCAAGATAATTGGTGAAGGTGACTACACTAAACAACAGATTTTCCATGTAGATAAAATAGCTTTATATTGGAAGAAGAGGCCATCTAGGACATTCATAGCTACAGAGGAAAAGTCAATGCCTGCCTGGCTTCAAAGCTTCAAAGGACAGTCTGACTCTCTTGTTAGAGGCTAATATAGCTGATGGCTTTAAGTTGAAGCTAATCCTCCTTTACCACTCTGAAAACCCTCTGGCTCTTAAGAATTATGCTAAATCTACTCTGCCTGTGTTTTATAAATGGAACAACAAAGCTTGGATGACAGCATATCTGTTTACAGCATGGTTTGTTGAATATTTTAAGCCCACTGTTGAGAGACCTACTGCTCAGGAAAAAAAAGATTTCTTTCAAAATATTACTGCTCATTGACAATGTAGTTGGCCACCCAAGAGCTCTGATGCAGAGATACAAGGAGATAAATGTTGTTTTCATGCTTGGTAACACAGTGTCCATTCTGCAGCCTATGGATCAAGGAGTGATTTCAACTTTCAAGTCTTATTATTTAAGAATAAATTTTGTAAGGTTATAGCTGCAATGGATAGTGATTTTTCTGACATATCTGGGCAAAATACATTGAAAATCTTTTGGAAAGCATTCATCATTCTAGATGCCATTAAGAACACTTGTGAGCTGAGCACGGTAGCTCACACCTGTAATCCCAGCACTTTGGGAGGCCGATGTGGGTGGATCACCTGAGGTTAGGAGTTCCAGACCAGCCTGGCCAACATGGTGAAACCCCATCTCTACTAAAAATATAAAATTAGCCAGGCATGGTGACACACTCCTATAATCCTAGCACTTTGGGAGGCCGAGGCAGGTGGATCACCTGAGGTCAGGAGTTTGAAACCAGCCTGGCCAACATGGTGAAACCCCATTTCTACTAAAAATACAAAAATTAGCTAGGCCTGGTGGCAGAGGCCTGTAATCCCAGCTACTTGGGAGGCTGAGGCAGGAGAATTGCTTGAATCTGGGAGGCAGAGGTTGCAGTGAGCTGAGATCGCACCACTGCACTCCAGCCTGGGCAACAAGAGTAAGACTCTGTCTCAAAAAAAAAAAAAAAAAGAGAGAGAAAGAAAAAAAAAGAACACTTTTGATTCACGGGAGGAGGTCAAAATATCAACATTTACAAAAGTTTGGAAGAAGTTTGGTGCAAACCTTCATGAATGACTTTTGAGGGGTTCCTGACTTCGGTAACTGCAGATGTGGTAGAAAAAGCCAGAGAACTAGAAGTGGAGCCTGAAGATGTGACTGAATTGCTGCAATCTCATGATAAAATTTGAATAGATGAGGAAGTGCTTCTTGTGGATGAGCAAAGAAAGTGGTTTCTTGAGACGGAATCTACTCCTGTTGAAGATGCTATGAACATTGTTGAAATGACAACAAAGGACTTAGAATATTACATAAACTTAGTTAATAAAGAAGCAGCAGGGTCTGAGAGAATTGACTCCAATTTCAAAAGAAGTTTTACTGTGGGTAACATGTATCAAACAGCATCACATGCTACAGAGAAATCTCTCACAAAAGGAAGAGTGAATCGATGTGGCAAACTTCGTTGTTGTCTTAATTTAAGAAATTGTCATAGCCACTTAAGCTTCAGCAGCCCCCACTCTGATCAGACAGCAACACACCTTCCACCCACAAAAGGATTATAACTCTCCGAAGGCTCAGATAATCATTATCATTTTTTAGCAATAAAGTATTTTAAAATTAAGGTATGTACTTCTTTAAGACATAATGCTATTGCACACGTAATAGACCATAATATAGTGTAAGCATAACTTTTATGTGCACTAGGAAAACAAAAACTTAGTGACTTACTTTACCGAGATATTCCCTTTATTGTGATGAACTGGAACTGGGCCCGCAACCCGCAATATCTCCAAGGTATGCCTATATCTGAGAAAGCAGCACTGAAATGGCAAATAAATAATATTCATGAAAGCTTTGCCAGTAAGGAAGTAGAGGGTGGCTGTTTTGTGGAAACTAAAAGCGTGTCCTGCAAAAACCTTTCGTGAAATCAGACAGGCTTTCTTTCTTTTTTATTTTTTTTTCCAAGACAGGGTATCACTCTGACACTAAGGCTGGAGTACAGTGATGTGATCTCAGCTCACTGCAGCCTCAACCTCCTGGGCTCAAGTGATCCCCTCACCTCAGCCTCCTCAGTAGCTGGGACTATAGGCATGTACCCCAATGCCTGGCTAATTTTTTTTTTTTTTTAAACAGTGGTCTCTCTTTGTTGCCCTGGCTGGTCTTGAACTCCTAGGCGCAAACTGAATAGGCCTCCCAAAGTGCTGTGATTACAGGTGTGAGCCACTGAACCCAGCCAGACAGGCTTTCTTCAGCAAGTTGTCTGCCATGCAAAGAGATTTGGGTCATAAGATTCAGTAGTCTCTGGGAAGCCTTTAAAAAAGAAGTTGAACCTGGCCATGATCAGATTGGCATAGTATTATAAAGGATGATATGAAGGGTGATACAGTTTGAATCCGTGTCCCTGCCCAAATCTTATATTGAAATGTAATCCCCAATGTTGGAGGTGGGTTCTTGTGGGAGGTGATTGGATCGTGGGGGCAGATTTCTCATAAATGGTCTAGTACCATCCCCTTTAGCACTGTACTCACCATAGTGAGTGAGTTCCTGTGATATATGGTCATTTAAAAAGGTGTAGCACCTTTACCATCACTCTCTCTCACTCCTGCTCCCGCTATGTGAGATCCCTGCTCCCCCTTCACCTTCCACCATGATTGAAAGCTTCCTGGGGCCTCCCCAGAAAGAGATGCTGCTATGCTTCCTGTACAGCCTACAGAACCGTGAGCCAATTAAACCTCTTTTCTTACAAATTACCCAGTCTCAAGTATTTCTTTATAGCAGTGCAAGAATGGCCTAATACAAAGGGAAAGCAAGATTAGGGGAAGGGGTGCCAGTAACAAGGCTATGTATTATGTGCTTCTAATTCTAAATCATATACGTACTGGGAAACCAGAACTTGCAGGTGGATGGATCACCATCATGCCTATTCCATCCCAGGAGCAGCAAAACTGTCCCCCTTAGAGATCTTCCACCGTGAACCTCAGAGCCATTCAGCTATGGGTAAAGCTAACCTAAGCACAAATAGCAGATTTTTAGCGCCTGACTGGGATCCAGAGCCACTTGGTCAGCGGGGAGGGTAAGGGATGGATATTGTGAAGGTTCAGAGGTCAGGGTGGGAGGGGGCTGGCAATGGGTTAATCAAAGGGGCTCTCACACAAATATCCTATTCAAGACACCAAAAGTGACAACCTGAGACTTCTATTAGCTTGATTTTGTTGATGAAACATTCACCTTGAGGGGAGGAGGGAGGTACCCAAGGGATATCTCATGCACCTCTCACCTAGACTCCAGGGAAACCAGAGGCAAGGACTTCATAATGATCTGCCCCACCTGAGGATGATGGTGATATGCTGACATCATCCTCTGTACTGCCCGAATCCTGCTGCACATCAAAAACACAATCTGCACCACCACACAACCACGTGATCATCAATTGAGACATGAAGTTCACATCTTGTCTCTGGACCTTGAGAGCTTGTTTGGAGATTCTAGCAGGGGAGCGCAGCTACTCGTATACCCTTAGCCGAAGACTGGTCCTCCTCTATTGGGGATGGTCCTCCTCTTCAACTGAGCACACAGCTTCAGGAGGGATGCACATGGAGTGGTGAGGGAGGAAGGGGACACCACCTAGCCAGCTAGATCAGCAGAATCAACAGTGGCAATCACTGAGGTGACAGATGTCATAGCCAGATCACCCTCACATCCAATGTCTCTGGAAAATAGCGTTCAACTTTCTCCACTTGAGAAGGCACCTGACTACTTGCCTGCTGCCCACACTAGGGGCCAGATATGGTACATTAGTCACCTTCTTAGAGGCATTCTCCAGGCTCAGCAGGAAGCCCCCCCTTGACTGGGGAGCTGGGAAAGGGCAGGGATGTACTTTTCTGCGGAGATCTATTTTCTCCACAATGGGATTTAAATCATTAAACTGACTTTATAACATCAGTTCTAGAGCATCCTACTTGCAAACGGAGTGAAATTATCCAAATTATAAAGGAATCTCTCACTTGATAAAAGAAACACATGGTCTCAGGTAGCGTTTTAATGTTTCATAGCATGTGTTTTCAGATCAATAGACACTTAGCAGAGGGAAGGTGTATTAGTCCTGTAACAGGGTGTATTAGCACTGCTATAAAGAACTACCTGAGACTGGGTAATTTATGAAGAAAGGAAGTTTAATTGGCTCACAGTTCCACAGGCTGTACAAGAATCATGCTTGGGGAGGCCTCAGGAAACTTACAATCTGGGCAGAAGGGCAAGGGGAAGCAAACACCTTCTTCACACGGTGGAGTGGGAGAGAGGGAAAGTGAAGGGGGAGGTACTACACACTTTGTTTTTTTGTTTTGTTTTGTTTGTTTGTTTGTTTTTTGAGTCAGAGTTTTGCTCTTGTTGCCCAGGCTGGAGTGCAATGGCGTGATCTCGGCTCACAGCAACCTCCATCTCTCAGGTTCAAGTGATTCTCCTGCCTCAGCCTCCCAAGTAGCTGGGATTATAGGCATGTGCCACCATGCCGGCTAAATTTGTATTTAGTAGAGACGGGGTTTCTCCATATTGGTCAGGCTGGTCTCGAACTCCCGACCTCAGGTGATCCGCCTACCTCAGCCTCCCAACATGCTGGGATTACAGGCGTGAGCCACCACGCCCGGCTCTACTACACACTTTCAAACAACCAGATCTCGTGGGAACTCACTCACTATCACGAGAACAGCAAGGGGGAAATCTGCCCCAATGATCCAATCACCTCCCACCAGGCCTCTCCTCCAACACTCCAACACTGGGAATTACAGTTCAACTTGAGATTTGGATGGAGCCCATATTGGAGGGATTGAAAGTTCCTATGTTCCAAGACACAGACCAACAAGAAAGCAAGCAAATTAAAAAGGAAGCCTGAAATTCTAGTAGTAAGATGAATTATTAGGCCGGGCGTGGTGGTTCACACCTGTAATCCCAGCACTTTGGGAGGCCAAGGCAGGTGGATCACGAGGCCAGTAGTTCCAGACCAGCCTGACCAACGTGGTGAAACCCTGTCTCTACTAAAAATGCAAAAATTAGCCAGGCATGGTGATGCGCGCCTGTAATCCCAGCTACTCAGGAAGCTGAGGCAGGAGAATCGCTTGAACCTGGGAGGCAGAGGTTGCAGTAAGCTGAGCTCACACCACTGCACTCTAGCCTGGGTGACAGAGCAAGACTCCATTAAAAAAAAGAGAGAGAGAGAGAAGTGATTTATGTATTTGGTTTTTCCTGGACAGGAAGCTAAAATTCCAGGCTGGTGTTTAACCCCGGATGACTGTCAGGCGTAGCTGAAGACTCTGCTGGGTTTCTCTGGGCAATTGGCTTTTCACATTGGTCTGCGGGTTTGTCTGTAACTCCAGGCGATAGAGCTGGGAGTGTGGTGGGGGAGGACCAAGATTAGGATGAGACGCAGGTGAGGGCTCAGCCGTACTGTTTGTTCATGGGATGTTCCTCATGAGATCCTGTAGCCTCACATCGGCAAGAAAAGAACACATCTCCTTTATGTGCCAGCTGGGAGCTGAGGAGACTGGTCACACTCACAGAAAACCCAAGGAACGTTAGTAGTCATGGTTTTCAAGGCCAAAATCTAAACAGTGTTTGGGGAGGAGCTGGTCCCTCCCACCATGCACAGAGGTGTTTATGTGGTGTCCCTAGGCCAACGAAGAATGTCTCTCCAAGATCTCAGCTCCTCACCACACCTCCCCAACCCTCAACTTTCCCCTTCCCTCTCCATGAATCCACCTCCTTTTTACCTTCTCTCAAAGTTCCCTGCCTTCCCAAGTCCTTGCACTGAGCTGCGCCGACTCTCCGGCAAGATTAGCAAGTCCCTGGCCCCCTTTTATATTTTTGTGCTTGCAGCCTGTCAACTCTCAGGCAAACAGACCCTGACAGACTGCTTTACCAGGCAGAGTGCTACACCTCCTGGCTCCCCTGCTACCAGCTGCTAGGACCTAGTGCACGAGGTTATCACCACTTTGGCCAGCCTCCTCACCACCCTATTTTCTTTTCTTTTTTCTTCCTTGTTTAAAAAAAGAGAGAGAGAGAAAGAGGGCCTCGCTCTGTTGCCTAGGCTGGAGTACAGTGGCACAATCACGGTTCACTGCAGCCTTGAACTCCTGGGCTCAAGTGATCTTTCCAACTCAGCCTCTGGAACAGCTAGGACTACAGGAACATGCCACCATGCCTGGATAACTTGGTTTTTTGTTTGCTTTTAGAGAGGAAGTCTCCCTATGTTGCCCAAGTAAGTCTCCAACTTCTGGCCTCAAGTGATAATCCTGTCTTGGCCTCCCAAAGTGCTGGGATTATAAACTGATATGGTTTGGCTGTGTCCCCAGCCAAATCTCATCTTGAATTGTAGCTCCTATAATTCCCATGTGTTGCAGGAGGGACCTGGTGGGAGATAACTGAATCACAGGGGTGGTTTCCCCTATACTGTTTTCATGGTAGTGAATAAGTCTCATGAGATCTGATGGTTTTATAAGGGGAAACCCCTTTCACTTAGTCTCTCATTCTGTTCTTGTCTGCCACCATGTAAGACATGGCTTTTGCCTTCAATTGTGATTGTGAGGCCTCCCCAGCCATGTGGAACTGTGAGTCCATTAAATCTCTTCTTTTTCTTTATAAATTACCCAGTCTTGGGTATGTTTTTATCAGTAGCATGAAAAGGGACTAATACAGTACATTGGTAATGGGAGTGAGATGCTGCTGTAAAGTAACCCAAAAATGTGGAAGCAACTTTGGAACTGGGTAACAGGTAGCAACTGGAACAGTTTGGAGGGCTCAGAAGACAGGAAAGTGTGGGAAAGTATGGAACTTCCTAGAGACTTGTTGAATGGCTTTGACCAAAATCCTGATAATGATATGGACAATGAAATACAGGCTGAGGTGGTCTCAAATGGAGATGAGGAACTTGTTGGGAACTGGAGTAAAGGTGACTCTTGCTATGTTTTACCACAAAGACTGGTGGCATTTTGCCCCTGACCTAGAGATTTGTGGAACATTGAACTTGAGGGAGATGATTTAGGGTATCTGGCAGAAGAAATTTCTAAGCAGCAAAGCATTCAAGAGGTGATGTAGGTGCTGTTAAAAGCATTCAGTTTTAAAACTGAAACAAAGCATAAAAGTTCAGAAAACTTGCAGCCTGACGATGTGATAGAAAATAAAAACCCATTTCTTTTTTGTTTGTTTGTTTTTGAGATGGAGTCTAGCTCTGTCACCCAGGCTGTAGTGCAGTGGCATGATCTTGGCTCACTGCAACCTCTGCCTCCCAGGTTCAAGCAATTCTCCTGCCTCAGCCTCCCAAGTAACTGGAATTACAGGCACATGCCACCACGTCCAGCTAATTTTGTATTTTTAGTAGAGACAGGGTTTCATCATGTTGGCTGACCAGGCTGGTCTTGAACTACTGACCTCAAGTGATCTGCCTGCCGTGGCCTCCCAAAGTGTTGGGATTACAGGCGTGAGCCACCGTGCCCAGCTAATTTTTGTATTTTTTGTAGAGATGGGGTTTTGCCCAGGCTCGTCTCGAACTCCTGAACTCAAGTGATCCACCTGCCTCAGCCTCCCAAAGTGCTGGGATTACAGGCATGAGCCGCCACGCCCAGCCAAAAAAATCATTTTCTGAGGAGAAATTCGAGCCAGCTGAAGAAGTTTGCATAAGTAATGAAGAGTCAAATGTTAATCACCAAGACAATGGGGTAAATGTCTCCAGGGCGTGTCAGAGACCTTTGCAGCAGCCCCTCCCATCACAGACCTGGAGACTAGGGAGAAAAAATGGTTTTGTGGGCCAGGCCTAGGGCCCCCCTGCTGTGTGCAGCCTGGAGACTTGGTGCCTGCATCCCAGCCATGGCTAAAAGGGGCCAAGGTACAGCTTGGGTCATGGCTTCAGAGGGTGCAAGCCCCAAGCCTTGGCAGCTTCCACATGGTGTTGAGCCTGTGGGTGCACTGAAGTCAAGAATTGAGGTTTGGGAACCTCCAACTAGATTTCACCTGGATGTCCAGGCAGAAGTTTGCTGCAGCGGTGGAGCTCTCACGGAGGACCTCTGCTAGGGCACTGCGGGAGGAAAATGGGAGGTTGAAGCCCCCATGCAGGGTCTCCACTGGGGCACTGCCTAGTGGAGCTGTGAGAAGAGGGCCACCATCCTCCAGACCCCAGAATGGTAGATCCGCCCACAGCTTGCACTGTGTGCCTGGAAAAACAACAGACACTCAACACCAGCCCATGAAAGCAGCCAGAAGAGGGGCTGTACCATGTAAAGCCACAGGGGCAGAGCTGCCCAAGGCCATGGGAACCCATCTCTTGTATCAGTGTTACCTGGATGTGAGACATGGAGTCAATGGAGATAATTTTGGAGCTTTAAGATTTGACTGCCCCACTGGATTTTGGACTTGCATGGGGACTGTAGCCCCTTTGTTTTGGCCAATTTCTCCCATTTGGAATAGCTGTATTTACCCAATGCCTATACCCCCACTATATCTAGGAAGTAACTAACTTGCTTTTGATTTTGCAGCCTCATAGTTGGAAGGGACTTGCCTTGTCTCAGATGAGACTTTGGACTGTGGACTCTTAAGTTTATGCTGAAATGAGTTAAGACTGTTGGGAAGGCATGATTGGTTTTGAAATGTGAGGACATGAGATTTGGGAGGGGCTGGGGCAGAATGATATGGTTGGGCTGTGTCCCCACCCAAATCTCATCTTGAGTTGTAGTTCCCATAATTCCCATGTGTTGTGGGAGGGACCTGATGGGAGATAATTGAATCACAGGGAGTGGTTTCCCCCATACTGTTTTTGTGGTAGTAAGTCCCACAAGATCGGATAGTTTTATAAGGGGAAATCCCTTTCACTTGGTCTCTCATTCTCTTCTTGTCTGCCACCATGTAAGATGTGCCTTTTGCCTTCTGCCATGCTTGTGAGGCCTCCCCTGCCACATGGAACTGTGAGTCCATTAAACCCCTTTTTCTTTATAAATGACCCAGTCTCAGGCATGTCTTTATCAGCAGCATGAAAACAGACTAATATATAGGCCTTCACCATCCTTTTTTTTTTTTTTTTTTTCGAGACAGAGTCTCGCTTTGTTGCCCAGGCTAGAGTGCAGTGGCATAATCTCTTCTCACTGCCACCTCCGCCTCCTGAGTTCAAGTGATTCTCTTGCCTCAGCCTCCTGAGTAGCTGGCACTACAGGTGGGTGCCACCACATCTGGCTCATTTTTGTATTTTTAGTAGATATGGGGTTTCACCATGTTGGCCAGGGTGGTCTCAAACTCCTGACCTCAGATGATCCACCCATCTCAGCCTCCCAAAGTGCTGGGATTATAGGTGTGAGCCAGCATGCCTGGCCACATCATCCATTTTTGCTGCCAGAATTTTTGCCATCACCCCTGCCATTTGAGGGCAGAACAAAAGGTTGCTCACATCATTTGATTCAGATCATGTTGGCCAAAAGCTAGTCCCACAGCATGTGATACTGGGAAATGTAGTCTTGATTCAGGATGGCCACAAGTCCAGCAAAAATTTGGGAGTCTCATTAGTAAGGAAGAAGAGGAGAATGGATACTTGGGGACAACAGCAGTTTCTGCCACAAAGCACACAGTGGGAAGTGAGAGATCACTACACACCTCCATTCTCACCAGGAGCAGCTGGCCTGTAAATGGCACAAAGTAAGTGAAGAAGCCTCAAATGTTATTTATTTTATTTTTATTTTATTTTTTTGAGACAGGGTCTTGCTGCGTCTCCAAGGCTGGAGTGCAGTGGTATGATCATGGCTCACTGCAGCCTTGACTTCTTGGGCTCCAGTGATCCTCCTTCCTCAGCCTCCCAGTAGCTACGATTACAGGCGTGTGCCACTATGCCTGGCTAATTTTTGTATTTTTGGTAGAGACGGGGTTTTACCACATTGTCCAAGCTGGTCTTGAACTCCTGAGCTCAAGCAATCATCCGCTTTGGCTTCCCACAGTGCTAGGATTACAGGTATGAGCCACCACGCTTGGCCAGAAGCTTCAAATTTACATAAAGTGTGAAGTTTGGAATTCATAAATTCATAGTGTGGAATGGGGAAGGAAGAAAAGCTCTTTAAGAGATACAATCAGTGTTTTCTTTGGTTGTTAGAGTGTTGAAACAAATCAGACACTTTAGCACAGTAAGAGTTAACCTCCCTCACTGGGCCCCAGCAGGCAGCCCGGGAGCAGTGAGGTCGCAGTGGGTTGACAGGGTCTGTTTGTTTGCCTGAGAGTTGACAAGCTGCACGCACAAAACTCATCCAAGCAGAAGAAGCATCCATGCATGATAAACTTGAACCAATAACAAAGTCTTGGACATTAAATCATAACTGCTTTTTTGTTCGTGTTTGTGTATGTGTATACCGCTTTTTGATCTTGTACCAAACCATAAACTCCATGGGCACAGAGACCACGTTTATCTTGTTTATCATGTTCATCATGTGGCTAGCATGGATAAGGAATTTAGGAAATATGTGTTGAATAAAAGAGTAAATGAATGTTGTTTGTCACCACATTTAGTCCAGTCCTGCCTCCATCCGAAGCAAAAAGAAAGCTGAAGGTCAACATAGAAGCTGTGGTTCTACAAGCTCTGCACAATGCTGGAGCCCACCAGCATTGCTTGGGTGGCCCCTTCGTGAACAGGAACACAAAAGAGGGGAAAGGCATTTCCCCACTGGACATAGACACTGCTCTGCCCAATGCAGAATTGATGCCTGAAGGGCTCCGGTTCCCTGGGGGAATGCTCAGCAGGCGATGGAGAGTTGCTGTTGGCCTGGGTGCCTGGATTTAGGAGCACGAGTGAGATTTCCCTCAGACCCCCAGAAATACTTGGGCAGAGAAGGAGACACTGAAATGTTGTTACTATCTTAAGGTGGCCCCATTTGCACATTCCCATAGGTTAGCAAGACCCAGGGATGCTCAGGTTACTTATTTGGAACCTAATGTTGAAATACTATGAATTGTGCATGACAGATTAATTACTACTACTGGGATGAGAGCCCCTGGCCTTTTGGGATGGTGGCAGTGGCACTGGTGGAGCCCAGCTGCCTGTGGCCTCAGGTTGAGGTGGGCTGAAAAAGAAATATGAAGGCAGAAAGAGAAAGTGAAGGCAGCTTCACTAGATCTTCCGAGGATGTTAATTCCTCTGCAGCTATAGAAGAGATGAGGCAGATGGTAGAGGCAGAGGGGGCTGGGATCTGGCAAACAGTGGCTCTTACTCAAAACAGTGAGCTTCTAAAAAGGTTGAATCTCCTCTTAAATGGAAGAGAGGGGGGGAAAAAATGAGATGGACCAGAGTCCAAAAGTAGCAGAGCAACTCTGCAGTCCCCGGCCTGGGAGTGTCCCCATAAAGTGGGGGCCATCGAGTGGAACAGGAAAGGGGAAAGGGGAAGATCTTCAATTACTTGAGGAAATTGAATTCAGTGAGGGTATTTCTTCGAGCCCCAGGAAAGGGCCTTTGGTGGTACCCGTCAGGGAGCTGAATATATGTTCCTGCAATTTGGAGGACAGGGTGAGCAGCTAGCTGGTTCATTTCTGGAAATGGAAAAACACATATACACACAAAGACACACACACAACAAAAAAGAACACCAGGAGTCTGGCTACCTGCCCTGATGGTGGAACAAGGGAGGTAGCTGGGTTTCAGGGCTGCCAGCCTTCCGCAATTGCCGGGGGCACTGGATTCATGTTTCCTGTGGACCACAGGTGGGGCCACCATAAGAGAGAGATGGCAGGGGATGGCATTAGACTCTGTCTAAAAGGGTCATCTGAAGGGGTTTGGTGATCCTAATAGAGGGATGAATCGTCAGACTCTTAGAAGCTGCAGAAAGAAATATAGTTGACCAGCCTAAGGAAGGGCATTTGTCCACCTCAGGGAATTAGGTGATGAGAAATCGTAGCAAAGGGAAGGTGTTAGCTCAGAAAAATCAACGGAAGTGCCTGATGAAAGGAAGAATCAGCTATGCCTAATGACCCAGGCAGTGCTTCTGCCATCTCACAGTAATTCTAGTGCAATGATACCTCCTGGCCCCTCCCTCTCACCACTGGAACCCTGGAGAGGTCCAGGGTCCAAGTTAGCAAGATGAGGGAGGAGGGATAGAAGCATGCATACACAATGAACCTGTGTAGGTAGAATCCAGGTTCAGCAGCTGAGAGAAAAACTGTATGTCAAAAGACAAAGTGTGTTTCTCATTAACAGTTCCAACATCAGGAGTCTTAGGCTGGATAGAGTGACTCCGCGGTGTTGGAGACCCCAGCTCCTTCTGTCTTGCTGCTCTGCCATTGCATCGAGGGCTGCTCTCTCTTGAAAGGTTGAAATGGCTCCCCACATCTGCTGGGTCAGCATTCCAGCCAGGGAAAGAAGGAAAGGGGAAACTAATGCCACCCATGCTGTTTGAGGGCAGAACAAAAGGTTGCTTATGTTGTTCTGATTCAGATCCGTTGGCCAAAAGTTAGTCTCACAGCCACACCTGGCTGCAAGGGATACTGGAAAATGTAGTCTTGTTTCAGGCTGGCCATAAGTCCAGCAAAAATTTGGGAGTCTTACTAATCAGGAAGAAGAGGAGAATGAATATTTGGTGATAACTGCAATTTCTGCCACAAAGCGCAAAGTGGGAAATCAGAGGTCACCACACACCTCAATTCCCATTGAGGGTGGCTGGTCTGTAAATAGCATAAAGTACGGGAAGAAATCTCAAATTTAAATAAAGTTTAAAGTTTCTACTATTACATGAGATTGGACCATTTAATTACTTATTAAACTCCTTGGGGAATTGGAGTAACCCAATGACCTTAGATTACCTACAAATGACTAGAAAGTTCATGGGGCTTGCTCCAAATTTCATCTTGGGGCAAAAGGAGAAGAAATCCCACAAAATGGATGTAAAGGGACACGGTGAAGTGAAAATAAAGTTGCTTCCTGATCCCCCTTTCTTTAGTTAGATTAGGCTAGGCTGTTATAACAAAAAAACAAAATTTCAATAACTGGCTGGTTGGGACTCTATACCCAATCAGTGGTTTTGTCGGAGATGTTTGAATCAGAGCAACTCCATCTTAAATAGGGGCTGGGTAAAATGAGGCTGAGACCTGCTGGGCTGCATTCCCAGGAGGTTGGGAATTCTTAGTCACAGGATGATATAGGAGGTCAGCACAAGATACAGGCCACAAAGACCTCGCTGATAAAATAGGATGCAGTAAAGAAGCCGGCCCAAACCAAGATGGTGACAAAAGTGACTTTTGGTCATCCTCACTGCCCATTACATGCTAATTATAATGCATTAGCATGCCAAAAGTCACCCCCCACCAGCACCAAGATAGTTTATAAATGTCATGGCAATGTCCCAGAGTTACCCTATATGATCTAAAAGGAAGAAGAACCCACAGTTCCAGGAAATCTCCATCCCTTTCCCAGAAAATTCATGGATACCCCACCCCTTGTTTAGCATATGATTAAGAAATAATTGGCTAGGCGCTGTGGCTCATGCCTGTAGTCCCAGCACTTTGGGAGGCCAAGGCAGGCAGATCACTTCAGGTCAGGAGTTGGAGACCAGCCTGACCAACATGGTGAAGCCCCATCTCTACTAAAAATACAAAATTAGCTGGGAGTGGTGCATGCCTGTAAACCCAGCTACTCAGGAGGCTGAGGCAGGAGAATCGCTTAAACCCAGGAGGCAGAGGTTGCAATAAGCTGAGATCGCGCCATTGCACTCCAAGAGCAAAACTGTGTCTCAAAAAAAAAAAAAAAAGGAAAAGAAAGAAAGAATCATAAAAATAGCCAACTAGCAGCCCTCAGAGCCACTCCACCTATGAGGTAACCACTCTTTTATTCCTTTATTTCTTAATAAACTTGCTTTCACTTTACTCTGTGGACTCGCCCCAAATTCTTTCTTGCACAATGTCTAAGAACCCTCTCTTGAGAAGTGACTGGATCAGGATCCCTTTCCAGTAATGATTTGTGCACCCAAACTTTGGTTTCCTTAACTTGTGGGCCCACAGATGGTCAGCCCTCAGACTCTTGTCTCTTCTTATTGCAGGTTATACCTGTGACCTGGGCCCAGAGCTGTGGGCACAGCTCTGGAACAGCATCTGCAGGCTTTCTACCACTTGGCTATTCTTTATTTTTTTATTTTTATTTTTTTTGAGAGGGAGTCTTGCTCTGTCACTCAGGCTGGAGTGCAGTGGCGCAATCTCAGCTCACTGCAGGCTCCGCCCCCTGGGGTTCACGCCATTCTCCTGCCTCAGCCTCCCGAGTAGCTGGGACTACAGGCGCCTGCCACCTTGCCCAGCTAATTTTTTGTATTTTTAGTAGAGACGGGGTTTCACCATGTTAGCCAGGATGGTCTCGATCTCCTGACCTCGTGATCCGCCCGCCTCGGCCTCCCAAAGTGCTGGGATTACAGGCATGAGCCACCGCACCCGGCCTTGGCTATTCTTTAAAAAAAAAAATTATTGAGACATAATTGCACAGATTTAAAGTGTGCACTTTGATCAGTTTTGTCGTATTTGTATACTATGAAACTGTCACCACAATCAAGATAGTGAACACATCCATACCTCTCAAAAGTTTTCTCATGCCCGTTATACTTCCTTCCCTCCTGCCATGCCCATTCTCAAACACTCACTGATCTGCTTTCTGTCACTGTAGATTATTTGCTTCTCCTAGAGTTTTATATAAATGAAATCATATAGTATGTATTCTTTTTTTTTTTTTTTTCTGGTTTCTTTCACTCTGGCCATTCACTTCCAAGAGATAATGTATTAGTCCATTTTCATACTGCTATGAAGAAATACCCAAGACTGGGTAATTTATAATTCTGAGCTGGGCGCGTGGCTCATGCCTGTAATCCCAGCACTTTGGGAGGCTGAGGCAGGCGGATCACCTGAGGTCAGAATTTCAAGACCAGCCTGGCCAACATGGTGAAACCTCGTCTCCACTAAAAATACAAAAATTAGCCAGCTGTGATGACACACACCTGTAATCCCAGCTACTCAGGAGGCTAAGGCAGGAGAATCACTTGAACCCAGGAGATGGAGGTTGCAGTGAGCCGAGATCATGCCACTGCACTCCAGCCTGGGTGACAGAGTGAGACTCGAAAGAAAAGAAAAGAAAAGAAAAGAAAAGAAGAGAAGAGAAGAGAAGAGAAGAGAAGAGAAGAGAAGAGAAAAGAAAAGAAAAGAAAAGAAAAGAAAGAAAGAAAGAAAGAAGGAAAGGAAGGAAGGAAGGGAAGGAAGGAAGAGAGATTTAATGGATTCACAGTTCCACATGGCTGTGGAGGCCTCATAATCATGGTGGAAAGTGAAGGAGGAGCAAAAGCATGTTGTACATGGCAGCAGGCAAGAGCATGCTCAGGGGAACAGCCCTTTATAAAACCATCAGATCTCATAAGACTTATTCACTATCATGACAATAGCATGGGAAAAACCCGCCACCCATGATTCAGTTACCTGCCACCAAGTCCCTCCCATGACACATGGGGATTATGGGAACTACAATTCAAGATGATATTTGGGTGGAGACACAGCCAAACCATATCATTCCTCCCCTGGCCCCTCCCAAATTTCATGTCTTCACAATTCAACACACAATCATGCCTTTCAACAGTCCACCAAAGTCTTAACTCATTTCAGCATTAACTCAAAAGTCCAACTCCAAAGTATCATCTGAGACAAGGCAAGTCCCTCTTCCTATGAGCCTGTAAATCAAAAGCAAGTTAGTTACTTCCTAGATACAATGGGGGTACAGGCATTGGGTAAATACACCCATTCCAATGGGATACATTGGCCAAAATAAAGGTGCCACAAGCCCCATACAAGTCTGAAATACAGTAGGGCAGTCATTAAACCTTAACGTTCCAAAATGCTCCCCCTTTGACTCCATGTCTCACATCCAGGTCATGCTGATGCAAGAGATGGGCTCCCACAGCATTGGGTAGTTCTGCCTCTGTGGCTTTGCAGGGTACAGCCCCCCTTCCAGCTGCTTTCATGGGCTAGTGTTGAGTGTCTCCAGCTTTTCCAGGTGCATGGTGTAAGCTGTTGGTGGATCTACCATTCTGGGGTTTGGAGGATGGTGGCCCTCTTCTCACAGCTCCACCAGGCAATGCCCCGGTGGGGAACTCTGTGTAGGGGCTCTGACCCCACATTTCCCTTCTGCACTGCCCTAGCAGAGGTTCTCCATAAGGGCTCCACCCCTGCAGCAAACTTCTGCCTAGACATCTAGGCATTTACATACATGCTCTGAAACCTAGGCAGAGGTTCTCAAACCTCAATTCTTGACTTCTGTGCACCCACAGGCCCAGCACATTTGTAAGCTATCAAGGCTTGGGGCTTGGAACCCCTGAAGCAATGGCCTGAGCTGTAGGTTGGCCCTTTTTAGCCACAGCTGGAGCTAAAGTAGCTGGGATGTAGGGCACCATGTCCCCAGGCTGCATAGAGCAGGGGTCCCTTAGCCCAGCCCACAAACCCTTTTTCCCTCCTAGGCCTCCAGGCCTGTGATGGGAGGGGCTGCTATGAAGTTCTCTAATATTCCCTGGAGACATTTTCCTCATTGTCTTAGTGATTAACATTCCACTCCTCTTTACTTATGCAAATTTCTGCAGCAAACTTGAATTTCTCCCTAGAAAATGGGTTTTTCTTTTCTATTGCATCGTCAGACTGCAAATTTTCCAAACTTTTATGCTCTACTTCCACTTGAACAGCTTTACCACTTAGAAATTTCTTCTGCCAGATACCCTAAGTCATTTCTTTCAGTTCAAAGTTCCACAGATCTCTAGGGCAGGGGCAAAATACCGCCAGTCTCTTTGCATAGGAAGAGTGACCTTTACTCCAGGTCCCAACAAGTTCCTTATCTCCATCTGAGACCACCTTAGCCTGGACAAATATTGTCCATATCACTGTCAGCATTTTGGTCAAAGCCATTCAACAAGTCTCTAGGAAGTTCCAAAGTTTCCCACATTTTCCTGTCTTCTGAGCCCTCCAAGTCTTGAGGAAGTTCCAAACTTTCCCACATTTTTGTGTCTTCTTCTGAGCCCTCTAAACTTCTAACCTCTGCCTGTTACCCATTTCCACATTTTCAGGTATCTTTATAGCAGTACCCCACTTTACTGGTACCAATTTAGTGTATTAATCCATTTTCTTTTTTTATTTTTATTTTTGAGACAGTCTTGCTCTGTCACCCAGGCTGGAGTACGGTGGCACAATCTCGGTTCACTGCACCCTCCACCTCCCAGGTTCAAGCAATTCTCCTTCCTCAGCCTCCTAAGTAGCTGGGATTATAGGCGCCAACCGCCATGCATGGCTAATTTTTTTTGTTTGTTTGTTTAGTAGAGATGGGGTTTCACCATATTGACCACCAGGCTGATCTTGAACTCCTGGCCTCAAATGATTCACCTGCCTCGGCCTCTCAAAGTGCTAGGATTACAGGCATGAGCCACTGCACCCAGCCGTATTAGTCCGTTTTCATACTGCTATGAATAAATACCTGACACTGGGTAATTTATAAAGAAAAAGAGGTTTAATGCATTCACAGTTCCACATGGCTGAGGAGGCCCTCAAAATCATGGTGGAAGATGAAGGAGGAGCAAAGGCATGTCTTACATGGCAGCAGGCAAGAGCGTGTGCAGAACTACCTTTATAAAACCATGAGATCTCATGAGACTTATTCACTATCACAAGAAGAATAGCATGGGAAAAACCTGCCCCTCATGATTCAGTTACCTCCCACCAGGTCCCTCTCATGACACGTGGGGATTAAGGGAACTACAATTCAAGATGAGATTTGGGTGGAGACCCAGCTAAACCATATCAGACACCATTCTAATGGAAAACAGCTCAGCTGAAAGAATCCTGCCAAGAACTCATGCTACCTGTCTGTGCAGCAATTCAGAGTCATGAATTCTTGTTAAGCTATGTGATTTTTCTACAAGGATGCCAAGTCTACTTTCTGATTAATGGACCTCTCTTAATCAGAAACAAGCACAATTTACACTCATAATTTTTTGCCAAAATATATAACCTTAAACATCACCTCTCTCCCCTGCTTGTCAGTTCTCATCAATTAATCTGGTCTGAAGAAGAAAAAAAAACTCAGTTAAGGGAAACCAAGTGCACAGAGGATTTCTTGAAGAATATATTTTGCAGATTATGCAATTACAGACATTTGCAGCACTGTGAATTTGGACTGTTTGTTTTAACCCTTCACAGAATCTCTTACAGTGAATTGTGCTTTGGCAGTCGGCTCTCAGCTTGCAGGGACTCAATAAGAATGGGATGTAATGCAAAATAATTTATGGATGATATGGTACAATGTGTAGAATTTGCTTTAAAAGATCTCCAGCTGAAAAAGTGGTAGGAGTAGATTAAGTGAGTATGGTCAACTTTTGACAGTTTTTAAAACTTTGTGATGGATACAGCAAGACTCATTATATACTCACGGCTTCTGTGTATGTTTGAAATTGTCATCATAAGCAGAGTTTTTTAAAAGAGGCATAAGAAGTTCACCATTGTCTTTACTATAGGGATATTGTTAAAGATTTATTTTATTCATTACTTTGCAAACCAGTATACTTTTGACAAGAAATTAAGAATGATCTTAAAACTTAAATAATACTTATCTTAGTCCTGCCTAGTACAAAGTAAGCATGTAATAAGCAACAGTTATTGTTTATTGTGTAATGATCTCATCAGAATTCATTTGTGGGTATTAGTAGCCTGACCTCCTTGGAACTTGGAGGTTTCCTTTGATATTGGACAAAGTACAAAGAAAACAGTATCTTCTGTAAGGTTAGTTGTAAGAGGTTTTCTGGTAGCATACTGAATATAGGAAGAATTTCTGAAAGAACCTTTAAGAACTCTAGTGTCTCAATCCAGAAGGTAAAAATTTAATATGAAGTATTAAAAAAAAATGCACCATGACTAACCAGGAGTACAAAGATAGCACTATGTTTTAAAATATATTCAAATGTATCATATTCAAATATATTCAAATTTTAAAGATAGTTTTATATTTTAAAATATATTCAAATTTATCATCTCTGTAGGCCAAAGAAAATAAGCCATATGATCACCTTGATTATGATAAATGGTTCAACTGGCTAACATTTGAAAAACAATAATAATTAGAATTATCTCTCTATACTCAAAATCAATTCCATATGAATATAAATGTGGAAATTTTTTAAAGTGCCAAATGAAAACAAGGGATGAGATTAGGGAGGAAGAAAACTACTCTGTGCTTCCTGGCTTCATCTTTGATCCTGTTCCATCCTCAGAGATTGCAGAGTAAGTAAACTGTGACAGCTCTCTCACTTTTGCATCTTGACATATTCCCCAACCTCTCTCATCTACTTGAATGCCGATTCCTTTATTGCATTCTAGGCTTTATTACATCAATTTTTCAATTCCTGCAATAACTAGATTCCATAATAAGAAAAGACTGTACTTGGCTGATTTCTTTCATAATGTACCTATTAATATTTAAGTGTGAATTCCTTAAAGCTCTTGTGATAGGCTTCTCAAGGCATGGCAACATTCTTCACCTCTCTTCTGCTGTATCATATTATATTACTGTGTCTCTGTGATAACAATAAAGAATTTGACTGCCCTTTGTCCCTGGTTCCTAGGAGGGAAACTAAATCCTTGGAATCTCCTGAGTAATATGAGTATCTTTGTTATTCATGAGCCCCTTGGATCACACCTGGGCTTATGCTAAGAGAGAACTCACGATGGGAGGTTGGTCATCAGAAAGATCACATAATAAAAGGATTGGGCCTTAGAGCCAGCCCAACCTCGACGGAGGGTGGGAGGACTAGAGATTGCGTTCAATTCGGTGGCAAATGAGTCAACCAATTGTACCTATATAATGAAAACTCTGGACGCCAAAATTTGGTGGAGCTTCCTGGTTGGTGAACACATCCATGTGCCAGGAGGGTGACACAACCTGATTCACAGAGAGAAGACACAGAAGCTCTGCATGGAAGACCCGCCCAGACCCCGCCCTACGTGTGTCTTCATTAGTCTGGTCCTCCTGATTTGTATCCTTTGTAACAAGCCTGTAATCGTAAGTATAACATTCTCCTGAGTTTGGTGAGTTGTTCTAGCAAATTATCAAACCCGAGGGGGTTGTGGGTACCCCCCAGATTAGTAGCCAGTTGGTCAGAGGAGCGAGTAGCCTGGGGACCTCCACACTTGTGGCTGGCGGCGGAAGTGAGGGCAATCTCATTGGGGCTGAAACCTGTAGTTAGTGTTGTGCTGCACTATTCCAGTCCCTTATCCACCTACATTCCTGTCATTTCCTTGTCGGGGCCTTGCTGTGATGTCTCCATTTGGGTGATTTCATAAAGGTTAGAGATGAGGGAGGGCAGATTTACCTGGAGAACAAATTCCTAGGCCTTTTGATACTTTTTTTTTTTTTGAGACAAGGTCTCGCTCTGTTACCCAGGCTGAAGTGCAGTGGTGCAATCCAGGCTCACTGCAACCTTGCCTCCCAACCCCCACCCCCACGCTCTGGGCTCAAGCGATCCTTCCACATTAGCCTCCAGGGTAATTGGGACCACACGTGCGCACCAGCACGCCCAGTTTTGTTTTTTTGTTTTTTTTTTTTTTTTGTATTTTCAGTAGTGAAAGGGTTGCCCAGGCTGGTCTCAAACTCCTGAGCTCAAGCAATCTGCCCCCCTCAGCCTCCCCAAAGTGCTAGTATTACAGGCATGAGCCATCGCGCCCAGCCAATATACATTCTTAACAATTTTTTACTTACCAATTCTCTGTTCTGGCTTTGTATCTCTGATTTTACTAGATTATCCCTGTTTTGGCAAACACTAACAATATTTATATAAGTTTAGCCTATATGCCTTAAAGACGTTTTCTCCTACTTCCAGAACTTTCTCAGTTGTGTGTGTGAGTACGCCTGGCTTTTCATCAAAGAGCTTTGCCGTCTTGATGCTTCCTTTTCTGTGAACACAGCAATAAATAGATTCTGCAGAACAAATGAGTGAGTAACTTTTTTTTTTTTTTTTTTTTGAGACAGAGTCTCGCTCTGTCACCCAGGCTGGAGTGCAGTGGAGCTATCTTGGCTCACTGCAGCCTCTGCCTCCTGAGTTTAAGTAACTATTGTACAATAGTGATCACTGCCACAAAGTCAAGTATACATTGTTTATAATCTCTGAATTGAAGTACAAATTTTACTTTCTCTTTTTTTTTTTCCTTTGGAGATGGAGTCTCCCTCTGTCACCCAGGCTAGAGTGCAGTGGCAGGATCTCAGCTCACTGCAACCTCCGCCTCCTGGGTTCAAGTGATTCTCCTGCCTCAGCCTCCCGAGTATCTGGGATTACAGGCACGTGCTACCATGCCCGGCTAATTTTTTGTATTTTTAGTGGAGACGGGGTTTCACCATGTTGGGCAGGCTTGTCTCGAACTCCTGATCTCAGGTGATCCTCCTGCCTTGACCTCCCAAAGTGCTGGGATTACAGGCATGAGCCACCACACCTGGCCTTTTTTTTTTTTTTTTTTAATAGAAATGGGCTTCCCCACCTACCCCCACCTGGCATGGTGGCTCATGCCTGTAATCCCAGCACTTTAGGAGGCTGAGGGGGGTGAATCACCTGAGGTCAGGAGTTCGAGACCAGCCTGGCCAACATGGTAAAACCCCATCTCCACTAAAAATACAAAAACTTAGCCGGGCATGGTGGCACGTGCCTGTAATCCCAGCTACTCAAGAGGCTGAGGCAGGAGAATCACTTGAACCCAGGAGGCGGAGGTTGCAGTGAGCTGAGACCGCGCAATTGCACTCCAGCCTGGGCAACAAGAGCAAAACTCCATCTCAAAAAAAAAAGAAAAGAAAAGAAAAGACAAAAAAAGAAATGGGTTCTCACTATGTTGCCTAGGCTGCTCTGGAAATCCCAGGTTCAAACAATCCTCCCTCCCTGGCCTTCCAAAGTGCTATGATTACATGTGTGACCCACCATGCCCAGCTCTAAATATCTTTAATTGTAAGTGTGTAGCATTCCATACAATCCAAGCACAGTTTTATATAATGGGTTGAGCTAGATCAACAAGGTTATAGATGGCTGGTTCATGATCACCAGGTTGGTGGGTAAAATCAGCCATTAATCTCCTATGAAAGGCCAGGTACAGTGGTTCATGCTTGTAATTCCAGCACTTTGGGAGGCCAAGGCAGGTGGATTGCTTGAGCTCAGGAGCTCAAGACCAGCCTGGCCAACATGGTGAGACCCCTCTCTACTAAAATACAAAAAACTAGCCGGGCTTGGTGGTGGGTGCCTGTAGTCCCAGCTATGTGGGTGGCTATGGCAAGAGAATTGCTTGAACCCGAGAGGCGGAGGTTGCAGTGAGCCGAGATGTTGCCACACTGCACTCCAACCTAGGCTACAGTGAGGTAGGAGTTATTAAGAAATTATTTTAGGCAGATAGAGAGGAAAAAGGTCCATGGAAAATTTTTCACAGCTCTTGTCTAGCATGAAAGCCCTGGCTCTTAGACTTGGGCCAGCAACCTTTTATATGCAAACGCTAGCTGTTAGAAACTGGGTCCACCCAACAAGGCTATTCCCACCTTTGTCCTCTTGCCCTTGCCCCTACATGTGCCTGGCAGCATGGCCGCCCCCACATATCCCCACGTGTGTGGAACATGACACAGCCCTACATTTGCATATTAAAAGGCTAGGGTGGGAGGGCCAGCTTTTTCGCCGGCTACATGAATGACATGCCTGGTCAAACCAATCCCCTGAGTCCTATGCAGATCAGATACTGCCTCCTCCACCCATCGAATATAGCTGGCTGGTATTACCTAAGTGCGGGGTTCCATCTCTCGGCTTTGGAGCCCCCCTCCCTCTGTCTCTGTACAAGGGAGTTTCTTCTTTCTTTCTTCTCCCTTCTTTCTTGCCTATTAAACTCTCCGCTCCTTAAAACCACTCCACGTGTGTTCGTGTCATCTTATCTAATTCGATGTGAGACAAGAGCCCTGGTGTTCCTCCACTCATCAGAGCCATATCAACAGAGGGTGACTGTCTCAAAAAAAAAAAAAAAAAAAACTCCTCTGAAAAACAGAATTTAAAACTTTAAGTGGGCAAACATCATTTTTATTTTTTTAAAAAGTCAACAAATTCTTATAACCAACATTCATGGTCTCAAGTAACAAGTTGACAGTTTGAGCATCAGCTGCAGAAGATAAAAAAAAAAATTGAGGTATTTGCAAGAAGCTCTTGCTAGAAGGAATAAGAGGGGCTGAGCATTGAAGCCTGGGCCAGGTGAGCTGTCTTCCTTGCCTCCCCACGTTCCACACCCCAGACACCACCGATGGGGAGCTTAGGAGATGAGGGGTGGAAGGAGGAGGTGAGGCTGGGTTTCCTCCAGCTCAGGGATGTTGTCTTGAATGTCCTCATTGAAGGATAAGGAGGAAAGTGATGTCCCTACCAAGGCTGACAGGCTAAGGAATGGGAAAGCATCTTTGGAGGTCCCCAGGCCGACTACTGAATATCCTGCCCCAGGTGTCCAAGCTCCACAGTGTGGCTGGTGGGTGTGCCCTTGGCACCACTTTCCCCATGTGCTGAGTCTTCTGGGAAGCAGGCAGCACAAATGTGAGGACACGCTAGTGCCTCGGGGACCCTTCACTAAGACCGGCAGCTACCCCTTCCCCAACCCTTTTGCCCCTCTCTTTCAGAGATGGAGCCCATCCAGAACCCAGCTGTGCTGCTGCAAGGTACATTCTGTCTCCCTCTCTCTTTCTCTCTTTCCAGCACACCAAATTCCCTACATTCCAGGGAGGGAGTTATCTCAGTCTCCAACTGCCCCAGAGTGGTGAGCAGCATTCCACACACTCCAAGCATATAAGGAAGAAGTGCAGTAGGCTGGGGACTGGCAGAAGGAGCTCCCTGGGCAGAAGAGCCAGGAAGGTAGCTGGGTAGGAAGTAACCTGCATGGGCCCAGCCCAAGGCACTAGAAAATCAGCCTTCCCCAAATAATCACAGAGGCTTCCAAACGTGCCCCACCCCTTCAAGCTCCCTTCCCAGGGCTCTGCTGCTCCCTCTCACTTTCTCTTGCTCTTTTTCCTTCCCACTCTAAGTGTCCTACTTCCATCTTCTTCCCATCTCTTTGTCTCTTTCTTCCCTCTCGGGCCCACCTTTGGCTTTTCTAGGCTTTGATAAAGAGTTTCCTGAGGCTCACCACCGGCAGCTGAATTCTGGTCTCCTCTTCCTGCCTCTGCTTGCCTCCGTGGACTCCTAGACATGCTCCTTGAGCTTGTGGGCAGGCATCTCAGCACAGCTGTGGGATCTGGGGCTCAGAGACCCCCAACTAGCCTGTGCCTAGAATCATATTTCAATAGAATGATTTCTTTTGAATCTTATTGATGCAGAACTTTGTTCCTTAAACCCTAAAACCAGGTTCTTGTCACACAAGCAGGAAAAGCTAGGAACGCAGACGCATTGAAGGGTGAGGGGAACAGAATTTATTGGGTGAAAAAGGAAAAGAAGAAAAAAAAAATCTCTCAGCAAAGCAAGAAGAGTTCCTGCCAACAGCACCCCCACCCCCAGACTGATTCCAGGCTACACACAAGAACTGAAGAGGCCAGGCTCCTCCCCAACTGCACATGGCACGAACTTCCCGTGGCTCCACCCCCTTCTCCCAAGTGCATAGGCAGGTCAGAGATTCTCTGGGGACCCTTTCCCTTATCTACCTCCTGCATCTATCAATATGGTGAAACCCTGTCTCCACGAAAATTGTGAAAGTTAACTGGGCCTGGTGGTGCACGGATGTGGTCCCAGCTACTTGAAAGGCTGAGGTTGGAGAATCACCTGAGCCCGGGAGGTCGAGGCTGCAGTGAGCTGTGATTGCACCACTGCACTCCAGCCTGGGTGACAGAGTGAGACCGTGTCTCAAAAATAAATTTAAAAATAAAATAAAAATAAAGAGTTGCAGCCTACAATGTACCATTCGGACTAGTGGGAAGCATAGCCTCTGGCAGAGCCTAGAGAATGAACTTTGAGGGACGAGGAGGAATAAGAAAGGAATTTAATCTGACTGGGTTGGCCAAGTATACATATTCAACAGGTTACAGAAGGAGCTATGAATATTCATGAAAGTGGTCCTGAAGCACATATACTGAATAAACTAGTATATTGCATATGACCCATGTGCACCGTAGGGTGGAGACTTAGCATTTAAATGTATTACAGCTGGCCAGGCGCGGTGGCTTACACCTGTAATCCCAGCACTTTGGGAGGCTGAGGCAGATGGATCATGAGGTCAGGAGATCGAGGCCATCCTGGCTAACAGGGTGAAACCCCGTCTCTACTAAAAATACAAAAAAAATTAGCCGGGCATGGTAGCGGGTGCCTGTAGTCCCAGCTACTCGGGAGGCTGAGGCAAGAGAATGGCATGAACCTGGGAGGCAGAGCTTGCAGTGAGCCGAGATCGCACCACTGCACTCCAGCCTAAGCGATAGTGAGACTCCGTCTCAAAAAAAAAATAAATTAATTAAAAAAAAATAAATGTATTACAATTAGGTCTTATACATCAAAAGGTCTTTTCAGGACACAAGCAAACTCAAGTATGCAGCATCTGTAAACCAGCCAGAACCAGTCCATGGTCAGTAGTCTTCTTATCAGGAGAAGGTTACTGAAATCAGTCTCGTGTTCAACCCAAGCTATAGTTTTGGCTGATGGACGATCTGCAAGTTGTTTTAATCTTGCTTATCTCAAGGCCAATGTTCGTTTGGCTGCTAGAGAAAAATTAAAACCTTGTGGCAGAACACTTTTTCTTTAAGTGCAGGGGTGTGTGACTTAACCCTGACCTGCCATGGCCTTAAGTCTTGTTTATAGTTTGGTCTTTCATTGGCTCAAATACTTTGTTCTGTCAGTCTTATGATCTCTGGTTTATTAATGCTGGTCAGTGGTTGTCTAAACCACAAAAGGGATGAGGTATGACGAGGCGTGTCTGACCTCCCATCCTCTCCTGCCTGGGAACTCAGTTTTTAAGGTTTCTCTGGGGTCCCCTTGGCCAAGAGGGGGTCCATTAAGTCAACTGGGGGGCTTAGGATTTTATTTTCAGTTTACAAAATTATCTCACTATAGTCTCTCAAAAGGAGTCTGTGTTCTTCCCTGAAAGAAAGCTGACATCCCCTGCTGCTGGGGGTTAAGGGTGGCAGGGTCACACATAAACCAGGTGTCAGAAGGGCTGTGGGCAGAGGCCGGAGCAGCCTGATTAAGGTGGGAAACCCCAGGGTTGTTCTTGATAATGAACTGAGGTGGAAAGGGAGAAAGGCAGTTGTTTTGTGAATCCACTGGAGACACTGAGCAGCGGACAGAAAGCAGATGTCAGGGAGTGGGAACCGGGGAGCTGAGTGGGTCCATCCTAAAAGGGGCAGCTCTGAGGCGTTCCTAACCTTTTAGTGCTGCAGGCCTTGTAGCCAAACTTTGTGCCCTACCCACTTGTCCTCTAAGGTTGCCATTCAGATGGCTCCGTCTTTAAGCCTCTGACACTGTTGAGGACTTACCCTAGTCACAGGAGCACTACCCATGGGTAGGGCAGGCTAGAAATGTCAGTGCCCTGGGGGCAGCCCTCAAGTGAAATGGGATTTGGTGAAGAAATACCCCAGCTTCCTCAAGGGTAGGATGACTCCGAGGCATGCTCTATACAGTAGTCTCTTGAAGGTCCCAGTGGGATTGAGCCAAGGAGTTCATTAAGTTCATTGCTCATCGATGCACCCCATGCTGGCTTCTGCCCTTTCCTGTCTACTTTATCAATTATGCCAGGGATTTCCTCTCTAATAACCTCCTTGCTTCAAATCTTTGTCTCCAGATCTGCTTCTGAAGGAAACTAACCTAAAACAGACCCCTTTGGCAATTTGTGAAAGCTGCTGTACTTCTGAGAATAATGGTGGGGTTTTGTTTTTTGTTTGTTTGTTTTGAGACAAGGTTTTGCTGTGTTGCCCAGGATGGAGTGCATTGTCATGATCATAGCTCACTGCAGCCTCCACCTCCTGAGTTCAAGAGATCCTGCTGCCTCAGCTTCCTGAGTAGCTGGGACTACAGATGCAGGTCACCACACCCGGCAGAATAGTGTTTTAAATGTATAAAATAAAATAGATAATGATAGATGCAGGAGACAGATAAAGGGGAGGGTCCCTGGAGAATCACCTGCCTGCATACTGGGAAAATGGGGTGGAGCCACGGGAAGTTCGTGCCGAGTGTGCAGTGGTCGGGGAGGAGCCTGGCCTCTTCAGCTACTGTGTGTGGCCTGGAATCAATCTGTGGAGTGGGGACCTGTTGGCAGGAACCCCCCTTGCTCTTTGCTGAGAGGTTTTTCTTTTCTTCTTTTCCTTTTTCACCCAAAAAATTCCATTCCCCTCACCCTTCAAAGTGTCTGCCTGCTTAACTTTTCCTGGTCATGTGACAAGAACCCGGTTTTAGCTGAACTGAGGAGCAAAGTTCTGCATCAGTATTGCCCGGCTGGTCTCGAACTCCTGGGTTCAAACGATCCACCCACCTCAGCCTCCCAAAGTGCTGGGACTGCAGATGTGAGCCACAATGCCCAGTCAGCAGTAACTCTTTAAAAGAAATAAAGCTCTCCTTTCCAAATTTATGATTTTTCTTTTCTTTTTTTTTTTTTTTTAAGAGACAGGGTCTCACTCTGTTGCCCTGGCTGGAGTAAATAGCTCCCTGCAGCCTCAAACTACTGGGATCCACTTCAGCCTCCTGAGTAGGTAGGACTACAGGCGTGTGCCAGCACACCTAGCTAATTTTTATTTATTTATTTATTTATTTATTGGTAAAGAAAGGGCCTCACTATGTTGCCCAGGCTGGTCTCGAACTCTTACCCTCAAGCAGTCCTCCCACCTCCACCTACCAAAGCGCAGGGATCACAGGCAAGAGCCACTGTCTGCCCAGCCTAAAGTTGTGATTTTTAAGTTAACATATCATTGTCAAATTAATTTGTGTTTTCTGTTTTTTCCTCACCTAACCCTGCCTCCCTCCCACTCTTCGCACCACCCTGCACTTCCAAGCCAGGAGAAAGGACTTTGTGCTCCTTCACCTCAGAAACCTGAACTCAGAATTTCCTTGTAGCCACTTTTCAGGCCTTTGTTTGCTGGAGACTGGAGTTCCCTGAGAGGATTAAGGGTGTGGTGGGGAGTGTCTAAAGGAGCCCAGTGCCTTGAGGGCAGCCAAGAAGACAGAGGCCCTGGACTGGATACCGGCTGAGGTAGGTGGATCCCTGTGGGGTGGAGACCATCCCCAGCTCCACAGCCCCAGGCATGTCAAGGGCTATCATCAAGGCCTCAGAGGAGACCAGCTGCCTGGGGCACCTCAGGAAGCTATACCCTGACACCTGGACTCCAGAGTCCACAAATATATCTGTACCCAAACCAGTGGGCAAGCAAAGAAGCCCTTGCCTTTGGGAGACCTCAGGATGTTGGCCATGAGAACATCATGGATGGGCGCGGTGGCTCGCTCCTGTAATCCCAGCACTTTGGGAGGCCAAGGCGGGTGGATCACCTGAGGTTAGGAGTTCGAGACCAGCCTGGCCAACATGGTAAAACCCTGTCTCTACTAAAAATACAGAAATTAGCCAGGCACAGTGGCAGGTGCCTGTAATCCCAGCTACTCGGGCGGCTGAGGCAGGAGAATCGCTTGAACCTGGGAGGCAGAGGTTGCAGTGAGCCAAGATCATATCACTGTGCTCCAGCTTGGGCAACAAGACAGAAACTCCATCTCAAAAAAAAAAAAAAGAAAAGAAATCATGGACTCCAAAAGGCCTGAAGTGGAGAGTCCTGAAGCCATCTCAGACCATGAGGCCACCCTAAGGGTAGAAGGAAGCACACTAAGATGACAGGAACAGAAGACAGGAGCCTGGGTCCATCATGCCAGGGAGCCTCCACACCTGCCCTGGACGTTTCATCTCAGACCTCGTGGATAAAGCAGAGAAATAAATATCTACCTTGTTTAAGCCACTTATTTTCAATTTTTTGTTTCAAGCAGGCTTTTCATGAAGTTCCCAGTCTGACAGCATTAATTGGTGGGCTAGAATTTGTGGACGGTTTCCATGTATGTATTCTGCAAAACCATCCATAAGAAAGAGTTGAACAAGTCTTGGGACTAGCTAGAGAAGTGGGCAAAAAAAGAGAGGAAGTGGCCGAGTGCGGTGGCTCACGCCTGTAATCCCAGCACTTTGGGATGCTCAGGCAGGCAGATCACGAGATCAAGAGATTGAGACCATCCTGGCCAACATGGTGAAACCCCGTCTCTACTGAAAATACAAAAATTAGCTGGGCGTGATGCCATGCACCTGTAGTCCGAGCTACTCGGGAGGCGGAGGCAGGAGAATCACTTGAACCCTGGAGGCAGAGGTTGCAGTGTGTCAAGATCATGCCACCGCTCTCCAGCCTAGTAACAGAGTGAGAATTCCGTCTCAAAAAAAAAAAAAAAAAAAAAAAAAAAGAGAGAGAGGAAGTAGCCTCTCCACTGCCCCTGCCATGCCTAGAAGGTTCCCCAGCATAAGAAGAGATCATTTGCATCTCAAACAGCACAATAGGCAGCCTGCTGGGTGGCCGGGGAAACTGTCCAAGACAGGACCGTACCAGAGGCCTTTTCTTGTCCTTTGAATATTTCAACTTCTGTGCAGGAAGGCTTGGGCTTTCCCAGGACAAAATAATTTTTAACATTTTATTTGTCTTATTAAATATTAAATAAATATATTTGTAAAAGATACAGACATGAATAACAATGATACAAAGAATGACAAAGTGACCTTTTAAATTTGAGACCAATTCCATCTAAAACAATCCAAGCCACCTGTAGCTGTTGGTTTGATTGCAATAACCAATACTGGACCATGGTTACTTAACCTATCAACCCAAGAAGAAATCTTTCATAACTGTGATGATCACAAAGGAAATATAAACATGGCTAACCTGTGTCATGAAAAATGGAAGCTAATTAAGGTATCTGAAATGAGTGAGGAGACTGAGGATGTTCTGAAGGAAATGCAGGAAGGAGAATTAGCCTAAGTGCATCCATGTTGAACTTATACATAAATCTTTCCTTGGTTGGCAAGAGTCCAGAATATGATATCACAGTGTGTGAAGGAGGCTGAGAGGAAACAGACTGTCCCATGCATTGCTGGCAGCAGTGCAGATGGCACAGTTCTGTGGAGCAGACCTGCAATATCTACCAGAACTATACATGCACAAACCCTTTGACCCAGAGATCCCCCTTCTGGGAATCTATCTTATAGATTCACCTACACAAAGGTAAACTTGCTTAGGTATAAGGTTATTCATTGTGGCATTATTTATAATAACAACGGATCAGAAACAGCCCAACAACCCAGCAATAGGAGACTGGCGAACACACAGCTCTGGTCGATCCACCAATGGAATACTATAGAGCTGTCAAAATGAAAAAGGCAGGAGGAACAGCTTTACGTGGTGATAGGGAAGGATACCCAGTATATTTAGTTACGATTTTAAAAGGAAGGAGCAAGATGTATATAACATGCTTTTTTTGTGTAATAAAAGAGGAAATAAAAGTATGTTATTTATGTTTGCATAAAGAAACGTTGGGAGAATAAATAAGGCACTATTCTGGTAAAAATGGTTACTGACGAGCAATGTGAGGGGAAAAAGAGAGGGTAAGTGTGGGGTAGGAGTGATATTTCTCATGTACTTATTGATGTCATTTTTATTTGAACTACATAAATGAAATATCATTTTAAAAACTAGGCCTGGGTGTGGTGGATCACACTTGTAATCCCAGCACTTTAGGAGGCCAAGGTGGGAGGATGACGAGTTCAGGAGTTCAAGACCAGCCTGGCAACATAGCAAGACTTTGTCTCTACTAAAAAAATTTTAAAAATTAGCCAGGCATGGTGCCACATAGCTGTAGTCCCAGCTACTCATGAGGCTGAGGTGGGAGGATTGCTTGAGCCCAAGAGTTGAAGGCTTCAGTGAGCCACTGCACTTCAGCGTGGGTGACAGAGCAAAACCCTGTCTCAAAAAACATACATAGAATTTTAAAAATCCATATCTGGACGATTTATTAAAATCAAAGAAATACAGAGGGCAGCTATTTAGTAACCAAGAAATAAGGACATGGATCAAAAATAATCGTATTTTGTTTTTCTGACCAAGTCCCTCCTCTGGTCCCATGCCCCACTTTTCATAAAGACAAAATTTCCAAACTTGGAGACATTTCAGGGAATCCTTGCCAAGAAAAATGCTGATAAATTGATGGACACAGGAGCCTACAATGCAAAAAAAACAGAAAGCTATAAAATGTTCCAGGTGGCTTGAGAAGCATGTTATTTTTGTCATTTGGGGCTATAAAATGTGCATGAAATGTCACATTCCTTACTTTTACTCAATCAAATGTAATCTGCTCTGTGTCCTACCCAGAAGACTGGGAGGAAATTCAACCCTAGTCATTAGTGGGGCTGTCTCCTCCCTCCAACACATTACAAAATACCAGGGGCTTAGGCAGTACCAGAAAAGCTGGGAGCAAGGCCAGGTCCTTAGTACTCAGGATAGCCAACTTAGTTCGCTCTAGCTGCTGTGACAGAATACCAGAGACTAGGTGACTTAAATGACAAATATGTTTTTGTTTGTTTTTGAGACAGGGTCTCACTGTATCACTCAGGCTGGAGGGCAGTGTTGCAATGTCACCTCACTACATCCTCAACCTTCCAGGCTCAGGTGATCCTCCTACCTCAGCCTCCCGCGCAGCTGGGACTATAGGTGCATACCACCACATCTGGCTAATTTTTCTTTTTTTTTTTTTTTTTAGACACAGTCTCGCTCTGTCACCCAGGCTGGAGTGCAGTGGCACAATCTCGGCTCACTGCAACCTCCGCCTCCCAGGTTCAAGCAATTGTCCTGCCTCAGCCTCCTGAATAGCTGGGACTACAGGTGCCCGCCACCATGCCCAGCTAATTCTTTGTATTTTTAGTAGAGATGGGGTTTCACCATGTTGGCCAGGCTGGTTTTGAACTCCTGACCTCAGGTGTTCTGCCCTTCTTGGCCTCCCAAAGTGCTGGGATTACAGGCATGAGCCACCATGCCAGCCTAAGTTTTTGTATTTTTGTAGAGATGGGGTTTTCCCCATGTTGCCCAGGCTGGTCTCAAACTCCTGGGCTCAAGTAATCTGCCCACCTTGGTCTCCCAAACCTGTACTAGGATTACAGGTGTGAGCCACCACACCCAGCTGAATGAATATGTATTTCTCACAGTTCTGGAGACTAGGAAGTCCAAGATCCAGGTACCAGCAGATTTGATGTCTGCTGAGGGCTCTCTTCCTGATTCTCAGACTGCAGCCTTCTCACTACCGATGGCCGAGAGAGAGCTCTGGTCTCTAACTCGTCTTATAAGGGCACTAATCACACATGGGGGCTCCACCCTTATGACCTCAGCTAAACCTAAGTACCTCCAAAAGGCCCCACCTCCAAATATCATCACACTGGGGGTTGGGTTTTCAACATATTAATTATGGGGGGACAGAGACATTTAGCCCATAGAAGCCACTATTGTTTCTCTAGCTGCCTCTACTTTCAGAGGCTACAGACAAGTCCTGGAGTGATGTCCTCTGGGTCAGGCCCAGCACTTCCCCTCACATCAGCAATGTCCACATCACCCATAGTAGAATCTCCCTGGGGACCCTGGCCTCTGTGCCCCTAGCTGGGAGAAATCATGGCTTCTCTGGGCATTCTCCAGCAATCCTTCAGCCTGGGAATGCTCTGGGCAGAAGTGGGGGTCTCCTCACTCGTGGGGAGAAAGCACCAAATTTCCAGACCCTAGAGAATCTCAACCTCTGCTCAAGACACACCCACAGTCCACTTCTGCCTCTCTTAGCCTAGGTGTTTGCGCATAATCCAAATGCCATCACTACCCACCTTCTCCATACTCAAGAAAGAGCCTCAGAATTGGGAACAAAAAGCCCAGTAACTCTCTTGGTGAGGGGAGTATACACAGAGCAACAAGAACAAAACAAAACAATTCCACAGTAAATTACCCTGCCACAAGCCTGGCATGGGAGCTTTGATGAACTGTAATGGAATGAAGAGCTGGGTAATGCTGTAGCCGCAACCCGGCAAAGTGAGTTGAAGGAGACAGAGCCTTACAGAACCAAGAAGCTACTCACCCTGGGCATGAAAGCTCTGGTCCAGGTGCAGATACAGCTGTTTCAGTTATCTATCACTGAGCAACCGCCATCCCAAACCTAGTGGCTTACAACAACAGCCACTTCCTTACATAAAAAATTGTGTCTGTCAGTTCAGCAATTCTACTCTGCTTGATGTTAACTGGAGTCACTCAATGCCATCTTCGGCAGCTGGCTGGTCTGGAGTGTTCAAGACAGCTTCCTTCACATTTTTGTCACCTTTGTGGGGACAGCTGGGCTCTGCTAGTGGTTGGCCAGAGTACCATACTCGGCCACTCCAGCAGGCAGTGGCAGGGAATTTGAACTTCTTCTTTTGGGGGGAAGAGGGGTACAGGGTCTCGCTCTGTTGCCTAGGCTGGTGTGCAATGGCATGGTCATAGCTGACTACAACCTTAAAGGTCTCAAGCAATCCTCCTGCCTCAGCCTCTTGAGTAGCTGGGACTACAGGCGTGAGCCACCATTCCCGGCTAATCTTTTCTTTTTTGTAGATATGGACTCTCACTATGTTGACCAGGCTGGTCTGAACTTCTGACCTCAAGTAATCCCCCTGCCTCAGCCTCCCAAAGTTCTAGGATTACGGAGCACCACTGTGCCCAGCCTGAATTTGAAACTTTTTTTTTTTTTTTTTTTTTCCTGAGACATAGTCTTGTTCTGTCACCCAGAGCTGGAGTGCAGTGGTGCAATCTCAGCTCACTGCAACCTCCACCTCCGGGGTTCAAGCAATTCTCCTGCCTCAGCCCCCTGAGTAGCTGGGATTACAGGTGCGCACCACCACATCCAGCTAATTTTTGTATTTTTAGTAGAGACGGCATTTCACCATGTTGGCCAGGCTGGTCTTGAACTCCTGACCTCATGATCCTCCCGCCTCAGCCTCCCAAAGTGCTGGGATTACAGGTGTGAGCCACCGTGCCCAGCCTGATTTTGAACTTTTTACATGGTGATTCAGGCTCCCAGAGAATGCTCCAGGAGACAGGAGGTGGAAGGTGCTATTGAATCCTGTGCTGGAAGCTGGTTTAGCATCACTTCCAACAATTTGTGTCGCTCGAGCAGCCACACAGCCACCCAGATTTAAGGGGTCCCCACCTCCCAATGGGAGAAGTAGCAAAGGATATGTAGCCAACTTTTAAATCTGCAATGAATAGAAGTAGTCCCCTTCCTCCAGCTGATTGCCAGGTGAGTTGGGGTTGGCTTCAACAATGGCATATATAAAACTTAGTGGCTCTGGTGAAGACATCAAGATCTCAAACTTAATCAAATGTCTGCCTGGCTGATGTGAGCAGCCCACAGGCCTTACTGCCAGATTTACCAATGCTGATGCCCATGCTCAAGAGTTCAGCTAGCATCTTGTGAAGGAGGCAGCAAATAGGGCTCTCAATAACACAAACCCATCTGTATTAGGGTACTCCAGGGAAGCAGACCCAATAGGAGAAATCAGGGCCAGGCACGGTGGCTCATGCCTGTAATCCTAGCACTTTGGGAGGCCGAGGTGAGAGGATCGCTTGAGCCCAGGAGTTAGAGACCAGCCTGGGCAACATAGTGAGACCTCATCTGTAAAAAAAGTTTAAAAATTAGTTGGGCATGGTGGTGGGCACCTGTAGTCCTAGCTACTCAGGAGGATGAGGCTGGAGGATTGCTTGAGCCTGGGAAGTCAAGGCTGCAATGAGCTAGGATTGTGCCACTGCACTCCAGCCTAGGCAACAGAGTGAGATCTTGTCTCAAAAAAAAAAAAAAGAAGAGAGAGAAATCAGTAGATGATATGATAGATAGATAAGTAGATAGATTAGATAGATCGATCTATCGATCGATCAATCAATCGATATATAGATTGATAGATAGAATGAGGAATTGGCTCACATTATTATGGAGGCTCTAAAGTCCCACAGTCTGCCATCAGCGAACTGAGACCCAGGAAAGCCAGTAATATAATTCCAGTCTATGTCCACAATCTTGTGGACCAGAGGAACCAGGGGAGCTAATAGTACAAATCTCAGTCCAAGGAGAGAAGAAGACTGATATTCCAGTTCCAGCGCGCAGGCGGGAAGAAACAGTAGTGAATTTCTCTTTCCTCTTTTCATTCTGTTCAGGCTCTCAGCAGATTAGATGATGCCCACCACACTGGCGAAGACAATCTACTGAGTCCACAATGCTAATCTCACCTAGAAACACCCTCAGAGACACACCAAGAAATGTTATTTAATCTGGGCACCCTGTAGTGCAACACAATCAAATTGACACATAAAATTAATCATTGAATTTTATACCCTAAAAATCGCAACATCTAATCCATTTCCATTTTTGATGCAGATAAAAAATCCATGAGATCAATTCAGGAAGCCATAAAAAGGTGATCAAAAAGAAGATGGAGTCAAGGAAGATGTCAAGCAGGAAAGAGCAGAAAGTCCTTTTTTTTTTTTTTTTTTTTGAAAGACAGAGTCTCATTTGTAGCCCAGGCTGGAATGCTGGAATGCAGTAGTGCGATCTCAGCTCACCTCCACCTCCCAGCCTCCAGGAAGGTGGGATTACAGGCATGTGCCACCACACCCGGCTAATTTTTGTATTTTTAGTAGAGATGGGGTTTCATCATGTTGGTCAGGCTGGTCTCGAACTCCCGACCTCAGGTGATCCATCCGCCTTGGCCTCCCAAAGTGCTGGGATTACAGGCGTGAGCCACTGCATCCAGCTACTTCTATCTTTTAAAAAAATGTTTTTATATAAATAAAACATACATACAGAGAAGTGCATTAATTTTAAATGTACAGCTCAAAGAACTTTCGCAAACAGCATATGCATGCAACCAGTGCCTAGATTAAGGAAAGGACATTCCCAGGATGCCAGGGGCCCCCTCCTGTGCCTTTTAGTTACTACCCTCCCCAAAGGACAACCTCTCTCCTCACTACTACCATTTTGCCTGGACCTGAGCTTTATATAAATGGAATCATACAATGTGCTCTTTCACAGCTGGCTTCTTTCACTCGACTTTATGTCTGCAGATTTGCCTGTTATCACATGCAGTTATAGGAACATTCATTTTCAGTGCTGAGAAATATTCCACTGCATGCATATGCCACAATTTTCCTCCCCTTTCTCCTGCTGAAGGCTATTTGGGTCATTCCCACTTTAGGCAGTGTGGGCTCCAGTGCTTCTCTATTGGGAGCAGCTCTGCTCCTCCTGTCCCTCAATGAGTGCCACTCACTGAGGACACCACGGAGAGTGTGACTGGGCACCACACAGTGCCCCCAACTCAGGGGCACCAGGTCCCCTTTGGCTCAAAGACGAAGCAAGACAGAGCTTTCTGTCTGACCCCACAAACCTGTCTGCCATTTCTGCCACCTCCCCAGGACTCAGCCCAGGGACCCCTTTCTCTAATACCCACAAATGTGCACATTGTTATTATGGCCCCTCTGCCCCACCAGCACAAGGGAACCCCTTTCTGTTGGAAGGTGAGGGGATGGTTGTTCTTAGTGTCCATTTCTCCTAAATACCTGGCCTATGTCATAAATCCTTTCAGTTCCCATGAGGTCTCATGTTTGAAATTTATGAGGCAGAAGATGCTGCTTGGCTCTGCTTTCTGCTGACCGCCCACCCTCCTACCCCAACTGCTAGAAAGGCTGGGGAGTGGGAGGGGAGGAGGGAGAGATACAGATGAAATAAATCAGAAGTTTTTTTTTTTTTTTTCTAGAGATGAGGTCTCTCTCTGTCACCCAGGTTGGAGTACAGTGGCAAAATTGCAGCTCACTGCAGCCTGGAACCCCTGGGCTCAAGTGATCCTCCTGCCTCAGCCTCCCAAGTACCTGAGATTACATGTGTGAGCCACCGCACCTGGCCAGAGAATATTTCAAAATGTTAGCCCTCCACATTTACAACGGAAAGGATTTGGACCAACCCACTTCTGCCATCTCTCTTGGGCAATGGACACTGATGGTTAGGGATGCCCTTACTTGTTCCCAGCGGGCTTCTCATACTCTAACAAACACACAGAAAGGCATCCAGCTCCACAGTGTCTCAGTCTGTGTCATTGGTTTGTCTGGGGCTCCAAATGTCCCACTTCTTCTGGGCATCCATTATCTTCCCTGGAATAGAGTGCAAAGGCCCCTCAGCTCAGTGGTCTTCCCTCAGAGCCTGGAAGCCCCTTCATTATGGTGGCTGGATACTTTCTTGAGATATTAACATGTGTTTTTTTGTTCTTCCTGTTTTGTCACTGTTCTACCCCATTCCAGGAAGCGTTTGCACATCCTGGCCCCAGAAGATTTTGCGTAGCCTCACCAAGAGAAGAAGTTGGAAAGAAAAAAAAAGAAGTTGGCAAGGCATCCAGAGGAGACCCCCCCAGCACCTGGGTTCTCTGCCAGGGGAGAGAGGTAAGCACACTGGACTGAAGGAGGCAAAAGCTGCTCAAGGGAGTGGGGGGTGGGGGGAGATTCCCAGATGCTGTGGAAGGGATGTGGTTTGGGGGTCCTTGGAGTAGTGAGGAGAAGCCCTGCTCCCACATAGAACCCCACACACAACAGTGGGGATGGAGGGAGGTCAGGGATTCCAAAGGAAACTAGCTAAGAACCTTGGCCTTACTAACCACAAAGACTCCCATTCATATCAGCTGTGTCTGAAGGTCAGAGGCCCAGACTCTGAATGTTCTAGGCTGGGTCAGACCCCTGGGATGGTCACTGGACCCCATAGGAGAAGAGATAGGGGAGTCCCTAATAAAACTTCAATTACATTTCCTGCCTGCTTGGTCAGTGGATACTAAATGCAGATGACTTAGAAAAAGAAAGAATTGTGAGATGCTGTGGAGTCAACTCAATGTCATCATTAGCGTCTTCCTCTTCAGAGTCCTGTATCCCAGCGACGGAGCTCAAGGTTCAGACTAAAGGCTTCCTACCCCTGGCAAGGAGGTCTTTATAGTGGAGGTGAACGTTTACACACTACACTCTGAGAATTTTTTTTTTAAAGTAGCCTCTATTTTGTATGTCTTCTCATCCTGTTAGAGTAAGTAGCTAGTCAGGGATGAGCAGGGCAGGAGAGGGCGCCCCAGACACACACCCACAGGAATGTCAGGCAAACATCAGGTGAGGGTCAGGCAGTGGTTAACGGGCTCTCTAAAATAATTGGTCACAGCTGGCACCAGAGACAGGCAGTCTCCCAATAGAAACATCTGAAACTGGTGATCAGCAGTTTCCCAATAAGATCCCAGTAAGTGACCAAAGAGGCAAGAATTGAGGTTGCTGCAGACCCCTATGGATTTGCTGCCACTAACGATCCCTACTACTGCTGCTGGGGAGGAGGTTTTAATAGTATCTATTAATTAAAGATATCCCAGTCTCTTTTCTATCCTCCCTCCCCAAATACTGCTCGGTCCACCTCATGAGATTGTCCTGGGCCTTTTGAGACCCAGGCAATGGGAAGAGAAGGCCATGGAAGTGGACTGAGAATGCTGGATGTCTAGATTAACTATGCTGCCCTCCGGAAGGCACCTCCAGTAGGATGCACAGCTGTGGCTATCAGCAAATTCCCCTTCCTCCTCTTGCAGGTGCCCTAGAGAACATGGATAGGGCTGCAGGTGGTTAATGGTTCAAAGACTACTCAGTGAAGACGCTGCCTGGGGGAACAGAGTGTGGCCACATCTAAGGAAAGAAGGTACAGGTGAACAGGAGAGGAGGTGAAGGAGAAGCGAGCAGGTGGGGGTTGCGGAGGGGCTGAGGAAGGTCAGGCAGAGCCAGGAGACCAATCCAGCTCCTTGGAAGGTAGCTCAGTTGACTCCTTACCATGTGGCATTTGTAAAAGGTGGACAGTAGAGGCCTGGGGCCAGAGAGAGGCTGGACCAGATTCCCACTGTAAAAATCTCCTTGCCAAGGTCCAGGTAGGGTGTCCTTAAGTCTGAATCTTGATCCCCATCGCTGGGATACAGGACTCTGGAAGAGGAAGATGCTAAATGACTGCATTTGGGGAGGGAAAGACACGCTCACTTCTCCCCAGCCCCAAGTTGCCCTGTGTTGCTGCCACACTACGTAACTACAGTCATAAACTATATTTGAAGCATGATGGAACCTGAACCATGGCAGTAGCTTAAGTTGACTACATTAACAGGGAAAGCTGAGTCATGATTCTATACTGAATATAAAAATTAAGTCAGATGTGCTCACTCACATGCACACAAATATTCTGGAAAGCTGAGATCCACAGCCCCAAGATGGGGAAAGGGCTCCCCCTGGTGGGATTGCCAGAGGTTCCCCCATGGAACTGCACGCCCCAGACCAAGCCAAAGCCCCAAGCAAAACAATCTGCTATGTCATGCAGGATTGGAAGACTTTCGTTTGCTTCAGGGCCAATTTATGACTCCCGGTATTCTCTGTCCTGAAATGACACCCAGTTCCAGGAAGAATTGGATTCTAGGACCAACTTGTACAGGCGCCCCAGGAGACAGTCTGGGCATGCAGGTCAGCCGATGTGTGCCGGGGAAGACTGTCCACATTTGCTCCTCAGTCCCACTGGGCCTGATCACAGGCCACCCCCCATAGTAAAGGGGAGCCAGGGCCCCTGGGCAAGGGTAGATGCTGCCTCTCATGCCCCTGAATTAGCCAAGAGGCGCTCCAGCAGGAAGCCTTGTTTGGCTTATATTGCAAAGGAGGCACCACTTACTATGCAGTCCCCTGCCCGGAGCACCTTGCCTGTGCTACTGAGAAATGTCCTGCTGCAGCAGGAGAGGCGGATCGAGCTACAGCCAAGAGTGTGCCCTGCCTCCATCTGTTGACCCAGGTCAGAATGATGTGGAACACTGGACAGTTAACTCACTGGGTTCAAAAAACACAGCAACACAATGCTCTGGGTGCCTCCTGGCTGTGATGTGCACTATTGTTTTCTGGGGAGATCCCATCACATATGAAACTTCAGATGTTCATCCAGTGATCATGTCAAGCTTCCATTGTTTGCTCTCATATGCTCCCTGGAGCTGGATTCCACCCTGGCTCAAGACCTCTGATGAAGTGCTGGCATGGAGCAGAAACTCCCTTAGGCAGAAACCCCCTTTCCCCCTTGCCACCCACCCCCCACCAGCACCCCATCCTAGGGATGCCACCGCAGGTCTCCTCTCATAGCAGCACTACTTCCTCAATTCTCAACTTCAGGTTACTGCTACAGAGTCTCGCACCTGATCCAGCCTTGAGAAAGTGATTAGAGTGTGACCGGAAAAAATTGTTAGTGATCCCCAAATATGTAGTATAAAGCTACAGTAAATGCTTCTAAAAAATAGACACAAGTGAAACAGGCTAGCCCAGGGGCTTTCAATACAGAGCAATGATAGATATAATATTAGAGAAAATTAAAAAGCAATGCTCCACAAAGGGAGAATATCCCCAAAGATATTCCCAGAAACTGAATATAAATGCAAAAGATGAACAGGGCTACAGCTGTGGCCTGTTGGGTTCTGACTCAGGGTACAGTTAAAGGCAGCTGGGAAGTCAAGTCCTGTTGAGTACTGAGTGGTGAGATAGAATTAAATTGCCCACTGAGGTGGGGGACCAGTGTCATGGTCACTGTGAAAATATTAGGGACTCAGATTCCCCTCTTGCCCACACTTCCACCCTCTTCAAGAAGACTGAAATAGCTTGCTACTAACTTCGCCTGGGACTGTGGCCTAGGGAGGCCCGTGGTTACCAAACGGCACCACACCTGGGCTTAACTGAGCCACCCACAGCCATGGGGCTGGATGTGAGTCATTCCCAGGGTTATCCCAGGGCAGGAGCCCCGACTGCCATATAAGACCTAGTCCTGAACACTGGCCCCTGGGAAGGGCAACTGCACAGCCACTAGGCAGGGAGGAGTGAGGAACAAGAGAAGGGAGACAGAGAAAGCCTGGAAATGAACCTGGAAGCTGAAATTCCAAAACACATAAAAACTAACACTGAGAAAGGCAGCCAGCAACATCAACACTTGATGCATGACAGGTGAAGTGAAAAGAATATAATCATTGGAAAGAGTCTTCAGTATCCTCAAGGAGGCAGTTAAACATATAATGTTCACTTAAAAATCAAGCCACTATGAGATTACAACCAGGCAGAAACGTGCTGTCATATAACAATGGAACAGAAAAATATTATGCAATAAATGGTTCAGGAGAAATAATTATTAATATTTGGGAAAATACATATAGTAGATGTAAATCCTCACTTCATCTAACATATCCTGAGCAAATCTAAATATTTTTTAATCTCTGAAAAGGGTAGGATGTTCTAAATTAGCTGAAAGAAGCCAGGTGTGTTGGTGGCGTAATTCCCAGCTACTTGAGAGGCTGAGGCAGGAAGATCGCTTATGCCCAGAAATTCGAGACCCGCCTGAGAAACATAGCAAGACTCCCAGTCTCTTAAAGAAAAATAAAACTAGATTTTAAGATAAATATCATACAAGAAATATGAAAGTAATAAGTAAAACATGGGAAAAAAGTAAAAAAACAAATTAACTGAAACAATAGGCCAACAAAAGAAAGGAATATATGCATAGATTTAACTACAAAAAGTTTTTAAATTTTTTTTTTTTTCTTTTGAGACAAAGTCTCGCTCTGTCACCCAGGCTGGAGTGCAATGGCACAATCTTGGCTCACTGCAAACTCCACCTCCCACATTCAAGCGATTCTCCTGCCTCAGCCTCTCGAGTTCCTGAGTACCTGGAACTACAGGCACAGGCCATCATGTCCAGCTGATTTTTTGTATTTTTAGTAGAGACAGGGTTTCACTATGTTGGCCAGGCTGGTCTTGAACTCCTGACCTCAAGTGATCCACCCTCCTCGGCCTCCCAATGTGCTGGGATTACAGGTGTGAGCCACTGCGCCTGGCTAATTTTTATATTTAATAGAAAAAAATGGAATGCAAATAAATAAGGAAAATGTTGGCAACAGTCTCTGAATCCAGCCTTTCTGGGTATGACTTTGGGCAAGTTACTTGACCTCTCCAGGCTTCTATTTCCTCCGTCATACGAGACTAATTATTGTACCGTGAGGCAGGATTAACTGAATTACTCCATTTAAAGCTCTTAGAACAGTAACCAGCACCTAGAAAATACCCCACAGCTATTTGTATTTTATATTGTACTGTGTGAGAAATTCAGACACAGACAATTTATAACAGAAACACCATAACTAATTAACAATTATCAACGAACAATTCAACTTCATTAATATTGAAAAAAATCTAATTTTTTTTTTGCCTTTCTAGTTGATAGACTGTTAAAATAACAATAGTGTATTCCTGCCCTAACCCTGGGGTCCTGTTCCTAAAAGCCTCCTTGGATGAAAACATTGTGATTAAGAAACTCAGGACTTTATGAAAAGTTAGGGATAGGGAATACTGAAATCTTTAGAAAACCCATGTTTTTTAAAACTTTTGCGTTTTTTATGTTTTAAAACTATTCCCAGCCAGGCACGGTGGCTCACGCCTCTAATCCCAGCACTCTGGGAGGCCAAGGCAGGCAGATCACTTGAGGTCAGGAGTTCGAGACCAGCCTGGCCAACATGGCAAAACCCCGTCTCTACTATAAAATACAAAAATTAGCAAGGCATGGTGGCGGGCGCCTGTAATCGGAGGCTGAGGCAGGAGAATCGCTTGAACCTGGGAGGCAGAGGTTGCAGTGAGCCGAGATGGCGCCATTGCACTCCAGCCTGGGTGACAAAGCGAGACTCCGTCTCAAAAAAAAAAAAGCTATTCCCTATTTTTACTAAAATACACTCATAAAGAGAGTATCAATTTTATAAAACTTAGATTGGTAACTGCTTACTGAACAATTACTTCCATTAATTTTTCCTTACTGGAGCATAGCCTTCTAAAACCTCTCCCCTGCGGTTTCAGTGAGATGTTTGCAAATCAGTTAAGTGGGTCTATAAGGAAGAACTGTGGTATTTGTTTGCATATGGTTCCTCATCCAAACACTGCGAGCCTTTTCAGTTATCAGTGGCTGTATGTAATGGACAATTATAAAACAGAGAAAGAGAAAGTGATCCAAGCGGAACGTGCTATGGAAGGTTGCACCAGGAAGAGATGCTTGTGCACTGTCTGGAATGAGCCAGTGGTCCCAGCCCAGGGATTCTGGTTCACTGGATCTAGGGATGGGCCAGGCACGTGCCGCTTGGAAGGCTCTGCAGGTAGTTCTAATGTGCACCCTGTCATGAACCTGCGGAAGAGGATTGGATCAGGGAAGGGACACTTGATTTCTCAGCTTTAACATAAATGAGGGTTTCCATTTTCTGGGTTTTAATCTTCTCCTTTCACTGTAAAATGGAAGAGTTGGACTAAAGTGGAATCTTCGTTATATGACGAGGCAGCACAATATGCGAGAAAGCACACAGGACTTAGGGTCAGGCCACTGGAGCTGGTGTTCTCTCCAGAGTCATTCTTCCTCTCCTTCACACTTACATCCACCCTTCCTACCCTAAAATCCATCTCCCATCTGTCCCCACTCAGTCCCTTAACCACTGCCTTTTTTTTTTTTTTTTTTTCGAGATGGAGTCTCGCACTGTCACCCAGCCTGGAGTGCAATGGTGCCATCTTGGCTCACTGCAACCTCCGCTTCCCGGGTTCAAGTGATTCTCCTGCCTCAGCCTCCCAAGTAGTTGGGATTACAGGCATCCACCACCACGCCCGGCTAATTTGTCTTTTTTTTTTTTTTTAAATCAAGCAATCCCCTGAAACTGAATAGGTTCAGAGAGACTCCTGCCACTAATTCAGATGTTCATCACCTCTCACTGGAGCAATTTCCATAGCTTCCCAACTACTTTTCCCGACACCAGTTTTTGTGTTTTTTTTTCTTTTTTGAGACAGGATCTTGCTCTGCTGCCCAGGCTGGTATGCAGTGGCGTGATTATGGGTCACTGCAGCTTCCGTCTCCTGGGCTTGAGTGATCCTCCCACCTCAACCTCCTGAGTAGCTGGGACTACAGGCATGCACCACCATGTCTGGCTAATTGTTTAAAACTTTTGCAGAGATGAGGTCTCACTATGTTGCCTAGGCTGGTCTCAAACTCCTGGCTCAAGCAATTCTCGCATGTTGGCCTCCCAAAGTGCTGGGATAACAGATGTGAGCCACCACACCCAATCCCTGATACCAGTTTAGATCCTCTCTAATCCCCCTTTGCACCGCCTTCTGGTATGCATCTTCCACTGCTGCTGAAACCTCTGGCTGATCACAGGAGGGTACATTTTCCCCACCTCATATGCCAGTCATTTTATTAGATCATCAAAATCCTGGCAGTCACCAGTGAGCGATTTACATTTTTGCAACGTGGTTCCCATTATTCTACTGTCTCTTTCTTTCTTTAGTAAACCCTCAATGTTTCTTGTATAAGAAATGGGCTGGGATGGCTGGGCGGGGTGGCTCACACCACTGCACTCCAGCCTGGGCAAGAGAGCAAGACTCCATCTCCAAAAAAAAAGAAGGAGAAGGAGGAGAAGAAGAAGAAGGGGAAGAGGAAGAAGAAGAAGAAGGAGAAGGAGAAGTGAAAGAAGAAGAAGAAGAAATGGGCTGGGATGTTATCAAGAAGCTTTGTCATTTTGGTTTATTCTTTTTTTTTTTTGAGATGGAGTCTTACTCTGTCACTCAGGCTGGAGTGCAGTGGTGCCATCTCGGCTCGCTGCAACCTCTGCCTCCCGAGTTCAAGCGATTCTCCTGCCTCAGCCTCCCAAGTAGCTGGGATTACAGGCACCCGCCACCATGCCCAGCTAATTTTTGTATTTTTAGTAGAGACGGGGTTTCACCATGTTGACCAGGCTGGTCTTGAACTCCTGACCTCATGAACCGCCTGCCTTGGCCTCTCAAAGTGCTGTGATTACAGGCGTGAACCACTGCACCCGGCCCATTTTGGTTTATTCTTTGCAGTCAATAAACTTTTAAAGGACTTCTGCCTTCACCAGGAGCTGCATCCCACTTCACACATCTAGGCACTGAGTGTTCCCTTGGGCCACAATCAAAGAGCCTCTCATGGCATTCCCATCTTGCCCCTGTGGGACTAAAAACCAAGATTAGAAAGCTCTTTGAAAGTTGGAACTCTGCCTTATTTACTCTTTCTTCCCAGCCCCTATATGGTGCCTGGAATGCTTGTTGAATAAACAAATCTATGCACCTAGAACAAATATTAGAAATAGACCTTTAAAATCTCCCAGAGTCAAAAATATGTAGAAGCACAAAACAAGCAATGAATGTTTTTACTTTCTCAGTTCCCTTCTTGTCATAACCCAAACCCCACAAGTTCCAAATCATATTCAAAAGTAACCGAAAGGGACAAGCTAATCCTTAGGGACCAATGCCACTCATCCTCAGATTCCACAGGACAGTCAGCACTTCTCCTGACAAAATATGATGGTATTTTAGCTCAACAATGCTAATATTAGCTACAATCCCTCATCACCCTCTTCATCCACTCCGAGATTCAAGGGCTCAACAGTAAGGAGTTTACCTCAAAGGAAGGTGTGTGCTAGAAGCAGGTAGAGACACGCTCATTTCTAACTCTTAGAACAGACAATTCTAAATGCCAGTTGACGATTTCAGTGTGGTTTTCTGGCCATCAGGTACAGACAAATTCCTTTTTGAACCTTAAAATTCCAAAGATGGGTCTCCCCTGCCTGTGTATAAAAAGCCAGCTAGGAGTAAGAATTAGAAATGAGCTTTCTCAGGGGCATTTTCACCATTAATTATCTAGAGTTTTTTTTTTTGTTTTTTCAGAGTAGTAGCCATTCTCTTTGTTTATCTTAATGAGCTCAGTTATGCCATCTGGTGGCCAAAATAAATTGAAAACATGCAACTATGCTGTCAGAAAGTGTGAACGTGTCCTTTTTAGAGTTATTCCCTTTCACCCCTTAGTTTTCTCCCCATTTTCCGTGAGCATCTATCACTCACTACATAAGGAGTACCAGGGCATTGATCTTGATGGTGCCTGTTTCCCTGCATGGAAAGGTAAGAAAGTTTGGTCTTGGTACAAGTGACACTGGTTAAGATCAAAAGAAAAAGAAGGACAAGTTAGGGACAGGACGCTTGCCCATGTCCAAAGGAACAGAATAATGTTTCCAGAAGAAAGAGCAAGAGCAGAAGCCAGTGCCCCCAGCTTATCAGTAAGCAGCATGGAATTTGACTAGGAAACAGCAGAACGGCCACTGCTAAGTGGGAATCACCATAACACCTGAAAAAAATAATAATAACAGCAAGAGTAGCTGCTCCAAATGTGTTCAAACCTCCTGGTCTGAATGGATTACATTCCTAAGTACCAAAATAAAAATTAACTGAGAGTATCTCCAAGTCACTATCAACGATCTCTGAGAAATCACAAAGAGGCAGAAAGGTATTAGAAGTTGGAGATTGTGTGGCTCTGATTCCCAAAGATGGAAAAAAAGATGAATGTTGAAAAGCACAGATCAGGCCAGGTGTGGGGGCTCACGCCTGTAATCCTAGCACTTTGGGAGGCTGAGGCAGGTGGATTACTTGAGTTCAGGAGTTTGAGATGAGCCTGGGCAAAACCCCATCTCTACAAAAAATACAAAAATTAGCTGGGCACGGTGGCTCACGCCTGTAATCCCAACACTTTGGGAGGCCGCGGCAGGCATATCACCTGAGGTCAGCAGTTCGAGACCAGCCTGACCAACATGGAGAAACCCTGTCTCTACTAAAAATACAAAATTAGCCAGGTGTGGTGGCGCATGCCTGTAATCCCAGCTACTCGGGAGGCTGAGGCAGGAGAATTGCTTGAACCTGGATGGTGGAGTCTGCAGTGAGCCGAGATCGTGCCATCACACTCCAGCCTGGGCAACAAGAGCAAAAACTCCATCTCAAGAAAAAAAAAAAAATTAGCCAGGTGTGGTGGTGCACACCTGTAGTCCCAGCTACTTGGGGGACTGAGGCAGGAGGATCACTTGAGCCCAGGAAGTCAAGGCTTGCAGTGAGCCAAGATCAGGCCACTGTACTCCAGCCTGGGTGACAAAGCGAGACTCTGTCTCAAAAATAAAAAAGAAAAGAAAACTACAGATAAGTGGCCTTGGCAATGACTGTAGGCAAAAACCCTCAAATGAGATACAGAAAGATGTTTTGTAAAGTGTTTCGTGAGCCCCGAGAAGAGCTGAGTATAGTCACCCCTAAGCTCAAGTGATCCTTTCACCTTAGCCTCCCAATAGCTAGGACTATAGGCGTGTCACCATTCCCTACTAATTTTTTAACACCTCCTTCCCGTCCCTCGACTCCTGCTCTCAAACTCTTCAGAAGACTTGTTCCCATGATTCTGTTGGAGACCATGTTCTCTGGAAACAGATACTGAGATAAAGTTGGGATGCAAGATGTTAATTAGGTATTAACACCTGTGAATAAGGGCAAGGAAGCAGGAGTGGGCAGAGGGAGAAGTTAAACTGAGCTGCAGGCCCAACCACACCTCTCATAACTCTGCAGAGAGCTTGGGGCAGTATTGTCTATCAAAGCAAAGCAAGTTGAACTGAAAGAGCCAGGCATTTATATCCAGCCCTGCTTAGTCACCACATGGAGCTGCCAGGAGAAAGGGTGTGACCAGGAAGAGGGACCAGGCAGCTCTTTGCAGCCAGGGGACCCTGAAGGAGCTGATGGCTGGAGGCTGTCTGCTGACTGCTCTCCCATAGCTGGGCAACAAGTCCTTCCTTGGGGGAGATCTGAGCAGCACATCTCCATGTCCACTACGCTCTCCTTACTACCATTCCCCTCTGGCACCACTGAAATCCACCTTCCATCTTCGCTTTTACTCCACTCACTCCATCCCTTTGCTCCACGCCAAATCCAGTGGGCCCTTCTTGGTTCTTACCTTACAGCTGACCTCTCTCTCATTTGTTGAAGTTATCGATTTCTACAGTAACTTCTCCTCTCTCTCCTTGACCTCTCTACCCACACTTTGCCGGCCTGTTCAGGGGTCCTGTCCTCCATGCACTACCCAAGCACTGGGACTCCATTCTGAATCCATCCTCCTCTTCCTCCGTACTCTCCCAGGCGATCCCACCCACTATCAGGGTTTTAATTCCTGTTTATATGGCAGTGACTTTGAAATGTACTCTCCAGCTATCCTCTCTGCTAGGCTTCCGATTCCCATATCTAATTGGCTGCTGGCTATCTCCATGCTAAGGGCTGTCAGAACTGTGACATTCCACCTCTCTTCTCCCACTGTGTTCCCACCCTAATTCTTCCAGTGCAAGAAACCAGGGACCCTTTGAACCTGCTCTGTCAAGTTTCTTTTCTCGGCAGCCACCCCCGCTGGGTCCAGTTTGGGCATGGGTATGGAAGCACTCCGAACAGTATCAAGGACTCTGCATATGGAGATTTGCATCACTGACATATAAATAGCTGATGCTGGTGCTGAAACCAAAGAATATTCATCACTGATCACACCCACTACTTGCCCAACCAGATGTGAACCTCTGACTCAGTGGGTCCACAGGAAAGAGTTACTCAGCACTTCCTAGGTATAGGTGATGAGAGATGGTATTCATTTATTTTACAGCTTGAAGAATCTGTAAAGAAAATCTGAAGAAAAGAGTTATCTGGGCTAGGCACGGTGGCTCACGCCTGTAATCCCAGTACTTTGGGAGGCCGAGGCGGGCGGATCACGAGGTCAGGAGATTGAGACCAGCCTGGCCAACAGGGTGAAACCCCGTCTCTATTAAAACACAAAAATTTAGCCGGGCGTGGTGGCGCATGTCTGTAGTCCCAGCTACTCGGGAGGCTGAGGCAGGAGAATCGCTTGAACCCGGGAGACGGAGGTTGCAGTGAGCCAAGATTGCGCCACTGCACTCCGGCCTAGCGACAGAGCGAGACTCCATCTCAAAACAACAACAACAAAAAAAGAGTTCTCTGAGCAGGTAGCTTTTAGCCACACCTTTTATTTCCAGGCCTATACCTGTGTGGCAAAGGCTTAAATAGGAGGTATTTCTGAAGGAAAATTAACTCCAGTTTATTTAAATATACCATGCTTCGTGTATATATGTCCTCTCCTTCCAAACCGGAATTTCCAGTTAAATTCAAGGAATAATTATCAAGTAAATACAACATGACAAGAGCAAGGCTAAGTACAGGACAGTTCCTGCCTTAAGGAATCTAAGGTGAAAGGATAAGTCTAATGGAAGCGCATTCCAGTTTGCTGATGAGCACAAAAGCCATAGCAGCTAAGTGCCATGGGTTCCAGAGAAGGAAAGTGTCTCCGTGCAGGCTGGCTTCATAAAGGCTTCTGAGATAGGCCTAAAGGATAGATCAGATTTCAGGAAGTAAGCACAAGACAGGAATAAGCAAGAAATAATGATGACACACAAGGAATGGAGAGGAAAGAATGCCATCAGAAGAATATCTTCAGAGAATTGCACAATAAACAAAGAGTAATGGTAAGGAAATTTTCTTATAGCTAAGGCCAAATATTGAGACTACAGAAATACCCTGGGAGGCTAGAGAGAGGCAACGTCATGGGGGTAAGATTGGTTTTTTGTTTGATTGGTTTTTTTTGGGGGGGGCGGTTAGGTTTTTTCTTTGGAGAAGGAGTCTCCCTCTGTCACCCAGGCTGGAGGGTAGTGGCGCAATCTCAGCTCACTGCAACCTCCGCCTCCCAGGTTCAAGCGATTCTCCTGCCTCAGCCTCCCGAGTAGCTTGGATTACAGGCAACCACCACCTCGGCCGAATGATTTTTGTATTTTTAGTAGAGACAGGGTTTCACCATGTTGGCCAGTCTGGTCTTGAACTCCTGACCTCAGGTGATCCATTCACCTTGGCCTCCCAAAGTGCTGGGATTATAGGTATGAGCCACATACCCAGCCAGATTGTTAAAATAATATTATTACAAGGAGGTGGGTAGAAAAGGCCAAAATCACTGCCCCATTAACTTTTCCTAGGCCCCAGTTCAGACCCAAACTCTTTTTAGACTTCCCTTTTCTACCATCATGGGCAGCACGGGTGTTGTGGCTCCGAGACCCCTCTTCTATCCAGCTCCCTGAAAAGAACAATGCCCACTAAAGGCTTGCTGGGAGTTGATCCATCACTTCTGGTTTGGTAGAATGTTTCCCTAAGGATCTCTTGAGCCCAGGAATTCAAGACCAGCCTGAGAAACATGGAAAAAACGCATCTCCACAAGAAATGCAAAAATGAATGGGGTGTGGTGGTGTGCGCCTGTAGTCCCTAAGGGCTGTCAGAACTTAGGAGGCTAAGACAGGAGGATTGCTTGAGCCCAGGAAGTCGAGGCTGCAGTGAGCCATGATCACACCACTGTACTCCAGCCTGGGCAACAGAGCAAGACCCTGTCTCAAAGAAAAAGTTTCCCTAATGTTGCCCACATGGGTAACTCCCTCCCACCTATCCCAGTTGTAATTAAGTGAGAACACTCTAGTCCTTGTTCTTAAATGAAGGAAGTGAAAATTTGTGAGGACAAGAATGTTCTGGGCCTGGTGACCTCCCGAAGTGAGCTTGGCAGCAAATCTTCCCATTTGCCTTGGGAAAGCCCTAAAAAAACCAGAGTATGGGATACTGATAGTGGTTATAATTGCTAACGAGGTTAGGGTTTTAACACATGACGCATGCTAAGTAGTCAAAATTCCCCATTTTACAGAAAGAGAAACTGAAGTTCAAAGATGCTATGTGCAATCCCCCTACATGGAGACACAGTCTGAGTCTAGTTTCTCAAGGCCTTGGCAGGGCCTGAGGGAGTGGGTAACATGGGTATGGCTTGTATACATTTATGAATTTTGTATCTGGGAAGCAATATGGAGAAATAGCCTGTAAGGAAGGAAAAGATTAGACACTATTTACTGCAGCTCCAAACAAAACTACACAGAGGCCAGGAGCAGTGGCTGATGCCTGTAATCCCAGCATTTTGGGAGGCCAAGGTGGGTGAATCACCTGAAGTCAGGAGTTTGAGACCAGCCTGGCGAACATGGTGAAACCCTGTCTCCACTAAAAGTACAAAAATTAGCCGGGTGTGGTGGCACACGCCTGTAATCCTACCTACTCAGGAGGCTGAGGCAGGAGAATCACTTGAACCTGGGAGGCAGAGGTTGCAGTGAGCTTGAGAGGTGACAGCCTGCTAGCAGTCCTCACAGCTCTCACTCGCTCTGGGCGCCTCCTCTGCCTGGGCTCCCACTTTGGCGGCATTTGAGGAGCCCTTCAGCCCACCGCTGCACTATGGGAGCCCCTTTCTGGGCTGGCCAAGGCCAGAGCCGGCTCCCTCAGCTTGCAGGGAGGTGTGGAGGGAGAGGCGCGAGCGGAACCGGGGCTGCGTGCAGTGCTTGCGGGCCAGCTGGAGTTCCGGGTGGGCGTGGGCTTGGCGGGCCCCGCACTCGGAGCAGCCGGCCGGCCCTGCCAGCCCCAGGCAGTGAGGGGCTTAGCACCCGGGCCAGCGGCTGCGGAGGGTGTACTAGGTCCCCCAGCAGTGCCGGCCCACCGGCGGTGCGCTCGATTTCTCGCCAGGCCTTAGCTGCCTTCGCACGGGGCAGGGCTCGGGACCTGCAGCCCGCCATGCCTGAGCCTCCCACCCCCTCCGTGGGCTCCTGTGCGGCCCAAGCCTCCCCGACGAGCGCCGCCCCCTGCTCCAGGGCCCCCAGTCCCATCGACCGCCCAAGGGCTAAGGAGTGTGAGCGCATGGCCCAGGACTGGCAGGCAGCTCCACCTGCAGCCCCGGTGCTGGATCCACTGGGTGAAGCCAGCTGGGCTCCTGAGTCTGGTGGGGACGTGGAGAGTCTTTATGTCTAGCTCAGGGATTGTAAATACACCAATCGGCACTCTGTATCTAGCTCAAGGTTTGTAAACACACCAATCAGCACCCTGTGTCTAGCTCAGGGTTTGTGAGTGCCCCAATTGACACTCTACCTAGCTGCTCTAGTGGGCCCTTGGAGAACCTTTATGTCTAGCTCAGGGATTGTAAATACACCAATCGGCACTCTGTATCTAACTCAAGGTTTGTAAACACGCCAATCAGCACCCTGTGTCTAGCTCAGGGTTTGTGAGTGCACCAATCGACACTCTGTATCTAGCTGCTCTGGTGGGGCCTTGGAGAACCTTTACATTTAGCTCAGGGATTGTAAATACACCAATCGGCACTCTGTATCTAACTCAAGGTTTGTAAACACGCCAATCAGCACCCTGTGTCTAGCTCAGGGTTTGTGAGTGCACCAATCGACACTCTGTATCTAGCTGCTCTGGTGGGGCCTTGGAGAACCCGTGTGTCCATACTCTGTATCTAACTAATCTGATGGGGACGTGGAGAACCTTTGTATGTAGCTCAGGGATTGTAAACGCACCAATCAGCACCCTGTCAAAACAGGCCACTCGGCTCTACCAATCAGCAGGATGTGGGTGTGGCCAGATAAGAGAATAAAAGCAGGCTGCCCCAGCCAACAGTGGCAACTTGCTCCGGTCCCCTTCCACAGTGTGTAAGCTTTGTTCTTTTGCTCTTTGCAATAAATCTTGCTACTGCTCAGTCTTTGAGTCTACATTGCTTTTGTGAGCTGTAACACTCACTGCAAAGGTCTGCAGCTTCATTCCTGAAGCCAGTAAGATCACAAACCCACCAGAAGGAAGAAACTCCGAACACATCTGAACATCAGAAAGAACAAACTCCAGACATGCCACCTTAAGAGCTATAACACTCACCGTGAGGGTCCGTGGCTTCATTCTTGAAGTCAGTGAGACCAAGAACCCACCAATTCCGGACACAAGCTAAGATCACACCACACTGCATCCCAGCCTGGCAACAGCGAGACTGTCTCAAAAAAAAAAAAAGGCCGGGTGCCGTGGCTCACCTTTGTAATTCCAGCACTTTGAGAGGCTGAGGAGGGTGGATCACCTGAGGTCAGGAGTTCAAGACCAGCCTAGCCAACATTGTGAAACCCCGTCTCCACTAAAAATACAAAAAATTAGCCAGACGTGGTGGGCGCCTGTAATCTCAGCTACTCAGGAGGCTGAGGCAGGAGAATCACTTGAACCTGGAGCAGGGCTGGATGGGGGGTAGAGGTTGTAGTGAGCTGAGGTCAGGCCACCACACACAAGCCTGGGCAATAAGAGTGAAATGCCATCTCAATAAATATTGTGTTTGGTTCTTGAGTAACAAAAACTCAATACAATGGCCTAACTTCATAGGTGTTTATTTTTCCCAGTTATGAAGAAGACTTGAGCAGGCAGTCCAGAGCTGATACAGCTGCTCCAATCACCAGAGATGCAATCTCCTGCTAGATGTCTTCACATCTACCTTTCTATGTCACATGTGCAAGATGGTTGCTCTGCCTTCAGACATCACATTTACATTCCAGGCAGAAAGGAGAAGGAAAGAGCAAAAGATGTGTTCCGAACAAATCCATCTTAAAAACAAACAAGGGGAGGGGTAGCAGGAGAAAATTTAAAAAGAAGAAGAAGAAAAACAAAAACAGGAAAGCCGTTGTTTCCCTAAAAGCCCCATCAAGCCGACTTCTACCGGTGACTCATTACCCAGTCATGTGGCCACGCCTGGATTCAAGGCAGTCTGAGGAGGTGAGTGTTTCAAAGAGGCACATGGATGCCACAGACAAAATCAAGTTTCCATGGTTGAAGGAGAAGAGGACGATAGAGTTTGGGGAGGCAGCAGGCTACGTCTGCCACAGAAGATATAAAGATATGGAGCCACACGAGAAGATGGGGGAGGCTGCCAAAAAAGTCCACTGGGTACAGGTGAGGAGCAGGTGACATTGGAGTTGCTCCATCTGAGGAGCCCGCACCTGCAATGGCTTGTGCTCCTGCTCCTGTGGGTATAGGCACAAGGCTGATGCCGAGAGAGTGAGTTGTTTCTGTTGGGGTTCAGAACACAATACCCCAAAGTATGGCGATGAGTACTTAACTAAAGGACATTGGAAGGCCTCAGAAGCAGCCTCAGATCCAAGGTCCCTCTGACCTGCTCCTGCCCTCCTGTCTCTCTCGTCCCTCGTTCTCCCCTGAAGTGAGTCATAGAAACCAGAATCCTCTTCCCCACGGTAGGTCCTAGAAACTAGAACCCTTTTTCCCCGAAGCAAAAGCCATAAAAACTGGAATTATTACTCTAAACTCTCCTTGACTTTTTGTCCAGAAGATGGCCATAAAGAAATTCTCAGCTAGGTGTGGTGGCTCGTATCTGTAATCCCAGCACTTTGAGAGGCCAAGGTGGGAGGATCACTTGAGGCCAGGAGTTTGAGATCGGCCTGGGCAACATAGTAAGACCCCCATCTCTACAAAACTTTTTTTTTTAAACTTACCTAAGCGTGGTGGTACACCTGTAGTCTCAGCTACTTAGGAGGCTGAGGTGGGAGGGACCCTGCTCTGGCTGTGACTGCTTTATCACAGGGAGTGCCTATCTGTGGGCTGCTTTCTACACATTAAAGCATTTTCAGAAAGGGCCAACATCAGCCTTGGAAAAAAGGAGGAAGAGCCACGGAGAGTCTCCCTTTATCTTCCCCTTATGTGATGTGAGAGTGCACATGACTGTGTGCACATACACACACACACACACACACACCACACACACACACCCCACAGGCACACAGGGTCAAGAACATGCTGGGCAGAGCTTAAGCCACTGAATGTTTCAGTAGGAATCATGATATCTAAAAATAGGACAGCTGATAAGGGGGTTCTTACTACTCACAGTTCCTGGAATTATATGCAATTGCATCTTGGAAACTCAACAAATAAACAGTTAGTATGGAATTAAGGAATTAAGTTTGGTGAAGTTCAAAGAAGCTGATGTTACTCACAAGAGTAAATAGAGAGGAAACCGGGCGTGGTGGCTTCACGCCTGTAATTCTAGCACTTTGGGAGGCCAAGACGAGCAGATCACTTGAGGTAGAGAGTTTGAGACCAGCCTGGCCAACATGATGAAACCCTGTTCTCTACTAAAAATACAAAAATTAGCTGGGTGTGGTGGCAGGCACCTGCAATCCCAGCTACATGGGAGGCTGAGGCAGGAGAATCGCTTGAACCCAGGAGACAGGGGTTGCAGTGAGCCAAGATCACACCACTGCACTCCAGCCTGGGCGACAGAGCAAGACTCCCTCTCAGGAAAGAAAAAAAAAAAAAAGTAAATAGAGAGGAAAGCACAGGCCAGGGTAAAGAGCTCCATGTAGGGCTGGGCGCGGTGGCTCACGCCTGCGGTCCCAGCACTTTGGGAGGCCGAGGCGGGCGGATCACAAGGTCATGAGATCGAGACCATCCTAGCTAACATGGTGAAACCCCGTCTCTACTAAAAATACAAAAATTAGCCGGGGGTGGTGGGCGCCTGTAGTCCCAGCTACTCGGGAGGCTGAGGCAGGAGAATGGTGTGAATCCAGGAGGTGGAGCTTGCAGTGAGCCGAGATCACACCACTGCACTCCAACTTGGGCAACAGAGTAAGACTCCACCTCAAAAAAAAAAAAAAAAAGAGCTCCATGTATGATTCGTGTATAATGCTGCGGGCATTTGGAGTGCAGCCAACAGCCCCCTTGCAGAGACCCAGTGTTCATTGTCCCTTCCTTCTTCTAGCAGAACCCCAATTTTATTTTGTTTAGCAAAGTTCTATGCTTTAAATTTTTTTTTGCCTCAAACTGCCATGCAGGTAGGAGTGGTGGTGTGGCATAGGGCTGGCCAATGAGATGTTAGCCTAAGTCATGTAAAGGGGACTTTCAGAAAAGTTCTTTTCTAGGACTGACTCAACTGGCATGGGCCCCCTTTGCCTTTTACTCTCCCACTTCCTCCAGCCTGAAACAAAACCATGATGGTCTGAACTCCAGCCATCAACTGGAGAGCACTTAATCACTTTTTCAGTAAATACATGCCAGGCCCTGTTTTCAGTTCTAGGAACTTACCATAAAGAAAACAGATAAAAATCTCTGGCTTCAAGGAGCTTACAGTCTAGTGAGAGGAAACAAATTATAAGCAAACAAATATATAGTATTTCAGAATATGGTAAGTGTTAAGGAAAATAAATTAAGAAATGAGATTCTTATTATCTTTAGGGACACTCTCACTCCATCTCCTTCTGTTGCCCACACTAGAGTGCAGTGGTGCGATCATAGCTCACTGTAACCTCAAACACCTGGGCTCAAGTGATCCTCCTGCCACAGCCTCCTGAGTAGCTGGGACTACAGGTGTATACCACTACATCTGGCTAATTTTTTTTTTATTTTTTATTTTTGTAGAGACGGAGTCTTGCTACATTCCCCAGGCTGGTCTCAAGCTCCTGGCCTCAAGTGATCTTCCTATCCTAACCTCACAAGGGGCTGGGATTATAGGTGTGAGCCACCACACCACCCAGAAATGAGATTCTTTTTATTTTTGTTTGTTTGTTTGTTTGTTTTGAGACAGAGTCTCACTCTGTCACCCAGGCTGGAGTGCAGGGGCACATTCTCGGCTCACTGCAGCCTCCACCTCCAGGTTCAAGTGATTTTCGTGCCTCAGCCTCCCAAGTAGCTGGAGTTACAGGAATATGCCACTACACCCAGCTATTTTTTTTTTTTTTTTTTTTTTTAGTAGAGACAGGATTTCACTATGTTGGCCGGGCTAGTCTCAAACTCCTGACCTCAAGTGATCTGCCAGCCTTGGCTTCCCAAAGTGTAGGGATTATAGGCGTGAGCCACTGCACCCCGCCCAGAAATGAGATTCCTGATGCTCGATCAAGTCAGGGTGGTGGCTCAGAAGGCTGGATGGACCTGGGGGTTGTAAAGGTAGCCAGGGTTTGTTTTAATCAGGTGTGGCAAGACGTGCAGACACAGGAATCACTTTCATGGAGGAAGACATTTACTCACAGTTCCCTAGAAACATGCATGAGGCATGGCATGGCGTGCAGGGGTGCCCCATGGGGAAGCACCTGAGTCAGTCAGGAGGCAGTGGGAGTGAAAGGAAAATGTGGGCAAGAGCCTTTATTGTGGTTTCACAGGCAGGAGTGTGCAGGCAGGTAAGCAAGTTCAGGCTCGGCTAGTTTGAATAATTTCAGCAGCCTCTGGGGCATAGGGGCTGTCCCTAGCTCTCTAGTACTGGTCCTGGGCTGACTAGGGGAATTGCAGCTAGGAGTGGCAGAGCCTGATGAAGGTGGTGGTTGGGAGGATGGGGTCTAGCTTGGTTGATCTACATATGACAGGCGAGTTCTTTGCTTCTAGGAATTAGCTCAACCTGGGAGAGGCAGTCACTCCAGGGTCAGCAAGACCCCACGATGTGGAAGTATCAGAATATAGAAACTAGAAAACATGGTTAATTACACTAGGTTCTTGCCAATATTGCTATGCTATTAGGATCCCTGCTCTCACCTCTAGATTTATTCTAAATGCAGAAAAATTAAACTCTCAATTTTTTATGCCACTGTTTTTCAGGTTTCTATTACTGGTTAGGTGAATGCCAGGCCTGTACTGATAATGATCCTAAAGAAGACTCCTCTTTCATACGGCCTAGTAACCGATTCTCAGATCTTATCCATATAAATAGGCTGTTAGTCAAACAAGAAAAATAGCAAGATAAGTAACAGATCCTTCACAGAGTAACTACTCTCATCTATGTGCGTGCACACACACACAAACACACACACTAGTGCGAAAATAAAATGATTTTTCACAGACTTTTTCTGAAGATTGAAGATTTCAAAACAGTCTGAAAAAAAGTTTCAAAAGTGGTCCTGAAGTTAGCTTTACATCAATGCATTAAATATTAACTTTTTTTTTTTTTTGAGATGGAGTCTCACTCCGTCACCCAGGCTGGAGTGCAGTGATGCCATCTCGGCTCACTGCAACTCCTGTCTCCCGGGTTCAAGTGATTCTGCTGCCTCAGCCTCCCAAGTAGCTAGGATTACAGGCATGCACCACCATGCCTGGCTAATATTTTTGTATTTTTAGTAGAGATGGTGTTTCACCATGTTGGCCAGGCTGGTCTCGAACTCCTGACCTCAAGTGATCCACCCGCTTTGGCCTCCCAAAGTGCTGGGATTACAGGCGTGAGCCACTGTGCCCGGCCTAAATATTAACCTTATATGAACAAAAAGAGAAACGAGGATATATGGAGAGAGTAAAAGAGAAGTGAGGCACGGTGAGAAATTGGGAAGGGAGACCTGAGCCTTTGTCTATAGCGAAGGTTGAAAATTCAGCCACCTGCAGGGGCAAAGCAGAAAATGCAAATGAGGTAGCAGGCTTGGGATAAGAAAGACCTGGCTCTTGTTCTCTGTTTTCCCTTTTTTCAGTAAAGATATAGGTAGAAACTAAAATTTGTCTGCTAGAGGAAAAAATAACTACTCAAGCTAAATAATAAATGCCAATTGGCACTTTCCCTCAGTGTTAAGGAGGCCAGGAGGCATGGAGTGGGCACTGGTGAACAGAGTGGGGCAGCCACCGCCCAGCTCCATCAACTGTTACTAGCAATCGGTGTAGGTCGCATGATGCCAGATAGCCTGATTTTTTTTTAAGCTGTAAAACTGGGATTTCTGTTTAGAGACCGGGTCTCACCCCAGTCTGGAGTGCAATGGCACTATCATAAAACACTGCAGCCTGGAACTCCTGGGCTGAAACAATCCTCCCTCCTCAGCCTCTCAAATTAAATTGTAGGTGTGAACCACCACACCCAGCTGATTTTTATTATTTTTTGTAAAGACAGGGTCTCACTGTGTTGCCCATGTTGCCCAGGATAAAATCTGGATTTTTATGTGAAATCTCCAATTCTTAATTGTTGAGATTGAAGACTTTTTTTCTTCTTTTTTTTTGGAGCCAGGGTCTTGCTCTGTCACCCAAGCTGGAGTGCAGTAGCACAATCAAAGTTTTCTACAGCCTTGACCTCCTGGGCTCAAGCAGTCCTCCCAGCTCAGCCTCCCCAGAAGCTGACTACAGACTACAGGTGTGTAGCATCATGCCTGGCTAATTTTTGTATTTTTTATAAAGACGGGGTCCTACTGTGTTGCCCAGGCTGGTCCCAAACTCCTGGGCTCAAGCAATCCTCCCAACTCGGCCTCCCAAAGTGCTGGAGTTACACGCATGAGCCACTGCTCCCAGTTCCTGAAGACAATATTTTGGATAAACGTTCTCTTAGCAAATTATATGTTTCTGCAGAGCAGATACTCAGGCAGTAGGCCATCGGTTTGCACTTCTATTATGCTGAACAAATGAGATAGGAAGCTGTTGCAAAGAAAGGAAGGGGAAAAGCAAGGGGCTAGCTGACAGTAAGAAAGACTGGGAGACGGACAAGGAGAGACCCAAGGTGATGGGATGAAAAAAGAAGAAAAAAAATATTGATGAATGCGATTGAGAAGAGATTGGGGGCCGGATGCAGTGGCTCACGCCTATAATCCCAGCAGGCGTGAGGCCAAGGCAGGCGGATCACCTGGGGTCAGGAATTCGAGACCAGCCTGGCCAACATGGCAAAACCCCATCTCTACTAAAAATAGAAAAAAAAAGCCAGGCATGGTGGCATGTGCCTGTAGTCCCAGCTACTTGGGAGGCTGAGGCACGAGAATCACTTGAACCCGGACGGCGGCGGAGGTTGCAGTGAGCGGAGATTACGCCACTGCACTCCAGCCTGGGTGATAGAGTGAGACTCCATCTCAATTAAAAAAAGAAGAAGAAGAGATTGAGAAAGAATGAAGAAGAGAGGAAGAAAACACTGGGGCTCAGAAAACAATACCCCAAAGTGTGGCACTTTGGCATGCTGAATACTTTGAACTAAAGGACATTGGGAAGACTCAGAAGCAGCCTCGAAACCAAGATCCCTCTGACCTTCTGCCCCTCCTGTCTCTCGCCCCTCATTCTCTCCTGAAGTGAGCCACAGAAGCCAGAATTAGTCCTCCCTAAGGTCATAGAAACCAGAACCCCTGTTCCCCAAAGCCAGCCATAAAAACTAGAATTATTTCTTCTACTGCTTCCTAAGACATGACCATAAATAAATAGTCTGACCTACGCTTGTCTAATGGTGGGCCATAATGAGAGGTGACAGCGTGCTGGCAGTCCTCAGAGCCCTCGCTTGCTCTTGCCACCTCCTCTACCTGGGCTCCCACTTTGGCGGCATTTGACGAGCCCTTCAGCCCACCACTGCACTGTGGGAACCCCTTTCTGGGCTGGCCAAGGCTGGAGCCCACTCCCTCAGCTTGCAGGGAGGTGTGGAGGGAGAGGTGCGAGCGGGAACCGGGGCTGCGAGCGGCGCTTGGGCGCCAGCGGGAGTTCCGGGTGGGCGTGGGCTTGGAGGGCCCCGCACTCAGAGCAGCCGGCCAGCCCTGCCGGCCCCGGGCAATGAGGGACTTAGCACCCGGGCCAGTGGCTGCAGAGGGTGTACTGGGTCGCCCAGCAGTGCCAGCCCACCGGCGGTGCGCTCGATTTCTCACCGAGCCTTAGCTGCCTTCCCGCGGGGCAGGGCTCGGGACCTGCAGCCCGCCATGCCTGAGCCTCCCACCCACTCAAAGGGCTCCTGTGCGGCCCGAGCCTCCCCGACGAGCACCACCCCCTGCTCCACGACGCCCAGTCCCATCGACCACCCAAGGGCTGAGGAGTGCAAGCACACGGCACAGGACTGGCAGGCAGCTCCACCTGCAGCCCCAGTGTGGGGTCCACTAGGTGAAGCCAGCTGGGCTCCTGAGTCTGGTGAGGATGTGGAGAGTCTTTATGTCTAGCTCAGGGATTGTAAATACACCAATCAGCACCCTGTGTTTAGCTCAAGGCTTGTGAGTGCACCAGTCCACACTCTGTATCTAGTTGCTCTGGTGGAGCCTTGGAGAACCTGTGTGTCCAAACTCTGTATCTAACTAATCTGATGGGGACGTGGAGAACCTTTGTATCTAGCGCAAGGATTGTAAACGCACCAATCAGCACCCTGACAAAACAGGCCACTCGGCTCTACCAATCAGCAGGATGTGGGTGGGGCCAGATAAGAGAATAAAAGCAGGCTGCCCGAACCAGCATTGGCAACCCGCTTGGGTCCCTTTCCAGACTGTGGAAGGTTTGTTCTTTTGCTCTTTGCAATAAGTCTTGCTGCTGTTCACTTTTTTGGGTCCATGCTGCTTTTATAAGTTGTAACACTTACTGCGAAGATCTGCAGCTTCACTCCTGAGCCAGCAAGACCATGAACCTACCAGAAGGAAGAAACTCCGAACACATCTGAACATCAGAAAGGACAGACTCCAGAAGCGCCACCTTAAGGGCTATAACACTCACCGCGAGGGTCTGTGGCTTCGTTCTTGAAGTCAGTGAAACCAAGAACCCACCATTTCTGGACACAATAAGATCCTCATTCCAGAGGGGTCCAGTCCCATACCTGGCTGGCAGAAATGCTACAACATAGAGGCCGAGAAGAATCCGGACAGACAGGCATTGCTGGATTCCTCCAGGAGATCATACCCTTTCTGTCCCATAATGTTTCCACATGACCATCCATTCTTCATCAACTCTAAGCATAAAAAATGAGAATTTTCCCTGTGGGTCTTAATTCTTTTCTTTTTCCTTTTTTTTTTTTTTTTTTTTTTGAGACGGAGTCTTGCTCTGTCGCCCAGGCTGGAGTGTGGCAGTGTGATCTCAGCTCACTGCAACCTCTGCCTCCTGTGTTCAAGCAATTCTCCTGCCTCAGCCTCATGAGTAGCTGGGACTACAGGTGCATGCCACCACACCCAGCTAAATTTTTTTTTTTTTTAGTAGAGACAGGATCTTACCATATTGGACAGGCTGGTCTTGAACTCCTGACCTCAAGTGATCTGCCCACCTCGGCCTCCCAAACTGCTGGGATTACAGGCATGAGCCGCCACATCTGGCCCCTGTGGGTCTTCATTCTAAAGGCCACCGTGACACATAAAACTTGGATTCAATAAATGTTTTTCTCTCATTAACCTGTCTTTTGTTAGAGGACCGTGGCCGAGACTTTCATGATGGAGAGAAAAGGTATCACAGAAAAGGTATGCCCTTTTCTGCTTCTAAAAGGGCAAGGAAGATGGAGAAGAAAGTGAGAAAAAGGAGATTTGAAGAGAGAGGAGGAAGTGGGCTGCTATAGGTAGAGGGTGGAGATTTAAAGTCATTCTACAGGCTCGGCACAGTGGCTCACGCCTGTAATCCCAACACTTTGGGAGGCCAAGGTGAGTGAATCGCTTGAGGTCAGGAGTTCAAAACCAGGCTGGCCAACATGGTGAAACCCTGTCTCTACAAAAATACAAAAAATTAGACGGGCGTGGTGGCAGGAGCTTATAATCCCAGCTACTTGGGAGGTTGAGGCAGGAGAATCTCTTGAACCCAAGAGGTGGAGGTTGCAGTGAACCAAGATCACACCACTGCACTCCAGCCTGGGCAACAGAGTGAGACTGTGTCAAAAAAAAAGTCATTCAACAGAAAGAGACAGGAATATGCAGGCACTGTGGAGAGAACAGTGGCTCTATATGGTGAAAGGGAAGCCCACAAGTTTTCCAGCCTTTGGGATTCTGTGCTATTATAATTTATATATAGGTTTTAGTCCATGGTTCCTGGCTTATAATTCCCATTGCCCTTGTTACCATCTGTTGTTGTAATGTTGGGTGCTTTAAGCCTCAGAAGCAGGTCTCAATAAACGGAATCTCTCTGACCTTCTCCTGCCCTCATTTCATCTGCTCCTTTATCTCTCCAAGGCAGGAATCTTTGCCCATCTTTCTGTCTTTGACCTACCTTGTCTGACTATAGGTCATAAGACTCCCATTTCAGAAAGGATGCCCCATATCCTGGAGGAAGAAAGGCTGCACAGAGAGGCCAAGAAGAATCTGGACAGGACTCACTGGGTTTCCCCAGTCTGTCTGTTAGTATTAGATCATATCCTTTTTGTTCAATCACATTTTGACATGGTTGTCCATGCTTCAGTCATGCCTGTCCAGTGAAGTCTCCATAAATGCCCAAGAGGACGGGGTTCAGAGAGCTTCTGGAGAGCTGAACACATGGAGGTTCCTGGAAGGTGTTGCACACAGGGAGGACTCGGAAGCTCTGTGCCCCTTCTCCCTGTGCATCTCTTCATCTCTAGCCTTTGTAATAAACCAGTAAATGCAAGTGTTCATTTAACTGAACCCAAAGAGGGGGTTGTGGGAATCCCAACTTGAAGCTGGTGGGTCAGAAGTTCCCAAGGCCAAACCTGTGACCAATGTGGGTCGGGGGGCAGTCTTGGGGACTGAGCCCTCAACCTGTGGGATCTGATGCTACCTCTAGGTAGACAGTGTCAGAATTGGATTAGAAGACACCCAACTGGTGTCTGCTGCAGATTTAATTGCTTGCTTGATGTGTAGAGACAAAACTCCTCACATTTGGTCACAGAAGCCTTCTGTGTTAATGATTGTTGTGAGTGAGAGAGTAGGAAAAAGCACATTGAGTGTTGTTTTTCCCACACACAGAGCACCACTTTTTCTTTGATAGTTAAATAACTCAGGCCTGCACTTTTCTACAACTACAGGAAGTCCAGGGCCCTGGCTCAGGAAGTGGCGCCATTTCCCTGGTCAATATCACCTCTTGCTTCTCCTTTCTTTCAACACCTCCCTGTGGGGGTCCAGCTCCTTCAGCCCTTCCCTTCCTTTACCAGCTGACACTGGACTAGGGGTCAACACAGCTTCAGTGGAAGCTTGAACCATGGGTAGGCCAGCCCAGAATTCTACAGGGGACAAGTAGAATTCCATACCAGAGATGACATTCCTAAAATAATCTCCATGCAAGGTGCCCTATTCTGGAAATTTCTCACCACCTCTCTGCTCAAGGAAGACATCCTTTCTCTTCACTGTGCTCAGCAATGGGGCATCTCTTTGATCAGACTCTGCCTGAATTTCATGTAATCAAAGGACACATTAAAATGTTTTCTTTCACACAAGAACCCCAGAGGGGCTGGGAACTAGAAGAGCTGTATTCTTTTATTTATTTATTTATTTATTTATTTATTTATTTTGAGATAGAATCTTGCTCTGTTGCCCAGGCTGGAGTGCAGTGGCGTGATCTCAGCTCACTGCAACCTCCACCTTCCAGGTTCAAGCAATTCTCCTGCCTCAGCCTCCTGAGTAGCTGGGATTACAGGCACCTGCCACCAGGCCTGGCTAATTTTTTTTATATTTTTAATACAGACAGGGTTTCACCATGTTGACCAGGCTGGTCTCGAACTCCTGACCTCAAGTGATCCGCCCACCTCGGCCTCCCAAAGTGCAGGGATTACAGGCATGAGCCACTGCACCCAGCCAAATTTCTGTATTTTCTTTTTTAATTTATTATTATTATTATTTTGTTTTGAGATGGAGTCTTGCTCTGTTGCCAGGCTAGAGTGCAGTGGCATGATCTCGGCTTACTGCAACCTCCGCCTCCCGGGTTCAAGCGATTCTCCTGCATCAGCCTCCTGAGTAGCTGGGACTACAGGCACGCGCTGCCATGCCCAGCTAATTTTTGTATTTTTAGTAGAGACAGGGTTTCACCATGTTGGCCAGGATAGTCTCGATCTCTTGACCTCGTGATCTGTCCACCCCGGCCTCCCAAAGTGCTAGGATTACAGGTGTTAGCCACAGCGCCCGGCTTTTATTTTTATCTTTATTTTTGAGGCAGAGTTTTGCTCTTGTCACCCAGGCTGAAGTGCAATGGCACAACCTCAGCTCACTGCAACCTCCGCCTCCTGGGTTCAAGCAATTCTCCTGCCTCAGCCTCCTCAGTAGCTGGGTCTATAGGCATGCGCCACTACGCCCGGATAATTTTTTATTTTTATTTTTAGTAGAGACGAGGTTTCACCATTTTGACCAGGCTAGTCCCGAACTCCTGACCTCAGGTGATCCACCCTCCTCAGCCTCCCAAAGTACTGGAATTACAGGCGTGAGCAACCACACCCGGCCTAGAGCTGTATTCTTGATGATGGAGAGCAGTTTCCTCCTCTCTGCCAGGCCACACTGTGTGTGGCCATCGCATCCTGAATGGTGCTCTAGTTCTTGAGACCTACAGAAGCCATTTCCTATTTTCCTTACTCACCTGTGTATCCTTAGGGAATGTCCATCCCCTGAGGTAACTTGGGTGTTTCTCTGTCTTTTGCAACCTGTGTGAGCTGAATACCTTCACATTGGCTTGTCTGTAGAAGGCAGTCAGGTTTTTGTTTTGCTTTGCTTTCTAGTTGGATCAGATAAGAGTTAACAGAAAATGACCACAGTCTAAGTCACTTGCTCAGTGATCAAGTTGTGAAAAAACTGAAATCACTTTATATATGTGTGTGTGTATATATATATGTGTGTGTATACATGTGTATATATATGTGTGTGTATATATATGTGTGTGTGTGTTTATATATATATATATATATTTTTTTTTTTTTTTTTTTTTTTTTTTTTTTTTTTGAGACAGTCTTACTCTGCCGCCTAGGCTGGAGTGCAGTGGCGCAATCTTGGCTCACTGCAACCTTCACCTGCTGGGTTCAAGCGATTCTTCTGCCTCAGCCCTCCCGAGTAGCTGGGATTACAGGTGCCTGCCACCACACCTGCTAATTTTTGTATTTTCAGTAGAGACAGGGTTTTACCATATTGGCCAGGCAAGTCTGTAACTCCTGGCCTCAGGTGATCCGTCCGGCAGCTTCCCAAAGTGCTGGGATTACAGGCATGAGCCATCACACCCATCCTGAAATCACTTTTGACCTGGAAGTCACCCTTTTTCTGTGCTTCTGAACACATGGCAACCTTCTACCCACCTGCCCAGCATCCTCATGTCCCACTGGTTTTTCCCAAATCTGTTCTCTTCCCCTGCGCCTCCTCCACTCCTGCCGCTTTATCTCCAGCACACGTTCCTCTTCCTCCTCCTTTTTCATCTAATTATCCAACAGATACGTGATGAGAGCCCACGTGTGCCAAGCACTGTGCTGGCAACAGAACAGACGGAGGGCAAGACGGAGCCCCTCTCCAGCCACGGGTCCCTACAGCCTAGCATGATGCCTGCAGTCACAGCCAAGCACACTGCTCACATCTGAGCTCAGCAGATCTGGGCAGTGAAGTGGAGTAAAGTTAGTCTTTAGATGGAAAAGCAAACAGAAATACAGACTGTTATGAGCCTTTTTTGCGGAGGCCACAAACTTAGACGTTTTGAGCCTGGAATCTGATGTCACACAGACCCAAATCCCACTACTTACCAATTGTGTGAACTTATCTCTGGGCCTCTTTTTCCTTCTGGAAGTAACCACCCTAGCCAACTAACAGGTCAAGATGAAATGATTTATTCTGTATAAAGTACTTAGCGCAGTATCTGATGCGTGGTGGTAGGAAATAACCACTAAATGGTAGTTGGCATTAATGATATGGATCTGCGCTAGGAGTTACATGAGCAGAGTAAGACAGGTTTCAATTTCTGTATTCCACTCCTCCCTTCCTCTGCCCACTTCTCCACCCCCTGACCCCAGTCTTTTCCAGTTAGAAAGGTAGAAATTCCTAATGGAAATCAAGAGCAGGGGAGGGGTGGAAACAGGAAACATGGGTTATCAACAAAAACTGGGCTCCAGGACAGGCGCCGTGGTTCACGCCTGTAATCCCAACACGTTGGGAGGCTGCTGGACAGATCACCTGAGGTCAAGAGTTCGAGACCAGCCTGGCCAACATGGTGAAACCCCGTCTCTACTAAAAATAAAAATTAGCTGGGTGTGGTGGCGGGCGCCTGTAATCCCAGCTACTCAGGAGGCTGAGGCAGGAGAATCACTTGAACCCAAGAGACAGAGGTTGCAGTGAGCCGAGATCACACCACTGCACTCCAGCCCAGGCGACACAGTAAGACTCCGTCTCAAGGAAAAAACAAAAACACAAAAAACTGGGCTCCTGAGTGCTTCACACGCGTGAGTGGCTATCCTGCTCCTGAGAAGCAGCTCTCCAACCCCCTGGCCCAAGTAGAGCTGGGCCCTCCTGGACGTCTACAGGATCCACTCCAGCTTGAATCATTCTCTGGACAGGCCTTTAATGCACTCTTCCTCAAGCCCTAAAGGTCATAACTCCTTGAATGGCTGGAAAAACACTGTGCTGAAATCACAAAGAATCCAGGAAAGAAAAACAGGCAGCAAAATGGAACCAAACACAGGGAGTTGAACAGACGTTTATTTTGATCCATGTCCAGCTTTGGCCAAGAAAATAATAAAATGTCCAGGAAAAATCAAGCTGAAGGGAGGGAGTGGGAGAGAGGAGCTAGTAATATCAAATTTGAGACTCTATATGAAAAAAGATAAAAGTTGGTCCACTTATCATAGCATACATACAAAAAGATAAATTCCATATGAGACTTTAAAAAACAAAAACCACACAATATTAAAGGGAAATAAATTCTTCTACAGCTTGGGAGTGGAAAAGACTTGCATAACTATGGCTAAATCTTCAGCTGCAATTGAAGAGAAAGAGTGATAAATTTTGGCTGGGCATGGTGGCTCATGCCTGTAATCCCAGCACTTTGGGAGGCCAAGGGAGGTGGATCATGAGGTCGGGAGTTCAAGACCAGCCTGGCCAATATGGTGAAACCCCGTCTCTACTAAAAATGCAAAAATTAGTCAAGCATGGTGGCGCTCACTTGTAGTCCCAGCTACTCAGGAGGCTGAGGCAGGAGAATCGCAAAAAAACAAAAAACAAAACAAAAACAAAAACAAAAAACAAAACAAACGAAACAAAACAACTATCCTAAGGTAGCATATTATACCTATCAGATCGGCAAAAAATCCAAAAATTTGTCAATACATGTAGTTGGCAAAGCTATAGGGAAATAGGCATTCTAGTACATTGTGACTAGGAATGCAAAATGAGGCAATCTCTATGGAAGGGAATTTGACTGGCTGTATCTAGCAAAATTACATATGCATTTCCAGCAATACAGTTTCTAGGAAACTATTCCAAAACATCACTGGCAAAAATATGAAAAAGTATTTGTGTAGGCTATTTATTGCAGCTCTGTTTGTCATAACAAAAGACTAGAAATAGGCCGAGCATGGTGGCTGTAATCCTAGCACTTTTTGAGAGGCCAAGGCGGGCTGTTTGCTTAAGCCCAGGAGTTCAAGGCCAGCCTGAGCAACATGGTGAAACTCCATCTCTATTTCAAATTTTAAAAATAAATAAATAAATAAATACTGGAAATAACCCAAATGTCTAACAACAAGGGACTGACTAAATTAAATATGAAGTACTATGGAGCATTAAAAAAAGAATAAATATCTCTACATACTGCCATGGGCTGATTGACAGCACCTATTGTTAAGTAAAGAAAGGTCAAACTGTATGTCAATTTTATCCCAATGTTCATTTAAAAAAAAGAGAAGTGGGGAAATCTGGATGCTACTCTATATCTAAGAATATATACATGTATATATTTAAATTTCTAAAAATCAAAAGCAAAAATAAAAGACTATCCGCACAGTGAGTTAGTGATACAATTACAGAGAGAAAAACTGTCTCAAACAACTTTAGACCACTGCAATTTGATTGTATATTCCTAGTGAGATATACCCTAAGGACAAAAAAAAAGGAACTGAAAGAATAGTTTTATTGTGGAGACAAAAGTGGCCCCATCTTGGATGCTAATCCACCATGTCGTCATCTGATTAGCCCCAGTCCCAGGAACGCCTCCTGATTCCTACTTTATTTACTGTCCCTAGTGTAAGAATATATCAACTTTGATGTTATCACACAAATTATAGGCTGTGACGCACATAGCATTCTAGCCTGTTCTGGACAGTTGCCTTTGTCTTGCACTAAGCACATATACTCTTTCCCTATGGTATATAAATAAGCCTTGGGTCTGAGATAACAGTGTGAGATCCACCTGTCTTGCAGCTGCCCAAGAGCAGGCTTCCGTCTGTAAGTTCCCCAGTGAAACACGCTTTAGCAACAAACTGGACTTGCCTACCTTGTTCTTTGGTTTCTCAGCTCCTTTGACCTTTGGGGGCCACTTTGCATGTATGGCCCTTTCATGGAAAAGCATTATCATATTAATGGCGATAATATTGATGTTGTTATTTTAAGACTGTGTATAAGTATTGAGGGATAAAGCAAACGTTGGTGGATTTGGAAACTAGAATATTTGGTTGGGAGAAAAAAACAGATGCAAGTATGTGAAGTTATATAAAAACACTGAGAGCCTCTATTTGAATGGAAAGTATCTTTTTCCTTGATCCTAGAGCTGGTAAAAAAAATTTTAAAAAAATAAAGAAAGTATTAGTATAAACAGACAATGAGTTTATTTTTAAAATATGTTTATATTTTCTTCCCACTAAAAGGCCCTAGAAACAAGAACCAATCCAGCAGCAACAAGCATCTCTGGCAGTCTATCATTTCCCTTCAACTGAAATCAGATCTTCTTAAAGAAATGCTTGGCTCTCAGACTGGGAACGGAAATGTACAAGATGTGCTTCGATATCTGGTCAAATCAGAAACTCAAAAAGCTATCAAAGTCTCTTTGGACTGTGTCAGAAAGAGGTGAAAAGACTCCCACTTGCCAAAGACGGGACAATTTGAGCATTCATAAGACTAATCACTATAATGGACTATAGTGAACTGAAGTACATCAAATATGTTTCAATCCATGATTTCATAATGGTATCTTAAATAATTGGTCACTTGTGGAGGACTCTACGTAACCAACTCAACAACTTGAAAACTGGTAATAAAGAGAAATCCTTTATTCTGCCTTTCCTATAGAAACCATAACTGAACCCCATGGTTGATGAAGCAATTTCTCTTACACAAGCAGTCTACCTAATAACTGAAGAAAGGAGCGAGCAGGGCAGGAGAGTGGGTGTGGGGGAGAAAAAAGAATAAATACATAAATGAAGAAAGAAATAATAGAATTCCAATATTACTATTTTGCAACTCCTAATGAAATAATGGATTAGTCGATGATCACGAATGACTTAGAACATCACCAAAAGAGACGGACACAAGCAGACAGCATGTACCTCTGGGTGAATGTTCACAACATTCCCTGAGAAGGGGCCCTGCAAAAACAAACACTGAACTTCAATCTGATCAGACCTCTAGATGAAATTAGCAATTCACAAGAAGTCAGCGATCAGAGGAGTGTCTTACATAGCACCTCCAGGGTAGAATCAGCAAAACCCAGACTGGAAAGCTGTACAGTACAAAAAAAATCCATTTTCTCCAACAAACCTATTTCAAGAGGGGGAAAAAATGAGAGAGCTAACCTGTACATTAAAGGAGATATAAAAAACAATAATCAGGTCAGGCAAGGCACATCTGTAATCTCAGCACTTTGTCAGACCAAGGCAGGTAGATCGCTTCAATCAAGGAGTTCGAAACCAGCCTGGGCAATGTGGTATAAAACCTGTCTCTATCAAAAAAAAAAAAAAAAAAAAAAAATCAGCCGGGTGTGGTGGCCCATGCCCAAATCCCACTTTTGGGATTACAAATTATAATCCCAAATTTTGTATTCTGAAATCACACTTTTGGGATTATAGGTGTGAGCCACCGTGCCTGGCCTTCGATCTTGATTTAAAGTAAACTTATTACGAAACAAAATATATGAGGCAGGGTACGGTGGCTCACACCTGCAATCCCAGCATTTTGGGAGGCTGAGGCAGGCAGATTGCTTGATCCCAGGAGGTCAAGACCAGCTTGGGCAAGACAGGAAGATCTCTACCAAAACTACAAAAATTAGCTAGGTGTGGTGGCATGCACCTGTAGTCCCAGCTACTCAGGAGGCTGAGGTGGGAGGATCACTTGAGCCCGGGAGGCAGAGGTTGCAGTGAGCTGAGATCACACCACTGCACTCCAGCTTGGGAGAATCTGAAAAAAATCAGAGACCCCTAAATTCCAAGCTATTTTGCCACTGTTCTGAGCCTAGGAATCTGCTGTTTTCAGTAAAGACCACTTCAGAGTCCAGAACCACAGGGTTGGACCATCTCCCTCCAATTGTCTCTTTACTGATCATGACCACCTCTCCCATTCTCTCCCAGCCTCCCCTCCTACCAGCACAGAGGAGAGAACCAGGAGAGTGGAGGATTCAGCCACCCAGAATGATGTGCAGGCGGGGCGTGGTATTTCACGCCTATAATCCCAGCACTTTGGGAGGCCAAGGTGGGTAGATCACTTGAGGTCAGGAGTTCAAGACCAGCCTGGTCAACATGGTAAAACTCCGTCTCTACTAAAAATACAAAAACTAGCCAGGCGTGGTGGCACGTGCCTGTAGTCCCAGCTACTTGGGAGGCTGAGGCAGGAAAATCACTAGAACCAGGAAGGCAGAAGTTGCAGTGAGCTGAGATAGCACCATTGCACTCCAGCCTGGGCAACAGAGTGAGACTCTATCTCAAAAATAATAAATAAATAAATAAATAAATAAATAAATAAAAACAGAATGAGGTGCAGACAAGAGGTTCCCTGAAAGTGGTTCCAATTCATACTCTTACTCATCTGGAGCATAGATTTTGGCATTATTGGGGATGTCCCCAAATGAACAAGTTCTGCTCATGTGATATGAGTTGATGTTCCTGATCCCAACTGGGCCTGTGATTTGGAAAGAGAAGTGTTTAGGATACTCCTCCAAATACCACCAGCAGCTAGAATAACTGTAAATGATGCACTGTGGGACTCCACTTTGAAAAAAGGGACACTCTGTGTCCACGACCTAGATGCTCCTAAGTCAGAAGAACTAAGAATTAGCCAATATCCCCACCTATGCCTACTATAGTCTCTCAAATCACTCAACCTTTCCTAGATTCAGTTGCTACTTCTGCAATAAGGGATAATATTTTATCTAGACCAGGAACCAGACTAGGATACCTCTTGAGGTCCCTAACTGCTTTGAGCTCTAACCTTATCAGCTACAATACTGGGAGGAACTCCTTATTTCAGAGAACAGAATAAACAGCAGGACCCAAGGAAGGGCAAGAATGGGCAAGTTAGGAAGTGTTGCTGGACATGTGAAGCCAAGGGTTGAACCTGGTAGGCAGACACTAATTAAACAAATGTAATACTTACTGAGCTCTTACTACATGCCTGCTGCTAGGCTAGGTCCTTTTTATGCCTCATCCCATTATTACCCTCAACAATCTGTAGGCAACAACCCTCACTTCCTTCTCTCAAAGGAAACCTCACTCCGACATCTCAGGAACATGTCTCTTACGCATTTCGTATTTCAAACACCTGGAAGTTATATGTAATAACTGAAAAGTTTCATGCAACGTGCAGCAAAGATGCTGAGGGACAGCCCAGGTCTAATGTGGAAGGTCTGAGTTCATGGGGTGGGAGGAGGTGGGGGTCAAAGACCTCCATAATACAATGAACAAAGCTTCTTCCATCTTACCTTCAAGCAGCAGCCTATCTAAAAGAATTTGTCATCTTTGCAAAAGACATCCAGAAGATTCCAAGCTTCTCCAGTCAGAGCTTTGTGTTTGACAGAAGCCATGACCAGCCATTGCTCCATTCCCAGTGGCTCATCTGGCCATCTGCTATCTTGGGTTTTTTTGTTTGTTTGTTTGTTTTCAGAAACTCCAGCAAGCAACACATGAATCACATCTCTAAACAAAGGCTTGTTCCACCTCTTACAATTTTATAATAAATGAGTGAGGCTGAAAGTGGGGTGTATTTATTTGCAAGAAGTCACAATGTAAGGGGTGATTATAGAGCAATTGTTTTTTCTCTATCATTTCCTAACAAGAGTCATACCTTGAAGTTTCAATAATTACATACTGATAGTGACACACAAAAAAGAGGAATTTACATGGGAAGCAAAGATGTGAACTATATTACGTGGATTTTTTTTTTAAGATGGGGTCTTACTCTGTCATCCATGGTGGAGTGCAGTGGCACAAACATGGCTCATGGCAGCCTTGACATCCCCAAGCTCAGGTGATCCTCTCACCTCAGTTTTTTAAATTAAATTAATTTTTTGTTTTTTATTTTTAGTAGAGACAGGGTTTTGTCATCTTGCCCAGGCCAGTCTCAAACTCCTGGACTCAAGCAATCTGCCTGCCTTGGCCTTCCAAAGTGCTAGGATTACAGGCGTGAGCCACATATGGATTTTTCTGTCCCCAGTGAAGGAGCAACATTTGAACTGTGTTTACATTAGTCTAGCCAAAACAAAAACAAAAAAAACTCTTTCCCTCACCAAACCATATAATTAACAATGGGGCTTAACTCTGTAGCCACAATCATACCCAGCATTATTTCAGTGAATCAATGAAGCAATAATGGGGCACAGGGCTTTATTAGTTGTCTGTGCCTCCTGGCTATGGAGATTCAGTACGATAAACATGTCCATCTGAAAATTCAGTATTTCTGGTTGCTTCACTTGTCTGTGAAGACCCCTGACATTTAGGGACATGCAGTTTTGCTGAGGCTCAGACACAAGTGGCACTGCCCAGCTGGGCATGGTTGAGTGAGTATGGATGAGAGCTGACTACCCAGCTTCCCAAAGCGGCTCTGCATTTCTCAGCAGGTGGTCTCACAGGCAGAAACCTACGGGAAACACCTTTTTTAAAAAACCTTGTTTCTTTGTGAAAATCGCCTCCCAATAAAGCCACTTGCTTACACAGGTAATAGAAGCAATGAAAATGTCTGGCCAGGTGTGGTGGCTTACGCCTGTAATCCCAGTACTTTGGGAGGCCAAGGTCAGGAGTTTGAGACCAGCCTGCCAAATATGGTGAAACCCTGTCTCTACTAAAAATACAAAAATTAGCCGGGCATGGTGGCGGGCGCCTGTAATCCCAGCTACTCAGGAGACTGAGGCAGGAAGAATCACTTGAATCTGGGAGGCGGAGGTTGCAGTGAGCCGAGATCGCACCATTACACTCCAGCCTGGGCAACAAGAGCAAAACTCAGTCTCAAAAAACAAAAAACAAAAAACAAAAAAAAAAAGAAGTAATGAAAATGTGAAGAGATCTAAGAAAGTGACAGTTTTTAGGAATTGTAAATTGGGGTAAAGACTGGAATTTTTATCTCAATGATAGTTCAGCTCTATGATTCCAGCATAAATGCAGACATTTCGTAAAAGACTAGAGAAATGATTTCAGGAAATGTGTCCAGCCAGCTCAAACATTTCTCACAGAGTACGATACAAAGCTTAAGTGAAAGTAGGAACAGCAGATAACTTGTGGTAAGAGAATACAAACAGGAAGCAGCAGCCTCTCGAAGTAAATATTATTGAATCAGGCCTAGAAGACCTGGGGAAGTATTTATGTATCATCTAATTGGAAGATTTACAAAGCTCTCTAGTGTCTTTGGTAGAGGTCAAGAAAGGGTCGGCTCTCCTTCCTGCAAGCAGGCCGGTGGGATCACTGCACAGCAGCCTCCCTCTCCTTTTAGGATCCCTCATCTAACCCCACACCAATGGATTTTGGGGGTTGAAAGATTCTGGGCTGGGCACGGTGGCTGATGTCTGTAATCCCAGCACTTTGGGAGGCTGAGGCAGGAGGATCACTTGAGCCCAAGAGTTCAAGACCAGCCTGGGCAACATGGCAAGACCTTGTCTCCATAAAAATTTTTTTAAAAAATTAGCCAGGCATGGTGGTGTGAGCCTGTGGCCCCAATTACTCAGGAGGCTGAAGTGAGAGGATTGCTTGAGCCTGGGAGGTTAAGGCTGCAGTGAGCCAAGATCGCACCACTACACTACAGCCTGGGTGACAGAGTGAGACCCTCTCTAAATAATAAATAAAGACTCTGGGGCCGGGCGCAGTGGCTCACGCCTGTAATCCCAGCACTTTGGGAGGCCGAGGTGGACAGCTCACGAGGTCAGGAGTTCGAGACCAGCCTGGCCAACATGGTGAAACCCCATCTCTACTAAAAATACAAAAATTAGCTGGGCTTGGTGGCACGTGCCTGTAATCCCAGTTACTCAGGAGGCTGAGGCAGGAGAATCGCTTGAACCTGGGAGGCAAAGGTTGTAGTGAGCTGAGATCATGCCATTGCACTTCAGCCAGGGTGACAGAGTGAGACTCCATCTCAAAAAATAAATAAATAAATAAAAAATAAAGGCTCTGAACTCCCCAGAACAAGACTGTCTTGTGGTTAAGATGAGATGTGGGGGTGGGGTTGTAAAAGCAGTCAGCATGCCGAGCATAGAGCCCCTCTCCAACAGGAAAGTCTTCAGACTCATCTTCCAAGACCTCATCCTCTCTCTATATAGATATTATCTAGTGCTGCATGCATATCCTCCCCTCCATTCCTACTTGATTTATTATTTTACTCTTGTTCAATGATATCTGGACTTATATGTCTTTTCTTGTAACTATCAAAGTCCCTTTGGATATAAATTTGGTGTACATAAATAACAATAGTGGGGCCGGGCACGGTGGCTCGCGCCTGTAATCCCAGCACTTTGGGAGGCCGAGGCAGGCGGATCACGAGGTTAGGAGATCGAGACCATCCTGGCTAACACAGTGAAACCCCGTCTCTACTAAAAATACAAAAAATTAGCCGGGCGTGGTTGCGGGCGCCTGTAGTCCCAGCTGCTCAGGAGGCCGAGGCAGGAGAATGGTGTGAACCCAAGAGGCAGAGCTTGCAGTGAGCCAAGATAGCGCCACTGCACTCCAGCCTGGGCGACAGAGCGAGAGTCCGTCTCAAAAAATAATAATAATAATTTTTTAAAAAATAACAATAGTAGTTACCAAGCATTGACTGTAATATGCCAAACAACGTATATACATTGTCTTTTATCCTCATGATGCTTGGAAATAGAATTTACAAGAAACAGAGGCACAGGAAAGGGAGGCAACTCATTCACTTTCTCACAGCTAGTAAGTGGTGGGCTCAGGGTTCAAACCCAAGTAGGAAGGAATCTATGTCGGACTCATGCTGTTAGTAAGTTGTCTTTAATGGTGTGTATATCATTCGTATTCCTCTCTCACCTACTACTAGTTACGCAGTTTTACAAAAGCTGTTTCCTAAGCTGAGCTAAAGGAAGGTTAACTACAAACACACCTGCGTGCACGCACACACCCTTTATTCAGCTAGATTACTTCATCCTTTCAACCAAAGGAATTGGGCCTCTTCCATGCCAGACACTGGCATGGTAAACATGTCAGCCATGGTCCCTGCATTTCTGGAGCTTCTATTTTCACTACCGCTATTCCCCAGGTATGTCTTAAACGATACCTTCTTTAGTAGGCATTCCTTGTCACCCCAGACTAAATTAGATGACCTCATTATACAGTACCATGCTTTTCTTTCATAACACCCAATACCCTGTAATTACTTGTTCAATGTCTTTCTTCTTGGGCCGGGTTCGATGGCTCATGCCTGTAATCCCTGCACTTTGGGAGGCCGAGGTGGGTGGATCACCTGAGGTCAGGAGTTCGAGACCAGCCTGGCCAACATGATGAAACCCCTGTCTCTACTAAAAATACAAAAAATTAGCCAGGAGTGGTGGCAGGTGCCTGTAATCCCAGCTACTCAAGAGGCCTGAGGCAGGATAATTGCTTGAACTTGGGAGGCGGAGGTTGCAGTGAGTCGAGATCACACCACTGCACTCCAGCCTCGGCAACAAGAGCAAAACTCCGTCTCAAAAAAATAAAAATAAAAAAGTCTTTCTTCTTATTGTCCTGTGACCTCCATGAGGATGAGACGGGCTGTCCTGTTCGCTGCTATAGCCAGTATCTTGTGTAGCACCTGGCACCTAAGAGAAAATTCATAATTGTTTGTTGAATGAATGGATGTGAACAAGCAGTAGGAAAAGACTTTCTCAAAGGTTAGGGAAGATGGTGCAGGGTTGGTGACTAACCCATATTTAGCTGATATCAGTTTCTGTGCCACTAAGTTCTAACCTCTCTCTGCTTAATAGGAACCAGCAGCCTCTGAGTTTAAGCCTCCCTCCATTGCACACACATTCCAGTGTCTGCCTTGCTAATGAGCTCTGCCAGGCTCAGCCCAGGAGCTGTACCAGTGAGTGGCAGCCTGCCCTGTGGAAGGGACTAATTAATCCTAAATGTCACATTGGTCTCATAGCTCTTGCCCTTTACACACATACCCAATCTGGGTATCTCTTTAATCACAATCTCTAGCCCTGGATTGAACCTCAAGAGAATCAACAATACCTGGAACGAATGACCACATCCCCGCTCCACCCCTCACTGTGTTGGGGTTACCTGGAGATGGTGTCTTTCCCACTGTAGTCTGTAGGAGGAGGTCACACACCTGGGAATAAGAGTGGTCTCTGAAAGAGATGGCCATTCAGGTATTAGGCAGGCATAGGTGAGGTGGGTCATCAGATAGGGACCTGGAACTCAGAAGGGAGCCTTTCACAGGAGGGGTGGGAACCTCCATGCGTCTCTAACCTTCTCTACTCAGACTCAGGGAGTTGCCATGGGAGGGAGCCAGGAAGGGGCAACTCCTGCAGTTGCCTTCAATGACTCTGATTCTGGTTACCTGCTGCTCAGTCCTTCACTTTCTCTTTCCTTAGCTCTTGGCCTTTAGGGAGGTCCTGTTTTAACAAGACTGTTCCAGGTGTGTGCAGTGCTGATGGCCTCAGCTGTACTTGTTCATAGACATAAAGGGACAGAAAAACCTCTGGGGACAGGGTAGGGCTGCAACGTCCAGCTTCGCTCCCCAGGGAGATGCTCCCATCACAAAAGATGTACCACTTATTTTGTTACAGGAGGCTGCTGTTTCTTTGCAGCATCTTTTTGGTTGTTTTTGAGATGGGGTCTCATTCTGTTGCCCAAGCTGGAGTACAGTGGCATGATCATGGCTCACTGCAGCCTCAAACCCCTGGGGCAATCCTCCCACCTCAGCCTCCCAAGTAGTTGGTACTACAGGTGCTCACCAACACACCTGGCTAATTTTTATATTTTTTGTAGAGATGGGGGTACACCATGTGGCCCAGGCTGGTCTCAAACTCCTAGGTTCAAGTAATCTGCCTGCCTCAGCCTCCCACAGTGCTGGGATTACAGGCATGGGCCACCGAGCTCAGCCTTTTGGCAGCATCTACACAAGCTGCGGAAGGCCTCTGATTCCAGGCCTCAGATGGAGTGCCCCAAAGTGGCATGAGACTCAGCTCTGCAGATTTTTGCCCTGGGGCTTAGAGTTGTTCTGCTCTTCACAGATCCCAGCCTGGAATAACCCCATCTCTACCAAAAAAACACAAAAATTAGCCAGGTGTGTTGGTGAGCACCTGTAGTCCCAGCTACTTGGCAGACTGAGATGGGAGGATTGCTTCTGCCTTAGGAGTCTGGGGACCTTGCCAGAGGAAGGTCACCACCTGTCAGGCAAAGGGATTCCTACTGTAACCCCAGGGTCAGGAATCCGGTCCACAAACTGCTTTTCATCCCAAGACCTCAGGCTCAAAGTCAAAGTTCCCCTCTTCTGTGTTGTGCAGCACCACCCCCACCACACTCCCACCAATCCAGGGCACTTTTCTAGTTTCTTCATGAATTAGATCTCCCTTTTCTTGATCTGAAAGAAAAGGACCCTAATAACAAGCCAGAACTCCTCCCAGCAAAATCCCTGGGATTAATAACATTGGTACTTACTTTGTTCATGTGTGAATAATCAATATTCTCCAGCCTCTTTTCTGTCTCTTTTGTGCACACACTTTCCCATAGATACTATCGGTCTTCCCTCAGTCTGCAGCTGAAACTCTGTGACTGCTGGGGGCAGGCCCTGTTCTCTTCAGCTCTCACTCTGGACCCCAAGGTTAGTGCTCTGGGCCGGGCGCGGTGACTCACACCTGTAATCCCAGCACTTTGGGAGGCCGAGTCTGGTGGATCACTTGAGGCCAGGAGTTCAAGACTAGCCTGGCCAACATTGCGAAACCCTGTCTCTACTAAAAATACGAAAATTGCCAGGCATGGTGGCACGTGCCTGTAATCCCAGCTACTTGGGCAGGAGAATTGCTTAAACCTGGGAGGCAGAGGCTGCACTGAGCCAAGATCACGCCACAGCATTCCAGCCTGAGCGACAGAGTGAGACTCTGTCTCAAAAAAAAAAAAAAAAAAAAGAAAGACAGTGATGTGTTAGCAAACCAGCTTGTGGGGGAGATGGGGATCCCTGATTTGTAGCAGTTATCCGTGTGTAGTTATTCCGTGGTGTAGATACTTCCTCCCATGACCAATTTCCAACCACTGACAGTTTAACAACCAGCTTGCAAATTTCCTGAATATTTAACACTCTCACTAGCAGGTCTGAGCTGGCTCCAGCACACCACTGGTTCAGGGGAATCACTGGAGCTTACCTGGGACCCAGGATGTCTTGACAAAATGAGTAACAGATCACATGGAAGTGAAGAGAGAGAGGGTACCTCACACGTCATTTCTGCCCGCTGGCTCCCCTGGCTCAGGGTACTGGAAAGAGTACGGGCTTTAGAAAAGCTCTAGGTTCAAGTCCTTGTGTGACTGCAAGTTTCAGCATCCAACTCTGCAAAATAGGATTGATAAAACCAACCCACAGGATTACTTTGAAGATAAAATTAGATACCTAGATTAAATGCCTAACAAATACATGGAGCAAGCTCTCAATATACGTTTTCTTTTGCCCCCACCCTGTCCTAATTTTCTAGTAGTTCAAAGAATTCTTTTCCAAAGGACCCAATAGGAGAAGCTCAAATGCATCACTGTCAAAGAGGGGACAGGTAAGTCTACCCAATCCACCCCAGTGTGAGCTTTAACTTTGGACCCCTTCAAGGAGCACAGCTCTTTTCTGCTTCAAGACTCTCCTTTGTCCTCATTCCAAGAGGTGAGTTCACCAAAATTTTCTGGGGTTCATGCCACCTAGCTTCATTCTCCTCTGATATGGCAAGCTGCACCCAGAATCAGAAACCACACTTCAAAAAGGGAGCAGCATGTCAGGGCCAGAGCAAGGGCATCGGCTGCCCCAAGGCTGCCCTTTGTACGGGGCAGAGCACATAAAGCTTTCCGCAAGCCCCAAATGCCTCCCACATCAAACCAGGTCCTATAGTCAATGGTTACACTGAACACTCATGGGGATTTATGGCACAATTTTGCAGCAGGAGGTTGTGGTCCGAGATTTAGAAGAACTTTCCAACTATAAAACTACCCTAGAAGGAAGTGGAATCTTTGACTCTGTGGCTCGAGTGAGGGAGGAGTCAGAAGCAGAAGGGACATGAGGCTCCCTAGATTTGAGTTTTGCTGCTCACAAACAATGAAATGATTGGGATCATACAGCAGAGACAGCAAATGAAACTTTGGAGAAATACCGTTTCTTTTTATTTTTTATTTTTATTTTTATTTTTATTTTATTTTATTTTATTTTATTTTATTTTTTTGAGACGGAGTCTCACTCTTTTGCCCAGGCTGGAGTGAAGTGGCATGATCTCGGCTCACTGCAACCTCTGCCCCCGGGTTCAAGCGATTCCCTGCCTCAGCCTCCCCAGTAGCTGGGATTACAGGTGCTTGCCACCACGCCCGGCTAATTTTTGTACTTTTAGTAGAGACAGGGTTTCACCATGTGGCCAGGCTGGTCTCGAACTCCTGACCTCAGGTATTCCACCCACCTCAGCCTCCCAAAGTGTTAGGATTACAGGCGTGAGCACCACCCCCAGCCTAAGAAATATGGTTTCTTGTGACAAAGAGCTTTTGGTAACTCAGGAAATTTTCAGAAACTTTGAAGTATTATACAAAAACTCTTAATTAGAATTAGATGAGAAGGCCAGGTGCAGTGGCTCATGCCTGTAATCCCAACGCTTTGGGAGGCCGAGGCAGGCGGATCATGAGGTCAAGATATCGAGACCATCCTGGCCAACATGGTGAAACCCTGTCTCTACTAAAAACACAAAAGTTAGCTGGGCGTGGTGGTGCGCGCCTGTAGTCCCAGCTACTCAGGAGGCTGAGGCAGGAGAATCGCTTCAACCTGGGAGGTGGAGGTTGCAGTGAGCCGAGATCATGCCACTGCACTCCAGCCTGACGACAAGACTCCATCTCAAAAAAAAAAAAAAAGAATTAGATGAGAAGATCTGGGTTTGAGCCATATCTGGCCACCTTCCAACTGACTGACCTATGCAAGTTATTTAACCACACTGAGTCTCAGTCACTCATATGTTCACTCACTCAGGCTATATTTATTGAGCATGTAGCATGTGTCTTGCATGGGGCTAAGAGAATCCTGGGAAGATAATGGTGAGCAAAACCGGGCACAGTCCTTTTTCTTTTCTTTCCTTTTCTTTTTTAAGTAGAGACGGGGTCTCACTCTAATGCCCAGGCTGGTCTCGAACTCCAGGGCTCAAGTGATGCTCCCACCTTGGCCTCCCAAAGTGCTGGGATTACAGGCATAAGCAACCTTGCCAGGCCCATGGTCCTTTTCTTACGAAGCTGAAAATTTATTCCTCCGTAACAAGGCATACTAATGCTGAGACCACTGGATATGCACATGCAAAAGAATGAAGTTGGACCCTTACCTCATACCATAGACAAAAATTTATTCAAAATAGATCAAAGACCTACATGGAAGAGATAAAACTATTAAATTCTTAGAAGAAAAGACAGATGTAAATCTTTGTGACCACAGACTAGGCAGTGGTTTCTTAGCTATGACACAGTGCACAAGCAGGAAAAAAAAATAGATAAATTGGACTTCAAAATTTAAAACTTTTGTGCTTCAAAGGACATTAAGAAAATAGGCTGGGCATGGTGGCCCATGCCTGTAGCCCAAGCACTTTGGGAGGCCAAGCCAGGAGGATTGCTTGAGCCCAAGAGTTCGAGATCAGCCTAGGCAACAAAGCGAGACCCTGTCGCTATTAAAAAAAAAAAAAAAAAGAAAAGAAAGAAAGAAAGAAATAGGTAAAAAAGACCCATAGAATGGGATAAAATATTTGTAAATTATGTATCAGTTAAGAGACTTATATTTAGAATTTATAACAAACTCTTACAACTCAATAATAAAAAGACAACTCAATTAAAAAATACGCAAAGGATCTGAATAAACATTTCTCCAAAGGTATACAAATGACCAATAAGCACATGAGAAGACGTTCAGGCCAGGCGCGGTGACTCAGCACTTTGGGAGGCCGAGGTGGGCGGATCACTTGAGGTCAGGAGTTTGAGACCAGCCTGGCCAACATGCTGAAACCCTATCTCTAGTAAAAATATAAAAAAATAGCCAGGAGTGGTGGTGCACACCTGTAGTCCCAGCTACTCAGGAAACTGAGGCAGGAGAATCGCTTGAACCCAGGAGGCAGAAGTTGCAGTGAGCTGAGATCGTGCCACTGCATTCCAGCCTGGGCGACAGAGCGAGACTCCATCTCAAAAAAAAAAAAAAAAAGATATTCAACATCATTAACCACCAAGAAAATGCAAATCTAAACCACCATGAAATACCACTTCATACCCACTAAGATGGCTAGAATCAAAAAGACAGACTGGAGAAACTGGAACCTTCATACACTGCTGGTGAGAATGTCAAATGGCTCAGCAACATTGGAAAGCAGTTCTCAAAAGTGGAACATAAAGTTAATGACCTCGAAATTCCACTCCTAAGTGTATACCAAAGAGAAAATGGATGTCCACACAAAATCTTATACATGAATGTTCACACTAGCATTATTCATAATAGCTAAAATTTGGAAACAGTATAAATGTCCATCAACTGATGAATGTATAAATAAAATATGGTATATCCATACAATGAAATAGTATTCAACAATAAAAAGAAAGTACTGATTCATGCTACAACACTGAAAACACTATGCTAAGTGAAAGAAGCCAGACATAAAATGCCACATATTGTATGATTGTTTATATGAAATGTCCAGTGTAGGCAAATCTATAGAGACAAAAAGTAGATTAGTGGTTGCTTAAGGCTGGGAAGGGGAGAGATTGGGGGTAAAACCGGAAATGACTGCTAATGAGCATGGGACGTCTTTGAGTGTGATGAAAATGTTCTAAAATTGTGGTGATGGTTGCACAACTCTGTGAATATACTAAAAACCATTTCTGCCGGGCGCGGCGGCTCACGCCTGTAATCCCAGCACTTTGGGAGGCCGAGGTGGGTGGATCACGTGGTCAGGAGTTCAAGACCAGCCTGGCCAAGATGGTGAAACCCCATCTCTACTAAAAATACAAAAATTAGCCGGGCACGGTGGCAGGAGCCTATAATCCTAGCTACTCTGGTCTGAGCAGGAGTGTCGCTTGAACCAGGGCGGCAGAGGTAGCAGTGAGCCAAGACTGAGCCACTGCACTCCAACCTGGGCAATAGAGTGAGACTCTGTCTCAAAAAAAAAAAAAAAAAAACACATTTCATTGTACATTTTTAAAGGGTGGATTTTTTTTTTTTTTGAGATGGCGTCTCACTTTGTACCCCCCAGGCTGGAGTGCAGGAGCATGATCTCGGCTCACCACACTGCAACCTCCACCTCTTACAAGGTGAATTATATAGTATGTGAATTGTATCTCAATATAAATGTTATTAAATTGTATACCCACATTCACAGCAGCATCATTCACAATAGCCAAAAGGTGGAAGCCATCCAAGTGTCCATCAATAGATGAATGAATAAGCAAAATGTGGCCAGGCCTGGTAGCTCACACCTGTAATCCAAGCACTTTGGGAGGCTGAGGTGGGAGGATTGCTTGAACCTAGGAGTTCGAGACCAGCCTGGGCAACTTGATGAGACCTCATCTCTACCAAAAACACAAAAATTAGCCAGGCATGGTGGTGCATACCTGTAGTCCCAGCTACTCAGGGGACTAAGGTGGTGAGAGGTTGACTTGAGCCAGGGAGACTGAGGTTGCAGTGGGCTGAGATCGCACCACTGCATTCCAGCCTGGGCAACAGAAGGAGACTCTGTCTCCACCCAAAAAAAAAAAAAAAATTGTATAATACATATATACATATAATGGAATATTTTTTTAAAAAGAAAATTCTGATATGCACTACAATGTGGATAAACCTTGAAGACATCCTGCTAAGTGAAATAAAAGCCAATCATGATCGGGCGTGGTGCCTCATGCCTGTAATCCTAGCACTTTGGGAGGCTGAGGCGGGTGGATCACCTGAGGTCAGGAGTTTGAGACCAGCCTGACCAACATGGAGAAACCCTGTCTCTACCAAAAATACAAAAAATTAGCCCAGTGTGTTGGTGCATGCCTATAATCCCAGCTACTCGGGAGGCTGAGGCAGGAGAATAGCTTGAACCTGGGAGGCAAAGGTTGCGGTGAGCCAAGATTGTGCCATTGCACTCCAGCCTGGGCAACAAGAACAAAAGTCCATCTCAAAAAAAAAAAAAAGCCAATCACAAGAGGAAAAATATTTTATGATTCCACCTTTTTTTTTTTTTTTAGACAGAGTTTTGCTCTGTCACCCAGGCTGGAGCGATCTCGGCTCACCACAAACTCGCCTCCTGGGTTCAAGCGATTCTTCTGCCTCAGCTTCTCAAGTAGCTGGGATTACAGGCGCCCACCACCACGCCCAGCTAATTTTTGTATTTTAAGTAGAGACGGGGTTTCGCAATGTTGGCCAGGCTGGTCTTGAATTCCTGACCTCAGGTGATCCGCCCACTTCGGCCTCCCAAAGTGCTGGGATTACACTCGTGAGCCACCATGCCTGGCCGATTCCACTTTTTTTAAGACAGAATCTTGCTGGAGTGCAGTAGTGTGAGCTCAGCTCACTGCAACCTCTGCCTCCCGCGTTCAGGCAATTCTTGTGCCTCAGTCTCCCAAGTAGCTGGGATTACAGGCACACGGCAGCATGCCCAGCTAATTTTTGTATTTTTAGTAGAGATGGGGTTTTGCCATGTTGGACAGGCTGGTCTCGAACTCCTGACCTCAAGTGATCCATCAGACTTGGTCTCCCAAAGTGCTGGGATTACACGTGTGAGCCATCGCGCCCAGCCTATTATTCCACTTATAAAAGGCACCTACATCCTGGCCAACATGGTGAAACCCCGTCTCTACTAAAAATACAAAAATTAGCTGGGCGTGGTGGCGTGTTCCTGTAATCCCAGCTACTCGGGAAGCTGGGGCAGGAGAATCACTAGAACCCAGGAGGCAGAGGTTGCAGTGAGCCAGGATCGTGCCACAGCACTCTGGCTTGGTGACAGAGAAAGACTCCGTCTCAAAAAAACAAATAAATAAAAAATAAAATAAAAGGCATCTAAAGTGGTTACATTCTACAGAAAGTAGAATGGTGGTTGCCAGGGCTAAGGAAAGTGGGGAATGTGAAGGTATTGTTTGCTGGGTGGAGTTTCAGTGGGGGAAGATGAAAAAGTTCTGAATGTGGCTGATGGTGATGGTTGCACAATAATGTGGATGTACCTAATGCCACTGAACTGTATGTTTACAAACAGTTAAAATGCTAAATTCTATGTCTATTTTACTACAATTTTCAAAATAAAGGCATAATGATAGCTCTTACCTCACAGGGTGATTGTAAGAATGAATAAGATGAATATTGGCTGAAGGAATGGCTAAAATGAGTAACAACTTTTATGAGCCTGGCCTGGAGAGCAGGGTTGGGAATGAGACAGGGAGTGGTGGAGGGACAATTTAACTGTCTACCTTAACACATGTACCATTGTTTAGGTTTTCCCCCAACTGTTATATAACTCAACAAAGTATAACATGGCAGAGGGCTGCTTACATTCTCAAGTTATTGATTTGTTCAAGTCTCAGTGTCCACAGAAAAGTGCATGAGTTTTGGGATCAACATTCTATCCTTGGCCAGTATTTGACCTTCTGTGTTTGTATCTTTATGTGTATCTTTCCCCAGATTTCTTTAGCTTTGCTTACCTTACTCCTCATCTACCCCCAATTGACTTGAGTCTTAGTCACAAAGATCTTCAATTTCCCTGTCTGATCACTAGATCCTCCCCTCTCATCTGAGAAAGGCCCCAGACTCAGATAGAAGGGCTCCCTGTCTCTCTGACCCAGTATGCCTCTTCCCCATTTTTACCTGACTTTATACAGTGAAATCTTCCCTGAGAGCTGACTTTTCAGTTCCTCACTTTGCGAATTGCAAGACCCACTCACCCAGGAGGCCGAAGATGGCTCAGAGCCCAGACAGCCGGAAGTCTGTTTCCTGGGCCGGGGAATGCTGGCAGAAATCCAGATAGCTGACGTCACCTGGTCCAGATGGCGGAAGCCATTGCCCAACCATAGGAAATCGATGCCAACAACACATTTCTCTATGACTGTCTCCCTCAATCCAGAAAAGCATTTTCATAGAGAGGAGGCAGCTCAATAGTAGTGGAAAGTGGCCTAGCCTTCGAACCATGTGATGTGTTGAGTATGAGGCTGGCTGCAGCGTCAGCTGACAGATAACGTGAGAGCGGAGCACTGTACTCCAAGTCAGAAAACGTAAGTCTGAGCAGGAGAGCGGCCACCTAACTTCTGACCTTTGACAAATCACTGGATTTCCTTCAACTGGCTTTTTTAAAGCTATGAATAATAATACCTCACAGAAGCTATTATTGCAAGGCTGGAATGAGGTCATCTGTATAGAAGATTTCATAAGCTTGAAGCAGGATGCCAATGCAAAATTCTGCCTCTGTGAGAGGCTTCCTGGGAGAAGCAGATCCTGAGGGGCAGAATGGAGAGTGACTACAGGCTGATCCCAGAGCCAGGCAGCTGGCGCTGTGTGAAAGTGGGCTTGCCGCTGCCTAGCTCTGCAATTGGGATGCATAACAGCCTCTCTGTGCCCAGTTACTCAGTCAAAATGAGGATAAGAATGCCCATGTCTGGTCGGGTGTGGTGGCTCACGCCTGTAATCCCAGGACTTTGGGAGGCTGAGGTAGGTGGATCACCAGGTCAAGAGATTGAGACCATCCTGGCCAACGTGGTGAAAACCCGTCTCTACTAAAAACACAAAAATTAATTGGGCGTGGTGGCACGCACCTGTAGTCCCAGCTACTCAGGAGGCTGAGGCAGAAGAATCGCTTGAACCCGTAAGGCGGAGGTTGCAGTGAGCCAAGATCACACCTCTGCACTCCAGCCTGGTGACAGAGCAAGACTCCATCTCAAAAAAAAAAGAATGCCCATGTCACAGGATGGTCTTGGGGGATAGGGGGACAGTAAGTGAGTTACTCCACATAGAGCACATAGCACAATGCCCAGCATGTGACAGCACTCACTGTTGAGTAATAATTAAAAAACAAATCAGGCTGGTGGGACCAGGGGAAAGCAAAGAAATGAGGCAAATGGCCCAAGACATATGGCCCTCCTGCTCAGATAATGTACATAACTCAAAAACTTCTGCTTACCATCAAACACCTCAATTTATCAAACACCCTGGCTGACAAAAAAAAAAAAAAAAATGCAAGTTACCTCCCTGCTACCCTGGCATAATCAGTACTGCACATAACACTCTACAGCCTAAGAGCCATCCTACAAAATCCCCAACAAGCCTTTGTTTCCTTGCAGTCAGCTCCTCTTCTGCTGGCCTGCCCGTTGCTCTCCTGCCCATTGCTCTCCTGTTTTTCTACTTTCTCTAATAAATTTGCCTTTCTCTACCTACAACTGTCTTGGTAAATTCTCTTACCCCTGAGCCGCCAGCCCAGATAGCCGTTGCTCCCCTGAAACATTTTGGTGGCCCATACAGGGAACTCTCCCTCTCCATACAGGGACTCTCTCTCCTTTCCCTTTCCCAACTCGGGACCCTCGAAGGACAGCATCTAAGCACAAAGACAATTGCAGGTCTCTGGCCAGAGCTACACTCCAGTGAGACTGAAAGGTGTCTGTCCATGTGGAAGCATCTGATCATCATTGCCTGGTTTGGGTGAGTGACCTGACTTTTTTTCTTTTTTCAGTCTTTCAGCAACCAGCTTCTAGTATCTCTCTGGCAATCAAAGGTAACTGGCCAGGGCCACTCTCCAGTGTTGCCTGAAGGCCCAGAGTGAACAGGGCTAGCTGCCCTGCCTGGAAGGGAGAAAGGCTGTTGCCCATCTTCTCTAATTGCAAGTCCCTCATCCCTATATGTGACACAATTGACAGCAGAAGCTTGTTCGGGGCAAACTCACACACGTTTTAGGTAACTCAGACGCTCTCTTTCTCACTCTAAATTCACCTATGGAGTCAGCCAGCCATCCTGTTCTGGGCCTTGCTAAATCAGGTGATGTCAGACAGCCTCAGAACGGTGAGTCTTCTCTTACCCACCCCACCTCCTGGGCCAAGACCAGGTAGAGATCTTCCTTTACCCTTCTTTTTCCTCGTGCCTGGGCTGATCACCCAGCATAAGTGAGTGCCTGGACTGGCCATCCAGCATGAGGCCCCTGAGCGGCCAGGAGGTCTTTTCTAATTGGTGGGATGCCCCCTTTGGAAAGTGCATCCAAGTCCCTCTGTGGATGTAAGTGGAACCCTCTGTTCATCTCAGTGAGATGCCCCCCGCAGAAAAGTGCAGTTCATGTCCCTGATTGACATTGCCCCAGAGCGGCATGTTTTCCAGTCCCACCATGGAGCAAACCCCGTCCGTTCCTGCAAACTTGCCTCTAGGCTGTAAAGAATTGTGACAAATTCTACCGCCAAACTCTCAAAAAGAAACATCTAATTTTCTTGTATAACACAGCATGACCCCTATGCAGAAAATTACCAAATTAGCCTCCTCAGTCTTTATAACCAAGAACAAAATAAGGAGGACAAGACTAAGAAAAAAACAAACACGGAGCCAAAAGGCAGGCTCAACTGTTGGCTGCTTTACAAGCCCCAGCTCCTACTCAGATAGCAGAACTCACAAACTTCCTGCTTACCATCAAACACTTCAACTTTCCAGACATCCCAGCTGACAAAAAAATGCAAGTTACCTCCCTGCAACCCTGGCGTTTTCCTAATTACTGTAATAAATCTGCCTTTCTCTACCTACAACTGCCTTGGTAAATTTTTTTTTTCTTTTTTTGAGATGGAGTCTCACTCTGTCACCCAGGCTGGAGTGCCGTGGCGCAATCTCGGCTCACTGCAAGCTCCGCCTCCCAGGTTCAAGCAATTCTCCTGCCTCAGCCTCTCGAGTAGCTGAGATTAGATTACAAGCACCCACCACCGCGCCCGGCTAACTTTTGTATTTTTAGTAGAGACAGAGTTTTACCATGTTGGCCAGGCTGGTCTCAAACTCCTGACCTTAGGTGATCCACCCGCCTCGGCCTCCCAAAGTGCTGGGATTATGGGCGTGAGCCACTACGCCCGGCTGGTAAATTCTTTTACCCCAACGCCACCACCGCAGATAGCCATCACTCCCCTGAGACACTGATGAAGCAGCGGCTAGGATGATTCTTCCAGAGGCCATCCTGTCCACTTGCAGGCCCTGGGCTGGGTGGGTATTCAGCCCAATCCCCAGAGACCTCATGCAAAGAAATGCTGCCCCAACACACTGTCCACATGGCAGGCAGAGCAATTTAGCTAAAAATCTGACCATGTCACTTCCCCACATAACAGCCCAAATATCCCCGAGCCCATCCACTTAAAGACCAACATCTTAACATTTGAGTCTCTGTGATAGGACCCTGAATCCCTCTCCAGCCTCATCTCCTGCTGCCCACAGCCTCTCATCAAGGGTCCAGCAACCCCAGACTACCTGCAGCTACCTGGCTCCTATTGCCCCTCTGCCCATCGTGGTCCCTCTTTCTCCTCAGAAACCTTGCCATTGCTAACTCCTAGTTATCCTTCAAGACACTCAGGCTCAAATTTTCCAGAAAGCCCCTTTGCAGGGCCTGCTTCCCCTTCTCTTCCCTTAATTCCTCCTGGCACTTCCATCATTGCACAAGCCAGATTGAATCCCAACTGTTCTTGTGTCTGTTTCACACCAGTCTAGGGGCTCCTTGAAGGCAGAGGCCAGCACTAGGTCTTGGTTGCCCCTGTAAAGCCAGCCCAAGCACAATGTCAGGCACAGAGTAGGCGCCCAGTAAACCGAGTGGAAAGACTGATAAATGCACACCCAGAAGCTCTATTTGCCAAAGTTTGTTTGTTCATTTGTCTTAAGGGAAAATGTTGTTTGCCTGGGGTTGGGGCCAACAATTCCAAGAAATACAGTTTCCCTTTGCCTCAGTGGTTTTTCCTTTTGTTTTCTTTTGTTTTTCTGAGAATCACCTCTGTCTATGCCTCAGACATCCCTTATACCTGTTTTTTTGTTTTGTTTTGTTTTGGTTTTTTTTATTTTTATTTATTTATTTATTTTTTATTTTTTGAGACAGAATCTCACTCTGTGGCCCAGGCTGGAGTGCAGTGGCGCACTCTCACCTCACTGCAACCTCTGCTTCCCAGTTCCAAGCGATCCTCATGCCTCAGCCACCCAAGTAGCTAGGATTACAGGCCTGCACCACTAAGGCCAACTAATTTTTGTATTTTTAGTAGAGACGGGGTTTCAGCATGTTGGCCAGGCTGGTCTTGCACTCCTGACCTCAGGTGATCCATCTGACTGGGCCTCCCAAATTGCTGGGATTATAGGCGTGAGCCACCCTGCCTGGCCCTCTGTACCTCTTTCTTCCCTGTTTTTGTACTTTGTCTCGCCTTCTTTATCACTTTGTTTCTTTTCCTTTCCTCTGTATTACATTTCTGTACCTTTGTTGCTTTATATCCTTTCTTCTTCCTTTTTCTTTTGTGGTTGAGTGGCTCTCTGTTCTATTGCCCTTTAGCCAGGGTTAGAAGCTGGTAAGAACATTCCTGGGGGCCAGGTGCGGTGGCTCATGCCTGTAATCCAGCACTCTGGCAGGCCAAGGCAGGGGGATCACTTGAGCCCAGTAGTTCAAGACCAGCCTGGGCAACATAGTGGGACCCTGTCTCTGCAAAAAATAAAAAAATCAGCTGGGTATGGCAGGGTATGTCTGCAATCCCAGCTACTCGGAAGGCTGAGGTGGGAGAGGATTACTTAAGATCAGGAGGGGAAGCCTGCAGTGAGCTATGATCACGCCACTGCACGCCAGCCTGGGTAACAGAGCAAGATTCTGTCTCAAAAAAAAAAGTATCCCTGGGTTCATGACTCTTAGAAAGAAAAAAGGAGAGTCTGAAAGGAAGAAAATCAGCTTTATTATGTACCAAGAAGTTCCAAACATTTTACTTCACATAATCTTAGTAATAAATGTGTAATGTGGTATATCAACCAAGCAGGCTAGGTTATGCTTCAGTAACAAACAACCCCCAAATCTCAATGGCTTTTATGCAGCAAAGCTTCATTGACTCTCCTGCCACATATCCATGGTGGGTTGGCCGAGGCTCTGCTCTGAGCTGTCATTGTCCTAACTCCAGGACCCAGGTTGACAGAGCAGCCACTATGTGGAATATCACCAATTACTATAGTTGAAGGAGAAAAAAAAATGTGGAAAAGCATACACTAGCTTTTAAAACTTCCACCTAGAAGGCACCATTTTAATTGGCCTCAGTAAGTCACGTAGCCACGCCTGGATTAGTGGGTAGGAGTTAAATGGAGTGGCAAAGTTCAATTTTCTTACACCCTTTGAAGGAAAGAGGGCCTCAAGTATTTAAAAATAGGTCTGATAATCACAGTGGATGTTACTGTTCCCACTTTACTGATGAAATAGCTGAGGCTCAAGAAGTTTACATAGTTTGTTCAAGAACATGCAGCAAATATCAGAGAGAGGAAGTGAACCCATGCCTTTTGATTCCTAGGACTGTGACCTTCCCCTCCACTGGGTTTTTAAGATGCTAGGCCTGGCCAGGCACAGTGGCTCATGCCTGTAATACCAGCACTTTAGGAGGCTGAGGTGGGCGGATCACTTGAGGCCAGGAGTTCGAGACCAGCCTGGCCAACATGGCTAAACCCTATCTCTACTAAAACTACAAAAAATTAGCTGGGCGAGGTGGTGTGTGCCTGTAATCCCAGCTACTTGGGAGACTGAGGCCGGAGAATCACTTGAACCCAGGAGGCAGAGGTTGCAGTGAGCTGAGATGGTGCCACTGCACTCCAGCCTCGGCAACAGACCAAGACTCTGTCTCAAAAAAAAAAAAAAAAAAAAAGGCCGAGCACGGTGTCTCACGCCTGTAATCCCAGCACTTTGGGAGGCCAAGGCGGGAGGATCACGAGATCAGGAGATCGAGACCATCCTGGCTAACACAGTGAAACCCCGTCTCTACTAAAAAATACAAAAAAAATTAGCCGGGCGCGGTGGCAGACGCCTGTAGTCCCAGCTACTAGGGAGGCTGAGGCAGGAGAATGGCGGGAACACGGGAGGCGGAGCTTGCAGTGAACCGAGATCGCGCCACTGCACTCCAGCCTGGGCGACAGAGCCAGACTCTGCCTGAAAAAAAAAAAAAAAAATTAGGCCTTTTCTACCAACTTTTTGGACACTGCTGTGAGGCTTGGCTTGCTGGAACCCAGGAAGAAAAAGGATAAGAAGCTCATCTTTGCTCACTGGCCCCAGAGCATGACTTCTGGTGAGGGGCATCAGAATCTCTCTCCAAAACATTGAGAGACTTCTAATTCCCAAGACAAAACCAGGTGGGTTATAAAACTTGCACCACAATTGTTAGAAACCTTCCAGACAAAACCAATTTATGGTAACAGAAGTCAGAATAGGCCAGGCGCAGTGGCTCACGCCTGTAATCTCAACACTTTGGGAGGCCAAGGAGAGCAGATCACTTAGGTCAGGAGTTCCTGTCCTCAGGTGATCCACCCACCTTGGCCTCCCAAAGTGCTGGGATTACAGGCGTGAGCCACCACACCCCACCAGCAGCCTGACTCATAATGGTCCCCACCGACCTGGGCAAGCAGCTGGCAAGTGCTGACCATGTGGCCAGAGGAACAGACTCTTCCGTTTCATCAGTACTGCATCAGTCTGGGCATCTTGTATGACCTGAGGGAGGGAGCCTGAAAACTGTCTGACACTGGAGTTCCAGTCAGTGGTGGGCAGGGCTGGACCCAGAGTCTATTTGAGTGAGTCCACAAAGAAACAAGACATTACTTGTAGCCCAGGAGCTGTGGGGCAATCATATCTGTTGCATATATGTGGACATACATGCCTACCTTCACATAAATGTTTCTAGATAGATAGAGAAGGATCTAGTAACAGTTATGAGTCTGGGAAGTGGGACCGGATCTCCCTTTTTTTTAACTGTTTTTTTTTTAATTGAACAGATTTTCTTGTATAATAAAAATGTATTTCAAAATTAGAATGACAGCAATAATAAACTCAGATTGCTAAATTCTTCAAACGATAGGAAAGCTGGTAACCCTGCCTCATGGGAGGGGTAAGCTTGTGACCCACACCTCGACAGTGATGTCTCCCAGCTATGGCGTGTCCTCTGGGCAGCTGGAAAGGAGGCTAAACATAGAAAAGCCTGTGGAGTGTGCCAAGACGGATCAGGCCTGGTGCTAGAACATTCCTTCACTCTGTCAATGAGCAACCACCTCGTACCTGTGTCTCAGGGACCGGGGACGTAGGAGTGAGCAAAGCACACTGGCTTCCTAGACCCCGAGACTTAGATGCTAAAGGAGGGGATGTGTGGGTCACTCTGGCCCAGCAGGAGGACAAGGAAGGAGAGTGAGAACCACAGAGGGCCCAGGAAGATCCCCAGGCCTGGTACAGGGCAGGGCGGGGAAGGTGGTATGCCTTTTCCAGGGTAGCCAGTTCCTTAGCGCCTCCTTTCAGGAACTCCTCTGCGCTATTGAGGGGCTAGAAGGTCTCTTCTTAATTAAAAATAATTTTATTTTAAAAATTAACATAAAGTAAAATTGATTTTTTTCAGTGGACAGTCCTATGAGTTTCACATGTGTAAAGATTCATGTAATCACCACAATCGATCATGTAATCACCACCACTGAAACAGAATAGCTCCACTGCCTAAAACACTCCCTCGGGCTACCCCTTTGTAGTCCCATCCTCTTTCCTGCCCCCGACAAACTCCCTGCTATTTTGCTATTTTGATCTAGTCTCTGTTGCTATCGTTTTATCTTTTCAAAAGTGTCACATAAATGGAATCATACAGTCTGTAACTTTTGAGAACTTTTTTCACTCAGCGTAATGCCTTTGAGATTCATCCAAGTCATTGCATGTGTCAGTAATTTGTTTCCTTTTTTCATTTTAAAAATGTATGCAGTTTGATGTTTTTCTCCTTTTCCTTTTCTTTTCTTTTTTTAAGCAAGGTTTCACTGTGTTGCCCAGGCTGGAGTAGTGGCATGATAATGGTTCACTGCAGCTTCAACCTCCTGGGCTCAAGTGATCCTTCTGCCTCAGCCTGAGCAGCTAGGATTACAGGCGTGCACCACTATGCCCAGATAATTTTTGTATTTTTTGCAGAGACAGGGTTTCACCATGTTGCCCAGACTGGTCTTGAACATCTGGGCTCAAGCAATCCTCCTGCCTCAGTCTCCTAAAGTGCTGGGATTACAGGAATGAGCCGGTGTACCTGGCCCCAATTAGTTTTTTTAAATTAAATTAATTAACTAATTGGCTATCAGCAGGAAACAAACCGATGAGCTTTTACATTTATATTTACCCATTTAACCACCATCTAGACAAGATAGCTTCAACCCAGGAGTCTCCCTTGTTTCCCTTGCAGTCAATATGTAGCACCCTCTTTCCTGCCCACCTCACTCCAAACTAACCACCATTCTGATTTTTTTTTTTTTTGAGACAGAGTCTTGCTCTTGTTGCCCAGGCTGGAGTGCAGTGGAATGACTTCAGCTCACTGGAACCTCCGCCTCCCAGGTTCAAGCGATTCTCTTGCCTCAGCCTCCCGAGTAGCTGAGATTACAGGCACCCACCACCACACCCAGCTAATTTTTGTATTTTTAGTAGAGACGGGGTTTCACCATGTTGGCTAGGCTAGTCTCAAACTCCTGACCTCAAGTGATCTGCCCACCTCGGCCTCCCAGAGTGCTGGGATTACAGGTATGAGCTATTGTGCCCAGCCTGCACCCCTTCTCTTTTCCATGAGTCCATGGAAGTCTAAGAGTCAACCAAGAAGTAGGCTCCTGCCCTCACACCCTGTACTCTCATACCATCTGGCACCACAGGTATCTTTCCAGCTCTTCCAAAACGAGGCCTGCTTAGGGTGGGTTTCCTTTACAGCCCCACCCAGCCTGATTCTTTCTGTTCCTTCTAAAACATACACAAAAAGCCAAACACCTCAGGGGTCAGGAAATCCACAATTTCAAAGAAATGAAGTCCTGGTTGCCCAGAGGTGGGAGAGGAGAGGAACACTTTAGTTTCTTTTTAATTCTCAGTAGATTGTTGTTACATGACATTCATAATAAACTGTCCTGCTATGTAACATATTCTTTTAAATATGATTGTTCCTTCAAATGTGATACATGTTGGGAAAGTTGTAGGGAGATCAGTTAATAATCATTTATGGGAATGTTTCCTGAATGAAGGAGCCCAGGATGGGCACGGGATAGGAGATTTCAAGTAAGGAACAGATAGGACCCTTCTGAGAGATTTCAACCCAAATTAGACAACAAAATACATATACTCTCTGAGGACAGCTCAGGTCAATGGAAATGTATTGAGCATCTACCAGTAAAAGTTAATCTTGACTGCTTAGTAGGCACCAGGCACTGTGCTAGCCCTGGGGATACTGCAACCAACCAGACAGAGATCTTCCTGCCTTGTGGAGCTCAGAAGGACAGATATGAAACACACAGGACTGAGGTGGTGACTCTTACACAAGGTGGAGTTCAGGGTACCATAGGCATGTATAGCCAGAGGACCTAACACAGGATGCAGATCAGGGAAGGCCTCTCCTAGAAGCTAATGTTCAAACTGAGACTTGAAAATGATGAAAATATAAAAACATCAGAGCAGGGGGAGGGGGAACCTGAGCTACAAGAGATCCAGACAAGTCGGAGGAACCAAAAAAATTCCAAGATATAAAAGCGTACAGACAGAGAGGTGAGTTGGGTTTAGAAGAGGCTGGTAAGGTGGGCTCAACCAAAAAAGGCCCAGTGGACCCTACACTATGGAATGAATTGTGTCCCCCCAAATTCGTATGTTGAACCCCTAACTCTCAATGCGACTATATTTGGAGATAGGGTTTTTAGGTGATTCAGGTTAAATGAGGTCCTAAGGGTGAGGCCCTAATCTGATGGGATTGGTGTTCTTATAAAAGGAACAGGATGCACAAGAGAGCTCTCTCTCCCCACATGCACAAAGAGGCCATGTGAGTACAGAGCAAAATGGCGGCCACCTACAACGAAGTAAAGAGGACTCTGGGCCAGGTGCGGTGGCTCACACCTGTAATCCCAGCACTTTGGGAGGCTGAGGAGGGTGGATCACCTGAGATCAAGAGTTTGAGAACAGCCTGGCCAACATGGTGAAACCCCGTCTCTACTAAAAATAAAAAATTAGCCAGGCATGGTGGTGGGCGCCTGTAATCCCAGCTACTCAGGAAGCTGAGACAGGAGAATCACTTGAACCTGGGAGGCAGAGTTTGCAGTGAGCCGAGATCATGCCATTGCACTCTAGCCTGGGTGACAGAGCAAGACTCTCTCTGTCTCAAAAAAAAAAAAAAAAAGAGAAAGAGGCCAGGCGTGGTGGCTTACGCCTGTAATCCCAGCACTTTGGGAGGCCGAGGCAGGCAGATCACAAGGTCAAGAGATCGAGACCATCCTAGCCAACATGGTGAAACCCCGTCTCTATTAAAAGTATCAAATTAGCTGGGTGTGGTGGCGGGCACCTGCAGTCACAGCTACTCGGGAGGCTGAGGCAGGAGAATCACTTGAACCCGAGATCACGCCATTGCACTCCAGCCTGGGCAACAGAGCAGGATGCTGTCTCAAAAAAAATAAAAAAATAAAATAAAATAAAATAAAATAAAGAAAGAAAAGAGGACTCTGAAAGTCTGAATAAAGCTGACCTTGCCAGCACTTTGGTCTTGGACTTCTCAGCTTCCAGAACTGTGAGAAATAAACTTCTGTTGTTTAAGCCACCCCGTCTAGGATATTTTGTTGTGGCAGCCTGAGCTGACTAATACACCATATAAGAATTTTGAGTATATTTCTAAAAGCCTGGTGGGAAGCCACTGGAGTTCTAAGCCAGGGACAGACATGCGTACATCTGTGAGGCTCATTCTGGCGGCAGAGTGGAGAAGGCATCTGAGCAGGGCAAGACTAGAAGCAGAGAGATGAGGTAGGAGGTGAGGGTAGGTGCTCAGGCTGGAGATGATGTTGGAGGCTTAGAGCCTGGTGATGTGGGGATGAGGAAAAGTGGAGAGATTGGAGAGACCTTCATGGGGAAAATCAAAGGACTTGGGGATTAACAGAATAAGAGGAGAGGGGAGGGGGAGTCCAAAGGCCCCCAGGTACAGTGGAAAGAGCCCTGGGCTGGGAATCTAAAGATCCAAGTTCTATTCCCAGATCTGTCACCCAATGGCTTTGGCTAAGTGGCTTCACTACCCTTCACCACTTTAGTTTCCTCATCTGTACAGGAAGAGATGGGCCTGCTGATCTCATGGTGCCGTCCAATTCCATTATCCTGTGATTCTGTGAAGTAAATGCATTAACAAGATAAAACAATGGTGTCACCTCCCCAGGATTGTTCACGGACCTCTCCTCCACACTTTACCTAACACTATTGATCACCGTATACTTAGCTGTACATTAGAAAGCTTCCATTACTGATCTGTCTCCCTCAAAAGACTGAGACCTCCTCGAGGGTAAGAACTGGGTCATTTTGCTTGGTATCCTGTACCTGAAACCAAGCCAGGCACATAGTAATTGATTAATTATATTTGTTAAATTGATTATTGTAAGTGCTGGGAAGACAGGCACATGGTTATTCCGGGAAGGCATCTGGGTATGATGTATGTTTTCTGAGTACAGGGCACTGTGATGGGTGCTAGGGCCATCAGAGTAAACAAGAAAACCAGTCACAGACCTTACGTCAGGTAGCTAGGCAGACATTAAACACAAGAGGACAAAAATGATGATTTATTTCTAGTTGTGGTGAGTACTACAAGGAAAAGTACTGGGTATTGTGAGTGTGTAATAAAGAGACTAGCTTGGGGGTAGAGGGAAGGTTTCTCTGAAAGAATGACCCTTAAAATAATAAGGATGAGTAGATTTGCTCACAGATTGAAGGAGGGGAGAGACAGAGAGCATGACTGCAGGTAAAAGAAGCAATAAGCACACATGAAGGCCTGAAGCTGGACGGAGTTCTGGCGAGGAGAATGCCAGATGGAAATCCACCGGAATGTAATGTTAGCTAATTTGGGTTATGGAATTATTGGTGCTTTTTATTCTCTTTTGTGTATATTTTGCATATTACAGATTTCCCACAACAAACATGTACTATTTTAATCATGGGGGTTGGGGGGGGCATTGCTAGTTTTAACAAAATAATAAAGGATGTGGGGAGCATGGGTGTCTGGAGGAGGGGTGCATTCCAGAGGGATTGATGACAGGAGCGGTGACTAAGTCCTGCATGGGGGAGGGCAGGAGGCCCATCAGTGGGGCTGGAACAAAGCAGCAAGGATGACTCACAAAAGACACAGCCGAAGCCAGTGCAGCAGGGCCCGTGGAGGTGAGGCTGGGGAGTCGGAGGTGATATGAGAAGTCGCAGGGAGCTACTGTCAGACCAACTAGGCAGGGACAGCCTACACCTGAGTAGAGGAGAGGATGAGGAACCAGAGAGAAAAAGCTCCCCTCAGCAGTCCCTGTGGGGCTGGTACAGGACCTTGGGAACCTGGTAAGGGCAGAGTCCTCCTTGTTACTTTCCAGGCACGAAAGGGTTAGATTGTCCCGTGCTTTCTGCCCCCACAGCGGAAGTGGAAGCTGTGGTTTCCAAAGGCCCTTCCTGATCTGCAATCTCTGAGAAATCAACTAAAGAGATAAAGTCAAAGGTTGGTTGGTGGTGTGCAGTGGGCGCGGGGGTGGATCACAGGCAGGAGTTGGAAAATTGAGGCCTGATGCAAGCTCTAAGATCCGCCCCCACCCACTCCTGATCATGAGTGATAAGCACCCCACCACCCACTCTGCCACTTGGCCGGGATTTCCCCGGAGCCTGTGAAGTATTCCCAGGGCTGGGATGTGACTTGGGAGGAGGTGGTAATTGGCTCCTTTCTCCGCTCTGAGCTGGGCCTCCAGGAACTGCCTCCACCACGTCCCCCTTCCCCTCCAGGGGAGTTACTCAGCACAGTCTGACTGCTCCACCTGAACCCTCCTTAGCATCACCCACTCACCTCACACTCCTGACCCAGGTGCTGCCTGCTCATAGCCAGGGCACAGAGATGAGGAGCAACTTCATCCCAGTCTTCTACCCAGCCCCAAAGCTGAATTCCGCAACAGGACCTGGTCCTGACCCTGCTCCCATGAAGAGATGCAAAATCACACTAAATCTTCATGTTAAATCATCATATGTATCAAATGCCAACCAGTCAGTAAGCAGCCGAGGGCACGCTGTCCACAGCCCTACAGCTAGGCCTGTGCTGCTACCAGGGTGCAGAGGCAGGGGCCTTGAAGAAACAGCCCCAGCCCCTAGGAATGCTATTTGCTGTTGGAGACAACAAGTTCTTAATAAAAGCCACATCAACCCAGAAGACCTGAGTCATCTGAGAGAGACCATTTGCGCCTCTAAGCCTCAGTTTCTTCAATTGTGAAATGGTAATGACAGCTAGTTTAGAATTAAATGATGCCGTGTATGAAAAATAGATGAGAGACTTAGAAGGATCCCGTCCTTCCACAGATACTTATTCCTGGGCCAATGCTCAGGATATAAAGATAAAGTAAACAAACGTAACAGGCCTGATCCCTGCCCTCAAGAGGTTCCTCAAGTTGCTGTTATTGTTGACCCAATGACAGCTAAATAAATGAAGGCCACTCATAAAAAGCAAATGGAGGCTCCGATAGAGTGTGGCCGATGGTATTTTCCAAAGTTGGGTGCCCCTTTCCACTTGCTCTCCTTGTCCCATGACTGACACTCCAGGTAGGGGCCATGTTCCCTCTCTTTGAATGGGAGCGGGGCTGTGACTACTCTGACCAATAGGGTAGGAGGGAGGTGATGCAGATCAAAAAAAGATGAGGTTATAAAAAGAATGCAGCTGGGCACAGTGGCTCACACCTGTAATCCCAATACTTTAGGAGGCTGAGATGGACAGATTGCTTGAGCCCAGGAGTTGGAGACCAGCCTGGGCAACATAGTGAGACCCTGTCTCTACAAAATAATGATAATAATAATACAAAAATCAGCCAGGCATGTTGGCAGTAGCCCCAGCTACCAGGGAGACTGAGGCAGGAGGATCACTTAAGCCTGGGTAGTCAAGGCTGCAGTGAACCATGACTGCACCACTGCACTCCAGCCTGGGCAACAAGAGTGAAACTCCACCTCAAAAAAAAAAAAAGCAGTTCATGCCTGGTTCCCTCACAGCAACCCAGCCACTATGCAAGAGAAACTCTAACTAGACCACAGGTAGAAACCCTGAGGTCCCTGAGCTAACTGCCAGCATCCACTGCAAAGTGTCTGCAGACGATTTCAGTCCCCCAGCTTTCGAGTCTTCCAGCTGCAGCCCCAGATAACATGGAGCAGAGACAAGCCATCCCCACTGCGGTGTGTCCAAATTCCTGGCCCACAGAATCCGTGAACGTAATAAAGGGTTGTCTCATGCCACAAAATTTTGAGGCAATTTGTTGGACAACAAAAAATAACCAGAACACAGAGGACAAGCCAGAATGAGCAGCACATAAGTCGAAGGAGAAAGTACCCTAGAGGTGTTAAGAGTTAGTCAGAATGGAAGGACATTAACTGTGGAAAGCATTACTAGACCTCACGTCACCATATGGTTTTGTACTCTGTCCTGCTGTGAAACTCTTCCTTCAAAGGCCACCAGCAACCCCCAAAGTGACAAATATACAAATTCCCTCTTGTTTAAACTATCATCTAGGCCTGCGCCATGGCTCACACCTATAATCCCAAAACTTTGGGAGGCTGAGGCAGCAGGATCATTTGAGCCCAGGAATTTGAGACCAGCCTGGGCAACACAGTGAGACCCCCAGTCTCTAAAAAAATGTTTAAAAAATTGGCTGGGAGTGGTGACATACACCTGTAGTATCAGCTACTCAAGAAGCTGAGGTGAGACGATCTCTTGAGCCTGGGAGGTCAAGGCTGCAGAGAGCTATGATCATGCCACTATACTCCAGCCAGGGTTACAGAGCAAGACCCTCTCTCCAAACAAACAAACAAACAAACAAAAAAACCCTCACAAACAAACAAACAAAAAACCCTATCATCTGTGCGCCGAAGTCCCCCACTCCAATAGCTACATACCTAGTCCTATCTTTTCACCTGAACTCCTGTCTTGTAGCTCCAATTTCCCGCAGTCACATGCCAGTTCCTTATTTCTTTGCCACCTCAAATCCAACACAACCAAAATGGATTCACTATCATGGACACTGTTTGGGCTCAGGTCCTTTTCACCAGTGAGTCCACTCACTTTCCAGCTTTTGGGAATATCAGCTGATAACCACACACAATTGTCCCCTTTTCTGGAGAATTGCCCTGGGCCAAACAGGAGCCAAGCCCTCCTCCCTTGCACACACTCTGGACAGACTCCCAGTGGCTGCCTGACCTTAAAGCAGATCTACAAAACGCCAGCCCCCATGCCTCCAAGTGCAATTGACTGGTGCAATTTGCTGCCCTGAGCTTCCCCATGAGCTCAGGCTGAAGCTCACATCCTTGCTTAGCCTTTTTCCCTTCCCTATCCTGTTTTCTTCAGTCTTTCTCCTGAGAGCCTCCCGCAGTGTATCTCTTGAACAAAAGTCCCCACCCCAGGTTCTGCTTCAAGGTAGCCCAATCTAAAACACTGCTGCCGAGTGCAGTGGCTCACACCTGCAATCCCAGCACTTTGGGAGGCCAAGGTGGGCAGATTGCTTTGAGCTCATGAGTTCAAGACCAGCCTGGAGACAGGCTGGACACAGCAAAATCTTGCCTCTTCAAAAGATACAAAAAAAAATTAGCCTAGCTTTGTGGCATGCGCCTGTAGTCCCAGCTACTTGGGAGGCTGAGACGGGAGGATCGATCGCTTGAGCCCAGGAGGCAGAGGTTGCAGAAAGCTGAGATTGCACCACTGCACTTCAGCCTGAGTGACAGAGGAAGACCCTGTCTCGAAATAAAATAATAATAATAATAGGCCGGGTGCCGTGGCTCATGCCTGTAATTCCAGCACTTTGGGAGGCCAAGGTGGGCGGATCACTTGAGGTCAGGAGTTGGAGATCAGCCTGGCCAACATGGTGAAACCCCGTCTCTAGTAAAAATAAAGAAATTAGCTGGCCATGGTGGCACATACCTGTTACCCCAGCTACTCGGGAGGCTGAGGCAGGAGAATCACTTGAATCTGGGAGGCAGAGGTTGCAGTGAGCTGAGATTGCACCATTGCACTCCAGTCTGGGCAACAAGAGCAAAACTCCATCTCAAAAAAATAATAATAATAAATAAAACACCAACCAAGCCAAGTTTACTTTGTTTACCCTGTTGCTATGAGACCTGTCTCTCATCACCCCAGCCTACAACTCCCTTTCAGACCAGCCATCAGTTTGAATACATTTTCTAGCAAATGCCTCTCATTCTTCCTCCTCATTCCCATTGTCCCCATGTAATCACTGTTCAGGAAGTCAGGGACCCCAAACGGAGGGACCAGCTGAAGCCATGGCAGAAGAATGTGGATTGTGAAGATTTCATGGACATTTATTAGTTCCCCAAATTAATACTTTTATAATTTCTTATGCCTGTCTTTACTGCAATCTCTAAACATAAATTGTGAAGATTTCATGGACACTTATCACTTCCCCAGTCAATACCCTTGTGATTTCCTATGACTGTCTTTACTTTAATCTCTTAATCCTGTCATCTCGTAAGCCAAGGAGGATGTATGTCACCTCAGGACCCTGTGATAATTGCATTAACTGCACAAATTGTAGAGCATATGTGTTTGAACAATATGAAATCTGGGCACCTTGAAAAAAGAGCAGGATAACAGCAATGTTTAGGGAACAAGAGAGATAACCTTAAACTCTGACCGCCGGTGAGCTGGGCGGAACAGAGCCATATTTCTCTTCTTTCAAAAGCAAATGGGAGAAATATTGCTGAATTCTTTTTCTCAGCAAGGAACATCCCTGGGAAAGAGAATACACGCCTGGGGGTGGGTCTCTGAACTGGCCCCCCTGGGCGTGGCCATCTTCTATGGTCGAGGCTGTAGGGGTGAAATAGACCCCAGTGTCCCATAGCGCTCCCAGGCTTATTAGGAAGAGGAAATTCCTGCCTAATAAATTTTGGTCAGACCAGTTTCTCTCAAAACCCTGTCTCCTGATAAAATGTTATCAATGACAATTGTGCCAGAAACTTCATTAGCAATTTTAATCTCGCCCCGGTCCTGTGGTCCTGTGATCCCGCCCTGCCTCCATTTGCCTTTCGATATTCTATTACCTTGTGAAGTACTTGATGTCTGTGACCCACACCTATTCACACACTCCCTCCCCTTTTGAAAATCCCTAATAAAAACTTGCTGGTTTTGCGGCTTGCGGGGCATCACGGAACCTACCAACATGTGATGTCTCCCCCGGATGCCCAGCTTTAAAATTTCTCTCTTTTGTACTCTGTCCCTTTATTTCTCAAACTGGCCGATGCTTAGGAAAATAGAAAAGAACCTACGTGACTAATGGGGCAGGTTCCCCGATAATCACCTCACACCTGGCTTATGAAATAATTCTCCTTTCCAACCTCCCTGCTGCTTCCTGTTTTTCCTCCTGCCTCCAATCTGTCTAGCACTTAAGTGTGAGATTAACATTTCTGAAATGCCTCTGATCATGTAGCTCCCCTGCTGGAAAGTTCAGTGCCTCCGGTGTCTAGTGGCAGCAGATAAAGATTCTTTTGTCTGCTTTCCTGGTCCCTCACTGAGCTCTGGCTTCCACCTTGTTTATTTAACCTCATTTGTCAGTATTTTTAATTTTCTATTCCAGTCAGCTCCCCCAGAGTTCCACAAACTATGCTCATTCCCATCACACCAACACCAGTTCTCCCTCTCCCCTACATGTTCTCGAATCCCACCTGGCTTCTCAGCTGCCCCCCGGCCCCTGTCCTCCCCTTCTCAGCCCCCAGCAGGGCACATGGCTGCCTGCAGGAAGCAACAGGGCTCTAAGCCTCCCTGGCAGCCAGATGTGGCAGAGAGACTTCCTTCCAACCTATTTGAAATGAGCAGAAATGTTACGGGTTACTTCTGTCTGTGGACCTACTAGGATGGGGTGTGTATTTCTTTGTCCTTCTCTTTCCCCTTGGCCTGAACATGGAGCCTGAGCAGTCATCCTAAATCACAAAGAGCCATGCATCAAAGACAGTGAGGCAGCAAGGCGGAGCTGTCCCAGCCCCGAGCTGCCTGCCTGGCTCTGGACTTTGTTTCTGTCAGAGAGAAATGGACTTCCATCTAGGAAGCCATTGTTCTATTCGGTTTTTGTCACTCACAGGTCAACCTAATGCTAACTTGGTTCTTCTCACAACTTGTGAAGGAAAGAAAGGAGCAGATGTGGCAGTGGCCTGTAAATGTTTAACTCTCAGAGGCAGTGGAGGGCTGGGGGTAGGTGAAAGTTCTGACTTGCAACATTTCCGATTTCTGTGGTGTAAATACTTCCATCAAGGTGTTGGGGCTCAGAAAATGATACCCCAGAGTTTGGTATTTTGGCAAGTTGAGAAGAACATGGGAAGGACCTGAGAAGTAAAGTCTGCCTCTGACCTTCTCCTGCTCCCCTCTCTCCTCCAAGGCAGGTCAAAGAAACCAGAATGTCTTTCCCCCAAAGCCAATCATAAAACTTAGAACTATTACTCTAGCCTTCCTTTGCCTTTCTGTATAAGCACAGCTCATTAAAAAAAAAAAAAAAAACTGAGCTACCTTTTCTAATAGTAGGTCATAAAACCCTTATTTTGGAGAGTCCCTGCCTATATCCAGAAGGAAGGAATGCTGCACAGAGAGACCAAGCAGAATCCCAACAGACAGGCTCTGCTGGCTTTCTCCCTCAGCCTATTCCCATGCGACCATTCACTTTGTGTTCAATCACATTTCTTTTCTTTTCTTTTTTTTTTTTTTGAGATGGAGTTTCGCTCTTGTTGCCCAGGCTGGAGTGCAATGGCACTATCTTGGCTCACTGCAACCTCCTCCTCCTGGGTTCAAGCGATTCTCCTGCCTCAGCCTCCCAAGTAGCTGGGATTACAGGCACGCACCACCATGCCCAGCTAATTTTGTATTTTTAGTAGAGATGGGGTTTCTCCATGTTGGTCAGGCTGGTCTTGAACTCCCGACCTCAGGTGATCCGCCCGCCTTGGCCTCCCTAAGTGCTAGGATTACAGGCATAAGCCACCGTGCCCAGCCTGTGTTCAGTCACATTTCTACATGACTGTCTGTTCTTTTTTTTTTTTTTTTTCTGAGACAGAGTTTCATTCTGTGGCCTAGGCTGGAGTGCAGTGGCACGATCTCAACTCACTGCAACTTCTGTCTCCCAGGTTCAAGTGATTCTCCTGCCTCAGCCTCCTGAGTAGCTGGGATTACAGGCACACACCACCACGCCCGGCTAATTTTTGTATTTTTAGTACAGACGGGGTTTCATTATATTGGCCAGGCTGGTCTCAAACTCCTGGCCTCATGTGATCCTCCCACCTCAGCCTCCCAAAGTACTGGGATTACAGGTGTGAGCCACTGCACCCAGCCTTGGCTGTCCATTCTTCATCGAAACTAATCAAAAAAATTGTTTTCTCTGAGCATTTCTGGGGTCTTCATTTCTGAAGGCTCCCATGTCATGTAAAACTTTGATGAAATAAATTTGTTGGTCGGGCACAGGGGCTCACACCTGTAATCCCAGCACTTTGGGAAGATGAGACAAGCAGATGGTTTGAGCCCAGGAGTTCGAGGCCAGCCTGAGTAACATGGTGAAACCCCATCTCTACAAAAAATTACCTGTGTGTGGTGGTCTGCACCTGTAGTTCCAGCTACTCTGTAGGCTGAGTCAGGAGGATTGCTTGAGCCCAGGAGGTTAAGGCTATGGTGAGCCATGATCATGCCACTTCACTACAGCCTGGGCAAGAGTGAAACTCCGTTTCAAAAAAATAGATACATAAAATAAAATAAATTTGTTATGCTTTTGTTTTGTTCGCCTGTCTTTTGTTATGGGAGTATTGGTCATGACTCAGGATGGGTGCAGAAAGCAATCACATCTTTCTGTCTCTACAAAGGCCAACTTCAAGCTACCAATGTTATGCCAGTTGGCTCATAAAGTTCCTGAAACTATAATGATTCTTCTCATGAACTGGTGTGAGCTGGCTTCAGCACAACAGTGGGTGAATGGGAAGGGGTGAAATGGGACTGACATTTAATGAACCTTGCTACATGCCAAGTAAGGTAATAGGCATTTTGCATATATTTTCTTTAATCCTTATATTTAACACTGAGGGGTAAGTAGGGCCAAACTTTCCCAACCATTAATCCTTTCTGGGAAAAATTCCAATACAGGTAGATTTATTTTTCTATATATTTTTCACAACCTTGGAAGATATGTTAGTCACCCCTGTTGTGGATAATTAGAAAAAGTAGAAAATGGAGGTAAGAGAAAATGCGAATGTGGTGGATATTTTCTGAGGTTTGACCATCCTGCATGCATTCTCTTCTCCTGAGAACAGTCACTGGATTCCTTGGAGAATTACCTGTGTGCATTCCTAATGAGCTATGGTTAAGGTGTGCTTTTTCCCCTAGCCTTTACCTAGACTAGGCTGATCAGATTCTCTCTGCTAGGGCTTTGAATGATGAACAAAATGGAAAGGATGGAAAAAACCCTTTGTCACTTACTCATTTCAGCAGGTAGCCAGGACAACACCGTCGATTCCTGCTACCTCATCCGCTGGAGCTACCCTGGTTCTTTGTCTCCTGAGCCTGATTCTCTGGCCTTCCTTTGATTCTGTGAGCTATTCAATATCCTCCCAAGACTCATCTATTCTGTTCAAGTTAAGGACAATCATTTTTGTGGCTTGAAGCCAAAGAAATTCAAATGCCAAGGAAGAAAAGTAGAAGCTCTTTAGAAAAGTTAAAGGAAACCGGCCAGGCGCGGTTGCTCACACCTGTAATCCCAGCACTTTGGGAGGCCAAGGTGGGCGGATCACCCGAGGTCGGGAGTTCAAGACCAGCCTAACCAACATGGAGAAACCCCATCTCTAATAAAAATACAGAATTAGCCGGGCATGGTGGCACACACTGTAATCCCAGCTACTTGGGAGGCTGAGGCAGGAGAATCGCTTGAACCTGGGAGGCGGAGGTTGCGGTGAGCCGAAATCAAGCCATTGCACTCCAGCCTGGGCAACAAGAGCGAAACTCCCTCTCAAAAAAAAAAAGAGAAAAGAAAAGTTAAAGGAAGCCAAGGCGAAGTGCACAGGGCTTTAGAAGAACATTTTAAAATTGCTCCTGGCAGGGAAGTGGTTATGATTATGTAAGGAGAACCTAGGCAAGACTGGTCAGACTGCAGGGTTGGATTTTTATGTGTTCTACACGGCAGGAATTTGGGGCAGAGCCGATGTTATATAAGCCTGAGTTGTAAGTTATTTGACGTATGTCATTGTATGCTCATCACAGGATTATTAAATAAAGGTAACTCAAACCATTTTGTATTAAGAGTATCCAAATTATTCTACATTTGTAGAATCACTATAAAATATGTGGGAGTTTGTTTTTTTAAAATGTGTTATTTTGGTGGAGGACTGGAGAGAAAACATGGATCACTAAGAACTCTTCATCAACATTTTATCTTTTAGAAAGTAAAATGAACTACTAGCAGTGGGCCCAGCGCAGTGGCTCCCGCCTGTAATCCCAGCACTTTGGGAAGCCGAGGAGGATTACTTGAGCCCAGGAGTTTGAGACCGGCCTGAACAACATAGCGAGGCCCTGTGTCTACAAATAGTCAAAAAATTAGCCAGATGTGGTGGCACACACCCATGGTCCCAACAAATCAGGAGGCTGAGGAGGGAGAACTGCTTGAGCTCTGGCAGTCGAGGCTGCACTGAGCCATGACTGCACCACTGCACTGAGCCATGATCACACGACTACACTGAGCCATGATCACACCACTGCACTGAGCCATGATCGCACCACTGCACTGAGCCATGATCGCACCACTGCACTGAAACATGATCGCACAACTGCACTGAGACATAATTGCACCACTGCACTGAGCCATGATCGCACCACTGCACTGAGCCATGATCGCACCACTGCACTGAGCCATAATCGCACCACTGCACTGAGACATGATCGCACCACTGCACTGAGTCATGATAGTACCACTGCACCGAGCCATGATTACACCATGGCACTGCACTCCAGCCTGGGCCACAGAGTGAGACCATGTCTTAAAAAAAAAAAGCAAACAAAAACTACAAGCAATTGAGAGCCTGGGAAGTGTCTAGTAGGGAAACCAGGAATTGTATCTGTGTTTGTGTGACTACCCCACATTCCTGCTGGTTCTGCCTCAACAAAAGCTTTCCCCCATCACTCCATCCACAGTGATCTCACCCGGCTGCGAATGCCTAGAATGCTTGCTCTCTGTACCAACATTCCATTTGTTTGACATTCATCATGGGGATCTGCTGAGTCTTCATATGAGGAAAAGTACTTGTTAAGCTCTAAGATATCAAATAAATGTTAGTTAATTATGTTATTAGATAAGTAGGTAGATAGATAATAAATAGATGCACACACACATATAGCTACAGATACAGTTACAGTTTTGTATACTTATATTTATGTGCTGATCTCTTAATTTCCCTTAACTTGGTTATAAACCTCTTAAGACCCATATTTTATACACCTTTCTGCCTTCCACTGCTCTTAGTTGGAACACATTTGACAATCTACTGATGTTTTAAGTGTAGGAACTAGCCTCTACCAGCTGAAAAATCTGTGAACCATGGCCACTTATTTTCACCACTTTCCTGTGCCCTGGGAGGACTAGATGAGCTCATGGGTACAAAGTGCCATGAATCAGTTAGTTTCCTGTGGCCGAAGACAGAAGAACTCAGCAGTCTTAGTTCCCCCTTCAACTTCATGCCTTCCTTTCTGAAGAAGCATGGGTCATGTATGTGATCAGAAATGGGCTTCCATTTCTCAGTACAAGATTTCTGAAGAAGAAGTGGTTTCTGGACCTCTGAATGGGCAGTGTGCGATACAATCTAATGAGAGACAAGTGATCTTGACTCTTTTAAAAGTGTCAAAAGCAGATTAAAGCCGTCAGCCTATACCAAGCATTTTCCCAATGCAGCATTTTCTCTTCCCCCACCCTATCTGTCATCTAGCCTAGTGCTGTCCAACAAATCTTTCTGTAATGATGGAAATGTTCTATTTCCGTGTTTTCAAATATGGTAATCACTGGCCACATGGGATTATCGTGCTCTTGAAATGTGGCTAATGAAACTGAGAAACTGAATTTTAAATTTTGACTCATTAGAATTTACATTCAAATAGCCACATGCAGCTGGGCGCAGTGGCTCACGCCTGTAATCCTAGCACTTTGGGAGGCCAAGGTGGGCAGATGACCTGATGTCAGGAGTTCGAGACCAGCCCGGCCAACATGGTGAAACCCCGTCTCCATTAAAAATACAAAAATGCTGGGCGCGGTGGCTCACGCCTGTAATCCCAGCACTTTGGGAGGCCAAGGCGGGCGGATCACGAGGTCAGGAGATCGAGACCATCCTGGCTAACAAGGAGAAACCCCGTCTCTACTAAAAATACAAAAAATTAGCTGAGTGTGGTGGCGGGAGCCTGTAGTCCCAGCTACTCAGGAGGCTGAGGCAGGAGAATGGTGTGAACCCGGGAGGCAGAGCCTGCAGTGAGCTGAGATCACGCCACTACACTCCAGCCTGGGTGACAGAGTGAGACTTTGACTCAAAATAAATAAATAAATAAATAATAAAAATACAAAAATTAGCTGGGCATAGTGGCACAAGCCTGTAATCCCAGCAACCTAGGAGGCTGAGGCAGGAGAACTGCTTGAACCTGGGAGGCAGAGGTTGCAGTGAGCCAAGATCATGCCACTACATTCCAGCCTGGGCGACAGAGTGAGACTCCATCTCAAAAAATAAAATAAAATAAATAGCCACATGCTACTGTATTAGACAGCATAGACCTAAATTAAGAGAATCTGGGCTTCTTTATTTATTCATTTATTTATTCATCATTCAGTCAAAACCATTGAGTACCTAGTATATATCAATCAGGCACACTGCTGAATACTGACAGTGGGTTCAGTGATTAGTCTCTCACCTGAAAAAGCCCAAAATCTGTTTGAGGAAACAAATGATCTTTGGGGATGGCCTCAAGACCTTAAAGTGTCTTCTGGTTACACCACCTTCTCTTGAGAAAAGTATTTGGGAGTAAGTCCTTGGGCATAGGTCACCCTGCAGATAATCTTCCGGCCCTGACCTCATCTACTAAATTAGGATCCTTGCTTGAGCTAGGGGCAGTTCTCAAGGGCTGGCAAGAGGCCAGTGATGCAGCCAGAGGTGAGAATACCCAAAAAGGTTACTGTATCCTGGGGAGTGTGTACACAACCCATTCAGAGTCTCAATTTAAGACATAAGCAAGGACATGAACATCAGAGCAGTGTAAAACCCCAAAGACAAAAAGAGCTAGGTCAGTGGGTTGAATAATAACATTAATAATGAGGATTGTTGAGAGGCAGGAAGGTGTTGAGGTCAATAGCTTTGTCTCTGGAGACAAACTTCCTGGATGCCAAACTCAACTCTGTCATTCCCCTGCTTCACAGAGTTCTGTGCTGTCACTGCACCTGTATAATGAGTGTTGTCATGCCCTCCTCTCAGAGGTGTACCATGAAAATTAAGTGAATTAAAACATACAGTTGTCCAGGCATGGTGTTTCATACCTGTAATCCCACCATTTTGGGAGGCTGAGGCAGGAAGATCATTTGAAGCCAAGAGTTTGAGACCAGCCTGGGCAACAAAGTGAGACCCTATCTCTACCAAAAAAAAAAAAAAATTTTTTTTAATTAGTTGGGCATGGTGGCACATGCCTGTAGTCCTAGAAACTCAGGAAGCTGAAGTGGCAGGATTGCTTGAGCCCAGGAGTTTGGGGCTATAGTGAGCTATGATGGCGCCACTGCACTACAGCCTGAGCTGTAGTGGAAGATCTTGACTCTAAAAACAAACAAGCCAAGCATGGTGGCTCATGCCTGTAATCCCAGCACTTTGGGAGGCCGAGGCAGGCAGATCACGAGGTCAGGAGTTCAAGACCAGTCTGGCCAACATAGTGAAACCCCATCTGTACTAAAAAAACAAAAATTAGCCAGGTATGGTGGCACATGCCTGTAATCCCAGCTAATCAGGAGGCTGAGGCAGGAGAATTGCTTGAACCTGGGAGGCAAAGGTTGCAGTGAGCCAAGACCATGCCATTGCACTCCAGCCTGGGCAACATAGTGAGACTCCATCTCAAAATCAAAAACAAAAAACAAACAAACAAACATGGAGTTGAACCCAGGTAGATGGGCTCTAGCATCTATGCTCTGACAAATAGGTATGCCACTAGGCTTTGGAATGAAATAGACCTAGGTTCACATCTAACTCCCATTACTTCTTGGTTACACAACCTTAAGAAAGTGAATTGCCTCATTGAACCTCATTTTTCTCATCTGTAAAATGGGTGTATAGATAAAATAACAGTTGGGGTTATGAAGGCTTAATGAATTGATTTGAGTATAGCTCTTAAAACAGTGCCTATGCCGGGCGTGGTGGCTCACGCCTGTAATCCTAGCACTTTGGGAGGCCGAGGTGGGCAGATCACGAGATCAGGAGATCGAGACCATCTTGGCTAACACGGGGAAACCCCATCTCTACTAAAAATACGAAAAATTAGCCAGGAGTGGTGGTGAGCGCCTGTAGTCCCAGCTACTCGGGAGACTGAGGGAGAGAATGGCATGAACCCGGGAGTTGGAGCTTGCAGTGAGCCAAGATCGCGCCACTGCACTCCAGCCTGGGCTACAGACAGAGCAAGACTCCATCTCAAACAAACAAACAAACAAAAAAAAACACACAGTGCCTCTGAGGCATCATACATGCTCAGGTGTGTGGGCTAGTGTCACTTCACACTACCCCACAAGACCTGGGCAGAGCCAGTCACTGCAGACAGAGATGCTGAGCCACAAGGAGTCTGGGCAGGGAGGCAGGGTGTGCTCCTGGGGCTGCCGCTGGGCACTGGAAGCCACTGTGGCTTCTGGAAGACATGCTGGTTCTTCAAGGGGCAGGTTACTGGCCACTGAGGTGGCTCTATTCCAGCCCATCTCTGTCCCTTGAGGTAATCTGAGTGGCAACCTGTTCTATAACAAAAAAAACACTTAGTTTTGGCATATTTTAAGCAAGAATTTACAAGAGGAACATTTTGATGCAGCTTCCTTAAAACAGTTCTGTCAGTATGAACCACTTTGGAAAATAGCATAGCAAATTCTTTTTTTTCTTTTTTTTTTTTTTGAGACGGAGTCTCGCCAGGCTGGAGTGCAGTGGTGCAATCTTGGCTCACTGTGCAATCTCCGACTCCCTGGTTCAAGCGATTCTCCTGGCTCAGCCTCCTGAGTAGCTGGGATTACAGGCACGCACCACCACGCTCAGCTAATTTTTGAATTTTTAGTAGAAACGGGGTTTCACCATGTTAGCCAGGCTGGTCTCGATCTTCTGACCTCATGAACTGCCCGCCTCAGCTTCCCAAAGTGCTGGGATTACAGGCATGAGCCACCGAGCCCAGCCCTTATTTTTTCTTTTTTTAGAATGGGGTCTCGCTCTGTCTCCCAGGCTGGAGTGCAGTGGTGTGAATGTGACTTACCACAGCCTCGACCCCTGGATTCAAGTGATCCTTCGACCTGAGCCTCCCAGAGTAGCTGGGACCACAGGCGCGCACCACAACACCTGGCTAATTTTTTAATTTTGTAGAGACGAGGTCTCTCCATGCTGCCCAGGCTGATCTCAAACTCCTGGGCTCAAGAAATCCTTCTGCCTTTAGGCTGGGCATGGTGGCACACACCTGAAATCCCAGCACTTTGGGAGACCAAGGTGGGCTGATCACTTGAGGTCAGGAGTTTGAGACCAGCCTGATCAACATGGTGAAACCTGTCTCTACTAAAAATACAAAAATTAGCTGGGCGTCGTGGTGCAAGTGCTGGGATCACAGGTGTGAGCCACTGGGCACAGCAGCGATTTCTTACTAAGCTAAACATGCACCTAGTTATACTACTCCTAGACATCTGCTCAAGAGAAATAAGAATACATGTCTTAAAAAAGAGTTGTCTATGAATGTTCATAGTAGCTTTATTCATCATTTCCAAAAATAAGAAAAAAACCACAATGTCCATCAATGGTGAATTAATAAGCCAACTGTCATATATTTATACAATGGAATGCTATGCAGAAGTCAAAAGGAAAGAACTACTGAATCATGCCATGACATGGATGAATCACAAAAATATTATACTGAGCAAAAGAATCTGGACACAAAAGAGTGTCTACTGTAGTTTCGTTCTTTCTTTCTTTCTTTTTTTTTTTGAGACGGAGTTTTGCTCTTGTTGCCCAGGCTGAAGTGAAATGGCGTGATCTCAGCTCACTGCAACCTCTGCCTCCTGGGGTCAAGTGATTCTCCTGCCTCAACCTCCCAAGTAGCTGGGATTATAGCCACCCGCCACCACACCTGGCTAATTTTTAGTAGAGACGGGGTTTCACCATGTTGGTCAGGCTGGTCTTGAACTCCTGACCTCAGATGATCCTCCCGCCTCGGCCTCCCAAAGTGCTGGGATTACAGGCATGAGCCACCTTGCCCAGCCTGTAGTTTCATCTATATGACATTCTAGAACAGGCAAAACTGTAAGGTTAGAAGTCTGATCAGTGGTTGCTATAGGGGATGGGGACAGGACTGACTACAAAGGGATGCAGGGAACTTTTGGGGGTGATGGAAAACTCTATATCATCATGGTGGAGGCCTTTACACAAACTATATGCATTTATCAAAACTCATCAAAAACTACTCCTAAGAAGGATGAATTTTACTGTATTTAAATTATACTTCAATCTACCTGACTTTTTAAAACAAAATGCAGTATCACCAAATACTACCAAATTTTATGTGAAAGGCTCAGGGTCAGAGATAGGATGAGTTCAACCCACAGGGATAGGTTGAGAATATCTGGTTTATACATTTCTTACTGATTTTTTTTTTTTTTTGAGAAGTCTTGCTCTTGTCCCCCAGGCTGGAGTGCGATAGCGTGATCTCGGCTCACTGCAACCTCTGCCTCCCGGGTTCAAGCGATTCTCCTGCCTTAGCCTTCCAAGTAGCTGGGATTACAGGCGCCTGCCACCACGCCAGGCTAATTTTTGTATTTTTAGTAGAGACGGGGTTTCACCATGTTGGCCAGGCTGGTCTCGAACTCCTGACCTCAGGTGATTTGCCCACCTCGGCCTCCCAAAGTGCTGGGATTACAGGAATGAGACACCGTGCCTGGCCACTGATTTTTTTTTTAATGGTGACAATTTAATAATAATTTTAGGCCTT